>NC_000020.11:36920779-37223809 GCF_000001405.40 Homo sapiens
AACCCACAAAAACAGAATCAGGCTGGGTGCAGTGGCTCACATTTGTAATCCTAGCATTTTTTTGAGAGGCAAAGGTGGGAGGATTGCTTGAGCCCAGGAGTTCGAGAGCAGCCTGGGCAACAAAGCAAGACCCTGTCTCTACAAAAAGATAAAAAGATTGGCTGGGTATAGTGACATGCGCCTGTGGTCCCAGCTACTTGGGAGACCAAGGTGGGAGGATTGCTTGAGCCCAGGTGGTTGAGGCTGCAGTTAGCTATGTTCATGCCTGTACTCCAGCCTGGGCAACAGAGCAAGACCTTGTCTCCAAAAAACAACAACAACAACAAACAAATTGGCCGGGCACAGTAGCTCACGCCTGTAATCCCAGCACTTTAGGAGGCGGAGGCAGGCAGATCACGAGGTCAGGAGATCAAGATCATACTGGCCAACATGGTGACACCCCATCTCTACTAAAAATATAAAAATTAGCTGGGTGTGGTGGCATGCACCTGTAGTCCCAGCTACTCAGGAGGCTGAAGCAGGAGAAACGCTTGAACTCGGGAGGCGGAGGTTGCAGTGAGCCGAGATCACGCCACTGCACTACAGGCTGGGCGACACAGCGAGACTCTGTCTCAAAAAAAAAAAAAAAAAAAACGAATTGAATCAAGATATACGTAATTACAAAGAGGAAAAATAGTAACTTTATAATGGAGAGATTTGACAGACAATGCCTTAATCAAGTAAGCAGAATTAATATCATTGGTATTGGCTCAACTAGGATTTATGTGCCTCCTGAGATGATACACTATGAAGGATGCATCACTGATTTTTTTGGAGACAGAGTCTAGCTCTGTCACCTCCTGGGCTCCCGGGCTCAAGCAATTCTCCTTCCTCAGCCTCCCAAGTAGGCACGTGCCACCACACCCAGCTAATTTTTTGTGGTTGTTTTTTTTTTTTTTCCCTCTTGTTGCCCAGGCTGGAGTGAAATGGCGTGATCTTGGCTCACTGCAACCTCCGCCTCCCAGGTTCAGGTGATTCTCCTGCCTCAGCCTCCCGAGTAGCTGGGATTACAGGTGCCCACCACCATGCCCAGATAATTTTTATATTTTTAGTAGAGACAGGGTTTCGCCATATTGGCCAGGCTGGTCTCCAACTTCTGACCTCAGGTAATCCACCCACCTTGGCCTCCCAAAGTGCTGGGATTACAGATGTGAGCCACTGCGTCCGATCTGGACACATCACTTTTGTGGCATTCTACCAAAAATGCATAGCTTGAATCCATGAGGAAACATCACACTGAAACTCAAATTGAGGAACATTCCACAAAATAGCTCAGTTGCTCTTTAAAAAAATGACAAAGTCACTAACGATAAAGACTGAAGAATTGCTCCAGATCAAAAGAAACTAGAAAAATGGCAACTAAATGCAATGTGTAATTCTGGACCAGGGAAAAAAAGTTTTTTTCCCCTTTTTCTATATGGACAATTGGTAAAATTTGAAAGTCTGAATTAGATAAGAGTACTGCATCAACATTAATTTACTGATTTTGATAATTATACTATGGTTATATAAGAAAATGTTGTTTTTAGGAAATACCCACTGAAGTATTTAGAAATAAAGTATTTCAACAATTTACATTCTTTGAGAGACAGGGCTCTTGCTCTATCACCCAGGCTGGAGCTCAGTGGCATATTCATAGCTCAGTGTATCCCTGAACTCCTGGATTCAAGTAATCCTCCCGTTCTCAGTAGCTAGGACCACAGGTGTGCACCACAATGACCAGCTGATGTTTTCATAATTTTGTAGAGACAGTTTCACTATGTTGCCCAGGCTGGTGTTGAACTCCTGGGCTCAAAGCTATCCTCCTGCCTTAGCCTCCCAAACTGTTGGGATTACAGGTGTAAGCCACTGTGTCCAGTCTAAAAACTAACTTTCTTTTTTTGAGACAAGTTCTCACTCTGTTACCTACGTTGGAGTGCAGTAGCACGATCACAGCTCATTGCAGCCTCGACCTCCCAGGCTCAAGCAATCCTGCCACCCCACCATGCCTGGCTAATTTTTAAATTTTTTTGTAGAGACGGGGTTTCACCATGTTGTCCAGGCTGGTCTTGAACTCCTGGGCTCAAGCGATCTGCCCACCTTGGCCTCCCAAAATGTTGATATTACAACCATGAGCCACTGTGCCTGGTCAAAACTTACTTTCTAATGATTCAGAAAAAAAATATCTATATATAAAGAGAGAGTATTTTATTTATTTTTTGACACAGTGTCTCACTCTGTCACCCAGGCTGGAGTGCAGTGGCGTGATTTCAGCTCACTGCAAGCTCCGCCTCCTGGGTTCACGCCATTCTCCTGCCTCAGCCTCCTGAGTAGCTGGGACTACAGGTGCCTGCCACCACACCCAGCCAATTTTTTTGTATTTTTAGTAGAGACGGGATTTCACCGTTAGCCAGGATGGTCTCAATCTTCTGACCTTGTGATCCGCCCACCTTGGCCTCCCAAAGTGCTCAGATTACAGGCGCGAGCCACCACGCCTGGCCAAGAGAGAGTATTTTAAAAAATAAAAATGAGGTGGATCACTTGACCCTGGGAGGCAGAGGTTGCAGTGAGCTTAGATGACATCACTGAGCTCCTGCCCGGGTGACAGGGCAAGACCCTCTCTCAAAAACAATAAAATAAAAATAAATAAATAAATAAATAAAGTAAGGGATTTTCAAAATAGTAGTTTTAAATATATCAATGCCAACTGTGAATATACTAGCAAACAGAAAAAATTAAGTTTCATAAAGCTAGCACAGACCATAATAACAACTAAAATTATAAGGAACTTAGGAGTAAGTATAACAAAGATGTATGACTTTCATGGCAAGCCTAGGCAACATAGTAAGACTCCATCTCTACAAATAAATACCCAGGTGTGACGGTGCAGGCCTGTGGCCCCAGCTACTTGGGAGGCTGAGATGGAAGGATCGCTTGAGTCTGGAGGTCAAGACCAGCCTGGGCAACATAGTAAGACTCTGTTCTCCACAGAAAGGAAAAAATAAAAACATAAATCTTATTATAAAGTATGTCAACCTAAAAGGAAGGAGCTGAGAAATATTTAATATAGAGAGTTTATTTGGGCCAAGGTTGAGGACACATTTACAAATTGCCTTGGGGAATGCTTGGGGAGAACAAAAGAGGCTCAAGTTTTTAAACAAAAAAGGACTGGCCAGGTGTGGTGGCTTAGGCCTGTAATCTCAGCACTTTAGGAGGCCAAGCGGGGCAGATAGCTTGAGCTCGGGAGTTGAGACCAGTCTGGGTAACAAAGTGAGGCCCACTCCCTCTACAAAAAATATAAAAAATTAGCTGGGCATGGTAGTGTGTGCCTGTAGTCCCAGCTACTCTGGAGGATGAAGTGGGAGAATTGCTTGAGCCTTGGAAGTCGAGGTTGCAGTAAGCCATGTTTGCACCACTGCACTCCACCCTGGGTGACAAAGCAAGATCCTGTTGAGGGGAGGGGAGGGGAAAGGAGGGAAGGGGGAAGGGGAAAGAAAAGGAAGGGAAAGAAGGGAAGGAAGGGAAAGAAAGGAAGGAAAGGAAGGAAGGAAGGGAAAAAGAGAAAGAATGAGAAAGAAAGAAAGTGAGAAAGAGAAAAAGAGAGACAGAGACAGAAGGGAGAGAAAAGAAAAAAAAAGAAAAGAGCATAAATCAGGAGGAGGAGGTGATCACAAAGAGGAGGTGATAACAAAAGTTGTTAGTCAGGAATGTTCACTGGCTTACAGAAATAACATTAGTTAGTGATTGGCTACATATTATGAAGTACAGGATATATGGCATTTTATGGTTACCTGGCATCCCACATAACAGCTGGCTTCAAGAGATAATAATTATTTAGCTCAAGGGGGCGTGACATGATTGCTGTTCTATTTCAATGCCTCTCTGGGCCTGATAATGTAAAGGGGCTCATATTTCTCAGATAAAAATTTCTTTTCTTCTTTTTTTTTCTTCCCCAAGTAACAAGTGTGGAAACAGAACAGAATGCAGAATGATTCATCATATATGGGAAGTTAATAAATGTTGGGGTTGGTATTACAGTCAGTGGGGATAGGATGAACTATTAAAAAATTAGATTTCTCGGCCGGGCACGGTGGCTCACGTCTGTAATCCCAGCGCTTTGGGAGGCCGATGTGGGTGGATCATGAGATCAGGAGTTCGAGACCAGCCTAACCAACATGGTGAAAGCCATCTCTACTAAAAATACAAAAGTCAGCCAGGTGTGGTAGCACATGCCTGTAATCCCAGCTATTCAGGAGGCTGAGGCAGGAGACTCGCTTGAACCCAGGAGGTGGAGGTTGCAGTGAGCCAAGATCGCACCACTGCACTCCAGCCTGGGCAACAGAGTGAGACTCCATCTCAAAAAAAAAAAAAAAGAAAAAAAAAGATTTCTCCCATATACTTACACAAAAATAAATTGTACACGAGCTAAGGATTTAAATGTGAAAGGCAAAATGCTTAAAGGAATAGATTTGGTAATGATTGAGAAGATCCTATTAGATCAACTGCAGAAGAAAACAACTATAAGCTCTGGACAACTCCCTGAAGGTCCTGGAGAGAGACCAAAACCAAGTGGATGTTAGACCTCAATACTTAGAAGGGAGAGGTGCTGGGTGACATTCCGGTTTTATGGTTTTTTGCCTAAGGGCAGGCCCCAGGACAGAAAAACTGGTGAGAAACTACCCATTTTACTGGCTTGCAGAACCAGAGTACTTCATCAAAATTGAAAACGTCTGTTTTTCAAAAGGCACCATGAAAAAATGAATTGGCCAAGCCAGACACTGGGGAAAAATATTCACAATACATATACCTAACCATATATATACATAAAGAATTCCTACAACTCAGTAATCAAAGAGCAAGCAATCAAACTTTTTAAACGAGTAAAATGTTGAGAGTTCTTTGCAGAAGAAGATATATCAATAACAAAGTACAAAGTACAGGAAATAGTATTCAACATACATTAGAAAATCAAACCATGAAATACCATTTGACACTCATTAGAAGGGCTAATTTGAAAGGTCAAATGTTGATGAGGCTGTAAAACAACTGGAACTCCAGTATGTTGCTGATGGGAGTGTAAAATGGTACAACCGCATTGGAAAACTCTGGTAGTTTCTTATAGAATTAAATACATATCTACCATATGACCCAGCAATTCTAGCTCCTCGGTATTTACCTAAGTGAAATGAAAATGTATTTCTTTATTTTATCTATTTTTATTTTTATAAAATAATGTATTTCTGCTGAATGTATTTCTTGTTTTAAAAATGTAATTAACTTTCCACACTACAACAACATAGAAAATGTATTTCTACCAAAATCTTGTACGATAATATGCACGACAACCTTATTTATAACAACCAAAACCTGAAAACAATCCAAATTCCAACAAAACAAGAAAGGGTAAACAAATTGTGACTTATTTGCATAATGCCACACTACGTAGGCGATAAAAAAAAGGATCAACTACTGAGGCACATAACATGAACAAATCTCAAAACCATTATGTTGAGTAAATAAAGCAAGGCATAAAATAGGACCTCCTATATGATTCTGCTTAATCAAGTCTAAGAACAACAAAATTCATTTATGTTTGTAAAAATCAGAAGGTGATGGTGGGGTGAGGGGGAGTGAGAATTGACTAGGAAAAAGCACATGGGAATTTTTCAGGAAGATGAAAATGTTCTATATCCTGACTGGGTAATAGTCATATGGATGTATACGCCTGTCAAAACTCACTGAACTTAAGATCTGGACAACTTATTGTATGTGAACTATACCTCAAAAAAAGAGAGAGAGAAAAAAAAAGTGGTTGACATGTAAGAAGTTTTCAATATATATTAATATCCTTTTTCTATTCCCGTTCCAGAAATACAGTGTAGTAAAAACCAACCTAATTTTACTTCTCAAAAATTGATTCCAAAATATGGGACAGCCACCTGCAAATGCCTAATTTTAAAATGATTCATTTAATATATATGACTTGGCTGGTAAGTTAGTTCGTGGTCATACCAAATGTGTCAAAACTGGAGTTGGCCTTTTATTATACAGTAGTACAATGGAGCAGAAGGAGTATTAAACTGGCAACTGGTTTTGTATTGCTGATTCCAGTATTTAACGGCTTTGTGATTTTTGATGCATCAATACACATCCAAGAGTTTCAAGTTCCTTTATTTGTAAAAAGGGAGATAACGATAACTTCCTTACAGACTACTGTGAGAACCAAACAAAAGCATATATATATATATGTGAATGAAAGCACCCTGGACACTGTAATGGGGAAGTATTTTATAACACAGTAGTGGAACCAAACAGATAAATTAACTAAATAACCTGCTTAAATAGTCTTTCTTTTTATTGACTATTGACTGTATGAATACATACCGTCCATTTCACCTCCGGGCGAGCAAGTGGAATAAATCGTCCATCAAACATGTGAGAAAATGGCCCATGACCTTAAAAACAAAAGCAGCCTTAGAACAAGAAAAACATCTGTAAACCAACAAAAACTTTTTCCTTTTTTTTTTTTTTTTTTTTGAGACGGAGTTTCGCTCTTGTTGCCCAGGCTGGAGTGTAGTGGTACAATCTTGGCTCAACACAATCTCCGCCCCCTGGGTTCAAGCGATTCTCCTGCCTCAGGCTACCGAGTAGCTGGGATTACAGGCGTGTGCAACCACATCCAGCTAATTTTGTATTTTTAGTAGAGATGGAGTTTCTCTACGTTGGTCAGGCTGGTCTCGAACTCCCGACCTCAGGTGATCCGCCCGTCTCAGCCTCCCAAAGTGCTGGGATTACAGGCGTGAGCCACCACACTCAGCCAAACTGAATTCTTTAATCTTTTTAGTTTAACTTGAATAGCAAAAGAAATTAATAATCTAAAAATACAATCACAAAAAGGGACAAACCCTTTCTTCCTATTTCTAAAACAGGAGAACAGGAAGCAGAAACATGGAAAAGTAAGCTCTCCATCGAGCAGTCTCCAGTCACCAGGTTTTACATAAATCTGATAAAAGGGCAGTTTTTGTTGTTTTTTGAAGAGACAGAGTCTTGCTATGTTGTTCAGGCTGGAGTGCAGTGGCTATTCACAAGCATGATCATTATGCACTGCAGCCTTGGACTCCTGACCTCAAGTCATCCTCCTGCCTCAGCCACCTGAATAGCTGGGACTACAAGCATGCACCACCACACAGGGCTTGATAAATGGACAATTCTGTGTAACTAAAAAGAATGTTAATGCCAAAAACTTTTTGAAATCTTCAGATTGAAAATATCTGGATTAAAATAGCAGTTTCAAGAAAATCCACTAGGGCCAGGTGTGGTGGCTCATGCCTGTAATCCCAGCACTTTGGGAGGCTGAGGTGGGTGGATCACTTTGAGTCAGGAGTTCGAGACCAGCCCGGCCAACATGGTAAAAACCCTGTCTCTACTAAAAATACAAAAAATTAGCCGGGCTTGGTGGCGGGCACCTGTAGTCCCAGCTACTCGGGAGGCTGAGACAGGAGAATGGCGTGAACCTGGGAAGCGGAGCTTGCAGTGAGCCAAGATCACACCACTACACCCCAGCCTGGGTGACAGAGCAAGACTCCATCTCAAAAGAAAAAAAAAGGGGCTGGGCGCGGTGGCTCATGCCTGTAATCCCAGCACTTTGGGAGGCCGAGGCGGGTAGATCACGAGGTCAGGAGTTCAAGACAAGCCTGGCTAAGATGGTGAAACCCTGTTTCTACTAAAAATACAAAAATTAGGCGGGTGTGGTGGCAGGCGCCTGTAATACTACCTACTCAGGAGGCTGAGGCAGGAGAATCGCTTGAACCCGGGAGGCGGAGGTTGCAGTGAGCCGAGATTGCGCCACTGCACTCCAGCCTGGGCAACAGAGCGAGATTCTGTCTCGGGAAAAAAAAAAAAGAAAATCCACTGGGGTGCAGGAAGAAAAAATTAGAATTTCTCTTATAACTCTCAAGCTTAAAAAAATCTATCTTTGGCCGGGTGTGGTGGCTCATGCCTGTAATCTCAGCACTTTGGGAGGCTGAGGCGGGTGGATCACCTGAGGTCAGGAGTTTGAGACCAGCCTGACCAATATGGTGAAACCTCATCTCTACTAAAACTATAATAATTAGCTGGGCATGGTGGCATGTGCCTGTAGTCCCAGCTACTTGGGAGGCTGAGGCAGGAGAATGGCTTGAACCTGGGAGGTGGAGGTTGTGGTGAGCCAAGATCGTACCATTGCACTCCAGCCTGGGCAACAGAGCGAGACTCCATCTGAAAAAAAAAAAAAAAGAAGTGAGCCACTTAACTGGAGAGGGAAGTCTACCTAGACTAGCCTTGGCCCTGCTTTGCAAGTCACAGGCTACACATAAAGGCTCGCTAATGCAGTGCTCAGGCTCCTGGGGACTGGCAAAGGTTTCCCAATGATTCTCCCTCAAAATACCAAGAATCCATCAAATTTATCATCTAGGGGCTGGTATTGGTTCTTTGTAAGTCTCCGGGGGACATAAAAAGAGTGCCTACTTGCTTTAAGTATCTGGCTATCCAAACAGTGGCATGCACCTCCCTTCCCCTGCCCTGAGGGTACACACAAACTCTCAGAGTCCCTGAATAAGTAGGAATAAACTATAAGGATAGAGGTAAAAACCCCCATGATTTAAAAGGAACAGTCCCGGCCCAACGTGGTGACTTATGCCTGTATTCCCAACACTTTGGGAGGCCAAGGGAGGTGAATCACTTGAGGTCAGGAGTTCGAGACCAGTTTCAACAACATGATGAAACTGCATCTCTACTAAAAATAGAAAAAAATTAGCCAGGCGCTACTCGGGAGGCTGAGGCAGAAGAATCACTTGAACCCAGGAGGCGGAGGTTGCAGTGAGCCAAGATAGTGCCAACTGCACTCCAATCTGTGTGACAGAGCAAGACTCCATCTCAAAAATAAAAAAATAAATGGGACAGTCCCCTTTCTCTTTGTCACAGGAAAAGGATTATATTCTTTTGCTTGGATTAAAGTGGCCTAAGACCTCACATGGATCAGAAAAGACAAGGAGTTCTCTAAATGTGTTAATCCACTTGGGCAGATTAGAGATTATAAATATGAAAAAAAATGGATTTCACCAAATAACCGAAGGAAAAATGGTGATTTTATTTGATAAGAAGGACAAGGCCAGGCGCGGTGGCTTACACCTGTAATCCCAGCTCTCAGGGAGGAGAGGCGGGAGGATAGCTTGAGCCTAGGAGTTCGAGACCTGCCTGGGCAATATAGCGAGATCCTGTTCTCCACAAAAAGGAAGAAAAAAAAAGACCAAAAAAAAAAAAAAAAATAAGCATAAGAAGGATAAAAGAAAAATAAAATTCACATATCATCCTAAAAGCAGTAGTAAGAAAAACTCACTAGCAAAAAGCCCTTTCATATAACCTGTAGTAAACATGATGGCCGGGCACGGTGGCTCATGCCTGTAATCCCAGCACTTTGGGAGGCTGAGGCTGGTGGATCACCTGAGGTCAGGAGTTCGAGACCAGCCTGGCCAACATGGTGAAACCCCGTCTCTGCTAAAAATACAAAAATTAGCTGGATATGGTGGTGCATGCCTGTAATCCCAGCTACTCGGGAGGCTGAGGCACGAGAATTGCTTGAAACCAGGAAGCGGAGGTTGCAGTGAACCGATAATGAGCCACTCACTCCAGCGTGGGCAACAGAGCAAAACTCTGTCTCAAAAAAAAAACAACAACAAAAAAACCACTTTAGCAAAGATGTTTAACATGAGAAATTCACTGAAAGTTGCCAAGAAAATAAAATAGCAATGTTTTCTACTTATGAATCATTCTAGGAAGAAGCAACAGTACATTTATACTAACATCAACTGAAGAATTAAAATACAATTTCCATATTCTCTTGGTTGATCTGATTTTTTAACGTCAAAGAGAGGTAACATATGTTATGATTTTACATAACAACTTTGTCTCTTTGTACAGCTTACCGAGATCATGACAAAGTCCAGCAATCTGAACACAGAGAACATCTCGTTCACTTATCTGCAGCTCTGGTTGTTTTTCACCCAGTGCGTGAACTAGACATCCTGCTAGATACCCCACCCTGCAGAGCAAAAACACAAAAAGTCACTTTTCTGTTTGCAAGAGGAGTGATAGTTCTGGTCCTCAAGAACTTCAGTATGTTTCCTTAAACATTCTAACATACCTTTAGGGCAACTTTACTGAACAGTATATTTCAGAACTAGGCAGGAACACACACAAACGGAATCCCAAAAGCAGGACCTCTGGCTCAATATCACCAATCATTAGAGGAATGCACATCAAAACCACAGTGAGATACCACTTCACACCCCTTAGGATAGCTACTATTAAAAAAAGAAAACCAGAAAATAACAAGTGTTGGACATGATGTGAAGAAGTTGGAAGCCTGTGCACTGTTAGTGGGGATGTATTATGGTGTAGCTGCCATGGAAAACAGTATGGGTGCTCCACAAAAATTAAAAACGGAATTACCACAGTGATTTAGCAATTTCACTTCTGGGTATACACCCACAATAACGAAAGTAGGTCTTGAAAAGATTGGCTGGGCTCAGGGGCTCACGCCTGTAATCCCAGCACTTTGGGAGGCTGAGGCGGGCAGATCACTTGAGGTCAGGGGTTCGAGACCAGCCTGGCCAACATGTTGAAGCCCCATCTCTACTAAAAAATACAAAAATTAGCTCAGCATGGTGGCAGGTACCTGTAATCCCAGCTATTTGGGAGGCTGAGGCAGGAGAATTGCTTGAACCCAAGAGGTACAGGTTGCAGTGAGCCGAGATCTTGCCATTGCACTCCAGCCTGGGCAACAGAGCAAGATTCCGTCCCCACCACCCTCCCCCCAAAAAAAGAAAGAGAATATATTTGTACAGACATGTTCATAGCAGCACTACTCAAAATAGCCAAGAGGTAAAAGCAACAGGTATCCATCAACAAATGAATGTATAAACAAAATGTGGTAGATACATATGATAAAATATTATTCAACCTTAAAAAGGAAATAAAAAATAATTTAAAAATAAAAAATAAAAAATAAAAAAGGAAAGAAATACTGACACATGCTACAACATAGATGAACTTTGAGGAAATTATGCTAAGTGAAATAAGCCAGTGACAAAAAGACAAATATTATATGATTTCACTAAGATGAGGTACCTAGAGTAGCCAAATTCATAAACAAAAAAAAGAGGGCCGGGTGCGGTGGCTTATGCCTGTAATCCCAGCACTTTGGGAGGCTGAGGTGGGCAGATCACCTGAGGTCGGGAGTTCAAGAACAGCCTGGCCAATGTGGTGAAACTCCATCTCTACTAAAAATACAAAATTAGCTGGGCGTGGTGGCAGGTGCCAGCTACTTGGAAGGCTGTAATCCCAGCTACTTGGAAGGCTGAGGCAGCTACTTGGAAGGCTGCTTGGAAGGCTGTAATCCCAGCTACTTGGAAGGCTGAGGCAGGAGAATCACTTGAACCGAGGAGGCGGAGGTTGTGGTGAGCCGAGATTGCGCCATTGCACTCCAGCCTGGGCAACAAGAGCGAAACTCCGTCTCCAAAAAAAAAAAAAAAAAAAAAGTAGAATGGTAGTTACTAGGGGGTTGCGGGGGGTTGCGGGGGGAGACATGAAGAGTTGTTTAATACGTATACAGTTTCGTGTTTTTTTTTTTTTTTTTTTGAGATGGAGTCTCGCTGTGTTGCCCAGGCTGGAGTGCACTGGCCTGATCTCAGCTCACTGCAACCTCAGGAGTAGCTGGGATTACAGGTACACTCCACCATGCCCGGCTGGTTTTGTATTTTTAGTAGAGACGGGGTTTCGCCATGTTGCCCAGGCTGATCTTGAACTCCTGACCTCAGGTGATCCACTGGCCTCAGCCTCCCAAAGTGCTGGGATTCCAGGTGTGAGCCACTGCACCCGGCAAGTTTGGTTTTGTAAGATGATAAGAGTTTTGGCAAGTTTGGTTTTGTAAGATGATAAGAGTTTTGGCAAGTTTGGTTTTGTAAGATGATAAGAGTTTTGGCAATCGATTGGTTGCACAATGTGAATGCATTTAACCCTACTAAACTGTACACTTAAAAAACACTTAAGACTATGTATTTTCTATTCTGTGTATTTTACCACAGTTTTTTTTTAAAGTAGGAATATCTGGCTTTGTAATGTTTACAACATAATTGGAGATGAAGTACTTAAATGCACTTCCAGCACTTCCATCTGAGCCATTCCTAAATTCTTTTCCCCTGAACTCTGAGCTACATGAGGACAGAGGCGATTGTTATCTTTTTGTGGTTTGGTAGGGCTTAGTAAGGTTCGATAAATATTTGTTGATGAATGAACATTTGAGTATAGACACATGTTGTGCCTAACTAAAAATGCTTCTACACAAACAGAAAACCAAAGTAATATACTGTGAGTACTTCATGAAAATCTCAAAGACTGTCTATTCTTCCCTGTCCACTTCCTCCTGGCTCTACACTGCATAATGGAAATGCAGACCAACGTCTCAGCTTAGTTGTATGTAACAGAGGCATCGCCTTCTCTAAGATTATGAATGCTTTTTTAACTTACGCATTTCCTGACAGGTAAGAAAATGATCTGGTTTGAAAGAGCAACTCTGTACCAGAGTAAATAGAGAATACAGAAAAATTAAATAATCAAATATACATAATTAGTTGTATCAGCAACCGACCCATTAGCTTTTATTTATTTATTTATTTATTTTGAGACTGATTCTCACTCTGTCACCCAGGCTGGAGTGCAATGGTGCTATCTCAGTTCACTGCAACCTTGGCCTCCCGGGTTCAAGCTATTCTCCTGCCTCAGCCTCCCAAGTAGCTGCAGCGTGCGCCACCACGCCTTGCTAATTTTTGTATTTTTACTAGAGACGGGGTTTCACCATGTTGCTCAGGCTGGTCTCGAACTCATGATCTCAAGTGATCCGCCTGCCCCGGCCTCCCAAAGTGCTGAGATTGGCCGGGCACGGTGGCTCATGCCTGTAATCTCAGCATTTTGAGAGGCCGAGGCGGGCGGATCACGAGGTCAAGAAATCAAGACCACCCTGGCCAACGTGGTGAAACCCTGTCTCTACTAAAAAATACAAAAATTAGCCAGGCGTGGTGGTGGGCACCTGTAATCCCAGCTACTTGGGAGACTGAGGCAGGAGAATCACTTGAACCCTGGAGGCAGAGGTTGCAGTGAGCTGAGATCGTGCCATTGCACTCCAGCCTGGGCGACGGAGTGAGACTCCATCTCAAAAAAAAAAAAAGTGCTGGGATTACAGGTGTGAGCCACCACACCCAGCCCCTGTTAGCTTTTAATTAATATTTAAAAACAAATCCAACTGACCTGTCTATAGATACTTTCATTATTTTTCCAGGAAAGATCTGAGGTGGTTAAGAATACATAAAATAAATAAATTGCAACAAGGTAAATAAAAAGCCTCAATTTTGGGGCTGGGCACAGTGGCTCATACCTGTAATCCCAGTACTTTGGGAGGCCGAGGCAGGTGGCTCACAAGGTCAGGAGATCAAGACCAGCCTGGCCAAGATGGTGAAACCCCGTCTCTACTAAAATTACTAAAATTAGCCGGGTGTGGTGGTGGGCGCCTGTAATCCCAGCTGCTCAGGAGGCTGAGGTACAGAACTGCTTGAACCTGGGAGGTCGAAGTTGCAGTGAGCCAAGATTACGCCACTGCACTCCAGCCTAGTGAAAGAGACTCTGTCTCAAAAAAAAAAAAAAAAAAAAAAAAAAAGCCTCAATTTTCTCATCAATAAAATAAGGACATTATCATCATTTTGTAAAACTATTTATTCTCTAAAAGATTAAGACAACTATTTCTTTTTTTTCCTGTTTTCTTTTTCTTTCTTTTTTTTTTTTTTTTTGAGATGGGGTTTTGCTCTTGTTGCCTAGGCTGGAGTGCGATGGTGCAATCTCAGCTCACTGCAACCACCAACCTCCTGGGTTCAAGTGATCCTCCTGCCTCAGCCTCCTGAGTAGCTAGGATTACAGGTGCGCACAATCATGTCTGGCTAATTTTGTATTTGTAGTAAAGATGGGGTTTCACAATGTTGGCCAGGCTGGTCTTGAACTCCTGACCTCATGTGATCCACCCACCTCTGCCTCCCAAAGTGCTGGGATTATAGGTGTGAGCCACCATGCCTGGCCTAAGATAACTATTTCATGAGACAGAGAAAATACTTAAAAACTGCAAGTTCCCCACCCCATTCCCTTCTTACCCTAGACTATGCTCAAATCGATTGTGTGAAGCTCCTGGAAAAACATAGTAACCACCTCCCAGCTGTTTGATGTATCGAAGACGTTGAAATTGAGGTGTATCAATGATTCGGACGAGGAGAGGGTGGAGCTCAATGTGGCCATGGATAGGATCATTAATTACCTAGAAAATTATGTTTAATTAATACAAATAACGACATGTAAGTCCAACTGAAATTTGTGTGCAGCCATTCCTAATTATAGTGCAAAGTCAAAGCTATTTGATTTTTCAAGTAAAAATACTAACGGAAATGACAAGATGTTAACATCATTACCTTATTTAGGTATCACTACCAGACAGATCAAGTATATTGGATTTGAGTATATTTTACTTCTTCCTAATGGATGTGAATAACAGAAAAATAAGGATTTTGATTTTTTATTATGTATATGACTTAGTCTTTAATAAGTTTGTCTTGTATTCAAGTTAAACATGCATATTCATTTCGATTTAAACACATTCATCCACATCATGTAACCCATATCACTATAGGTATTATGTCTAATTTTTTTTTTTTTTTTTGAGACAGAGTCTCACTGTGTTACCCAGGCTGGAGTGCAGTGGCACGATCTCAGCTCACTGCAACCTCTGCCTCCCAAGTTCAAGCTATTCTCCTGCCTCAGCCTCCTGAGTAGCTGGGACTACAGGGGTGTGCCACTATGCCCAGCTAATTTTTGTATTTTGAGTAGAGATGGGGTTTCACTATGTTGGCCAGGCTGGCCGCGAACTCCTGACCTCAAGTGATCCGCCCACCTCGGCCTCCCAAAGTGTTGGGATTACAGGCGTGAGCCACCGTGCCCGGCCTAAATTTTTTTTTTTCTAAATGTATCTATACAGCACTCATCATTAAAACAGAAAAGAAAGAAGGGAGGCAGGGAAAGAAAGAAAGATGGAAATTCCTCTACCATATAGATAAGAAATCATGCAGGTCCGAGTGCAGGTGCTCACATCTGTAATCCCAGCACTTTGGGAGGCCAAGAGTTTGAGACTAGTCTAGGCAACATAGTGAGACCCCATCTTTAAAAACAAAAATGCAGTGGCGCACATCTGTAGTCCCGGGTACTCTAGAGGCTGAGGTAGGAAGATCCCTTGAGCCCCAGGGGATCAAGGCTGCAGTAACCTACTATTGTGCCACAACACTTCAGCCTGGGCGACAGAGAGAAACTCTGTCTCAAAAAAAGAAGAAAAAAAGCAAGAAAATAATTTTGTACAGCTGAACAATGTGTTTATGTGTGTGTGTTCTTTTTGTTTTGTTTTTCTTAGAGATAGGGTCTCGCTTTCTCACCAGGCTGCAGTGCGTTGGCTATTCACAGGCACAATCATAGCTTACTGTAGCCTCAAACTCCTAGGCTCCAGGGATCCTCCTGCCTCAGCCTCCCAAATAGCTGGGACTACAGGCATGTACCACCATTCCTAGCTAATTTATTTTTATTCTTTGTGGAGACAAAGTCTTGCTATATTGCCCAGGCTGACCTCGTGTCCGCCCGCCTCAGCCTCCCGAAGTGCTGGAATTACAGGCATGAGCCACCGCGCCTGGCTAAAATCTACTTTTAAACCATTTAAGGACCTAAAAGCCTTCACTGTAAATTTTTCAGGTTGTAATAACTGTCTTTTTTGTTTGTTTGTTTTTTGAGACAGAGTCTAGCTCTATCACATAAGCTGGAGTACAATCAGGGCTCATTGTAACCTCTGCCTCCCAAGTTCAAGCGATCCTCCCACCTCAGCCTCCCAAGTAGCTGGAACTATACCACGCCTGGCTAATTTTTCTTTTTTTGGTAGAGATGGGGTTTCTGGCAGGGCATGGTGGCTCATGCTTGTAATGCCAGCACTTTGGGAGGCCAAGGCGGGTGGATCACCTGAGATCAGGAGTTCACGACCAGCCTGACCAACATGATGAAATCCCGTCTCTACTAAAAATACAAAAATTAGCTGGGCGTGGTGGTGGGCGTCTGTTATCCCAGCTACTCAGGAGGCTGAGGCAGGAGAATCGCTTGAACCCAGGAGGCAAAGGTTGCAGTGAGCTGAGATTGTGCCACTGCACTCCAGCTTGGGCAACAGAGTGAGACTCTATCTCAAAAAAAAAAAAAAAAAAGATTCATTGATACATTTGAAAAATTAGTCCTCATTATGTCAAACACTGCACTCCCTCTTCACCATTACACAATCTCAGCTTCAGAGGCCAACTGAACTAAATTTAGCATAAAGAACACTGTGTCAAGAACAAACCATGGTGACCTTGGGTTCGGCAATGGTTTCTTAAATATGACACTAAAAGTACAAGACACAAATGAACAAAAAAAATATAAATTGGATTACATAAAAACTTAAAACTTTTGTGATCCAAAGAACACCATCAAAAAAGTAAAAAGACAACCCACAGACTGGGAAAAAATATTTGTGTATCATATCTCCCATAAGGATTTACATCCAGAACATATAAAGAGCTCTTACAACTCAAATCAAATTGTGTGTGATTGAACAACACTGTGAACTTTCTAAAAAGCACTGTCTTGCATACTAAAAATGAGTGAATCATACAACTTGTGAATTATATCTCAATAAAGCATTTATGTTTTAAGTATCAAGTTAGGTAGGTATGAAATTAGGGTAGAAATCCTTGAGGTCTGCAACTGAGTAGCAAACTAGGTCAATTCTTGTTGAACTGCATTGCTGATGAAGTTAAATTCATTTAAGGTATTGATTTCATTACTAAGCCGTGATTCAGTAGTTTGAAAATCTATTTCCAACAACTGTCATTTATAATTTATAAATGAGGTTAAACAATGTTGGTTTGTTTTTTTTTTTTTTTGAGACAGGGTCTCACTCTGTTGCCCAGGCTGGAGTGCAGCGGCGTGATCATGGCTCACTGAAGCCTCCACCTCCCCAGGTTCAGGTGATTTTCCTATATCAGCTTCCCAAGTAGCTGGGACTACAGGTGTGCACTACCACACCCAGCTAATTTTTCTATTGTTTTCTATTGTTTGTAGATGGAGTTTCACCATGTTGCCCAGGCTGGTCTTTGAACTTAAGGGCTCAAGTGATCCACCTACCTCAGTCTCCCAAAGTGCTGGGATTACGGGTGTGAGCCACCATACCCAGCCAACAATGTTCTTTTTACAGAAAAATAGAAAGAATAAAAGTGGGCAATTGAAACCACTGACTGCCTTAAATATTACCTCAAAAATATATTATTGGCTGGGCACGGTGGCTCATGCCTGTAATCCCAAAACTTTGGAAGGCCGAGGCAGGCAGATCACGAGGTCAGGAGTTCGAGGCCAGCCTGGCCAACATGGTGAAACCCCGTCTCTACTAAAAATACAAAAATTAGCCGGGTGTGGTGGCATGCACTGGTAATCCCAGCTACTCAGGAGGCTGAGGCAGGAGAATTGCTTGAACCCGGGAGGCGGAGGTTGCAGTGAGCTGAGATCACGCCACTGCACTCCAGCCTGGGCAACCGAGTGAAACTCCCTCTCAAAACAACAAAACAGGGACAGGCACGGTGGCACGTGCCTGTAATCCCAGCACTTTGAGAGGCTGAGGCGGGTGGATTATGAGGTCAGGAGATCGAGACCATCCTAGCTAACGCGGTGAAACCCCATCTCTACTAAAAATACAAAAAATTAGCTGGGCATGGTGGCATGCGCCTGTAGTCCCAGCTACTCAGGAAGCTGATTTAGGCTGAGGCAGGAGAATCACTTGAACCTGGGATTTGGAAGTTGCAGTGAGCCGAGATTGCACCACTGCACTCCAGCCTGGGAGACAGAGCAAGACTCCATCTCAAAAACAAAACAAAACAAAACAACAACAAAACATTATTATATAGTTGAACCAAAAATGTTCATTAAATTTTTTCAGATGTGATTTTCAATAGAAAATAAGCCTAGAACGGGCTGGTGGCTCACGCCTGTAATCCCAGCACTTTGGGAGGCCAAGGTGGGCAGATCATGAGGTCAGGAGTTCAAGACCAGCCTGGCCAACCTGGTGAAACCTTGCCTCTACTAAAAATACCAAAAAAAAAAAAAAAAAAAAAAAAAAAAATTAACTGGGCGTGGTGGCAGGTGCCTGTAATCCCAGCTACTCAGGAGGCTGAGGCAGGAGAACTGCTTGAATCTGGGAGGCAGAGGTTGCAGTGAGCTGATACCATGCCACTGCACTCCAGCCTGGGCAACAGAGCGAGACTCCCTCTCAAAAAAAAAAAAAAAAAAAAAAAAAAGAAAAGAAAAGAAAAAGAAAATAACCGGGTAGGCCAGACGTGTTGGCTCATGCCTGTAATCCCAACACTTTGGGAGGCCAAGGCAGACGGATCACATGAGGTCAGGAGTTCGAGACCAGCCTGACCAATATGGCGGAACCCTGTCTTTACTAAAAAAAATACAAAAACTAGCTGGGCATGGTGGTGTGCACCTGTAGTCCCAGCTACCTGGGAGGCTGAGACAAAAGAATCACTTGAAACTGGGAGGCAGAGGTTGCAGTAAGCCAGATTGTGCCACTGCACTCCAGCCTAGACAACAGAGCAAGACTCCATCTCAAAAAAAGAAAGAAAGAAAAGAAGTCTATAACTTGCAAAAGCAAAATTAAAATATGTATTCTTATAGAGAGGGATCTGAAATAACTCAAATACTATACATTACATCTATTTTTTAAAAAAAGTGAAAAATGCAAATGATGATCGGGCAAAAAAGTACAAAAAAAGAAGATATCCTACATCTTCTCCCAGGTCTGAAACTAAGTTTTCTTAACCTAGGAATGTCAAAAGAGTAAATAAGGTCTATTTCCTGTCACTAACAAAACAAGAAACATTTCATCAAGTATGGTTTTAGAATCACTCTGAAGAGCTTGTGAAAAATGCACATTCTGGCTGGGCGCAGTGGCTCATGCCTGTAGTCCCAGCACTTTGGCAGGACGAGGTGGGTGGATCACTTGAGGTCAGGAGTTTGACACCAGCCTGGCCAACATGATGAAACCCCAACTCTACTAAAAATGCAAAAACATTAGCCGGGTGTGGTGGTGTATGCCTGTAATCCCAGCTACTTGGGAGGCTGAGGCAGGAGAATCACTTGATCCTGAGAGGCAGAGGTTGCAGTGAGACAAGATAGTGCCACTGAGCCCCAACCTGGGTGACAGAGAGAGATTACATCTCAAAAAGAGGAAAAAAAAAAAAAAAAGGCCAGGCTCTGTCTCAAAAAAATAAAGTTTAAAAATATGTAAAACAATACTATACATTGTTTATGGATATACATAAATATGCAATAAGAGTAAAAACCATTCATGACAATGATAAACATCAAATTCAGGAAGATGCTTATTACTTCTAGGGAGAAAAGGATAGAAACATAATAAATAGAAACAGGGCCAGGCGTGGGGGCTCACATCTGTAATCTTAGCACTTTGGGAGGCCAAGGCAGGTCAATCTCTTGAGCCCAGGAGTTTGAGACCAGCCTGAGCAACACAGGAAGACCCCGTCTTTATAAAAAATACAAAAATTAGCCAGGTGTGGTGGCATGCACCCATAGTCCAAGCTACTGGGGTGGCTGAGATGGAAGGATCACTTGAGCCAGGGAGACGGAGGTTGGAGTGAGCTGAGATTGCACCACTGTACTCCAGCCTAGATGACAGAGCAAGACCACATTTCATTAAAAAAAAAAGAATGTACAAAGGAGGTCTTCAATAGTTTCTAATATTTTGCTCTAAAAATAACAGACTTGAAGCAAATTAGGCAAAATATTAATATTTGACAAGTTGGGTAGTGGTCTACTTATGCTTTTCTGTATGCTTAAACATATTTTAGTTCTTCTTCTGATTTAAATACTCTGTGCTCATTTTAGAAAGTGCAGAAAGTTTAGAAAAGATCCACTACTCACAATTCTATCACTGAGAAGCAGATTTCCTCCTATTCTCTTCAAAATGAATTTTACATAATTGAGTTATATCACTTTATATTCAAAAAACATAACAAACTCAGATCCTCTTACCTTCATTGTATCAACGTGGATTTGAACCAATCGCTGGATATAACTAAGCAGCTTCTTCCTCTCCCCCAAGGAACTAAAATTACAATAGGATAAGCAAGTCTATCATTATTTGCTTAATAATAATCCCTGCAGTATATAGTAGACATAATAAACTTTATATTATCTACACTAACAGAAGTTAGATTGGAAGGAACAATCAATAATTCAAACATACCCCTCCTAGAAACTCTCTCCTTCCTTTGCTGTTAAGATAGGGAACTCTCCTGCTGAATCAATATAGGCCTCCCACAGCCTTCTGTCCTTGACCCTCCTCTCTCTTGGTAAATTTAAGACTTGAAAAACTCCACATCTCCATGTCTACTCAATGCTCAAACTGTACTTCCTTTTAACCAAACTGAAGTCAACATCTACCCTCATAATCCTGGATTGATTTATGAGCACCAGGTATGACTCAAGCATGAATGAAATACATATGAAGGCTTTAACTTTATTTATATTCATTTTCCATTGTCAGTACTCCCTCACAATGCTCCAGTTTCAAGAAAATACATAATGGGAATTAAATTTGAGCAGCTCGAAGTCCTGTGATTCATTATCCTGCTTCATTTACAATTACTAGTTGGGCCCAGCATATCATCCTCCCTCCTGGCTGGGTGTCAACAGAGAGTGCAGGCAAAGGGTTTTACTGATCTACTAGATAACCAGATTGAAAAAAAAGTATCTTTCTACAAGTCATACATAGACTGGGAGTCAGAGGCACTACATTGGCCTCTATGGTACACACTGAACCCATGGTAATAAGAACACTTAAGAATAATATCTTGGGATACACAGAAGCATTATTACAGCTGATAAATTAAAGCAGCAAATTTCGTGTTTTCCTATTCCCCTATCCTCCTCATCAGTTTGACATAACAAGCACAGTGTAAAGCCAGGCTTTCAGAAGTACTTATAGGTGGACTTAGTTTAAGGGGAGTCACATAGTTGAGCAAAACCGGAGTCATAGCATAAAATATCAAACCTAAACTAACCCCGTGACCACTTAATATTTTCCTAAACTGACATTTGGTATTCATCGCTTAAAACCCCAAAATCGGCCGGGCGCAGTGGCTCACACCTGTAATCCCAGCACTTTGGGAGGCCGAGGTGGGTGGATCACCTGAGGTTGGGAGCTCGAGACAAGCCTGACTAACATGGAGAAACCCCGTCTCTTCTAAAAATACAAAATTAGCCAGGCGTGGTGGTGGCGCATGCCTGTAATCCCAGCTACTCGGGAGGCTGAGGCAGGAGAATTGCTTGAACCCGGGAGGCGGAGATTGCGGTGAGCCGAGATGGCGCCATTGCACTCCAGCCTGGGCAACAAGAGCAAAACTCCAACTCAAAAACAAAACAAAACAAAACCAAAATCACTGATTAGAGTATATAAAACCACCCAAAACCAGGGGGTTGTTTTGTTTAGCAAAGGACATGGCATTAAATAAAGATTTAAAGAAGTCATGGGCCAGGATATCTAGATTATGAAAGAATTTTATTCCTGTGTTCCAACATTTCTGAAATTTAATGCTTCTTACAATTGACATGTATATTTAACGTGACAATGTTTCTATCTAACTTCTTTTTTTTTTTGAAATGGAGTCTTACTCTGTTGCCCAGGCTGGAGTGCAGTGACGTGATCTCGGCTCACTGCAAGCTCCACCTCCCGGGTTCACGCCATTCTCCCGCCTCAGCCTCCCGAGTAGCTGGGACTACAGCCGCCCGCCACCATGCCCAGCTAATTTCTTTTTTGTTTTTGTATTTTTAGTAGAGACAGGGTTTCACCATGTTAGCCAGGATGGTCTCGATCTCCTGACCTCGTGATCCGCCCGCCTCGGCCTCCCAAAGTGCTGGGATTAAAGGCCTGAGCCACCACGCCTGGCCTGTTTCTTACTTGTTAAAAAAACCTTTATAAATCAATGGTTGTTCATAAAATTGAGGGCCTACTAGGAGTGCTTGTCTAAGCTGGATTCTCCCTAGAAAGCAGGGTCCAGGATAAGAGCTTGCAAGTAATTAATCTTGGGGTGAACTCTGGGCACAGGGATTGGGGGGTCTAGGGAGGGTAAAATAGGAAATTAGGTAAAAACAGTACAAAGGTCCATTAACAAGTTGATTGCATTGGTACTACTGTGAGCAACTGGATGGAGTGGTGGGTAGGGCTAATCCCACTGGCAACCTGTAAGGCAGCACTGTCTAGTAGAACTTTCTGCGATGATGGAAATGTTCTATATCTGCTCTGTCCAACACAGTAGCCGTTAGCCATAGTGACTACTAAGTACTTGAAATATGGCTAGTGTAACTGAGGAATTTTTTACTTAATTTACTTCTAATTAATTTAAACGTGAAGCTAGTTGTTATTATACAGAACAATACAGCTCTAAGGAGTCCTACAGAATTTGAGTTATGAGGTGGGGCACAGAGACGTGCAATATAGTGTTCCTTCTGGAACACTGCAATATAGTGTTCCTTTGTCTGTTTTGTTCACTCATGTGCCCCAAATTCATGGAAGAATTCCTAGTACATAGTGAGCTTTCCAAAAATATTCACTGAATGAATCAATAGCACTTGGGTCCACAAACATGCACATGGCTCCCTTGAAAAGAAAGACTGTATTAGAACAAATTCCATTCAGGTCAAATAGTAAGCAACTATTATGTACAAGAAACAAGTAGTAAAGGGGACTTTGAGAGGACTGAGAGGGCTGAAATGTGGTTATGAAAGAGTCATGCCGGGGACAGTGGCTCACGCCTGTAATCCCAGCACTTTGGGAGGCTGAGGCAGGCAGATCATGAGGTCGGGAGTTCAAGACCACCCTGGCCAACATAGTGAAACCCTGTCTCTACTAAAAATACAAAAATTAGCCGGGCATGGTGGCACACACCTGTAGTCCCAGCTACTCAGGAGGCTGAGGTGGTAGAATCACTTGAATCTGGGAGGTGGAGGTTGCAGTGAGCCGAGATCACGCCACTGCCCTCCAGCCTGAGTGACAGAGCAAGACTCCATCTCAAAAAAAAAAAAAAAAAAAAGAACTTTGGGAGGCCTGAGGCGGGCAGATCACAAGGTCAGGAGATTGAGACCATCCTGGCTAACACGATGAAACCCCGTCTCTACTAAAAATACAAAAAATTAACCGGGCATGGTGGCACATGCCAGTAGTCCCAGCTACTTAGGAGGCTGAGGCAGGAGAATCACTTGAACACCACTGAACTTGAACTCCAGCCTGGGCAACAGAGTGAGACTTCGTCTCAAAAAAAAAAAAAAAAAGAAAGGGCTAAGATGAGGTCCCTGGAGATTCTGATCCAAAGGATATTTACTGGAAGTCAGTTAAATGTTCTACAGTGATCTTGTTTCACAATGTACTTCTGTTATCAATTACTAAGCAACAGCACAGGAAGTAATTCAGTATAATCCTTTGTTTTGATTCTTTGGTTACTGTTACCACAAACAACATGTAACTAAAATTTCAGAAGAGAAGGCCATATTTCCCCACTGTTGCCAATTTTCTAACAGAAACAAAATCTTCATTTTAAGAAGTATTTAAGGCCGGTCGCAGTGGCTCGCGCCTATAATCCCAGCACTTTGGGAGGACGAGGTGGGTGGATCACCTGAGGTCGGGAGTTCGAGACCAGCCTGACTAACATGGAGAAACCCCGTCTCTACTAAAAATACAAAATTAGCTGGGCATGGTGGCGCATGCCTGTAATCCCAGCTACTCGGGAGGCTGAGGCAGGAGAATCACTTGAACCTGGGAGGTGAAGGTTGAGGTAAGACGAGATCGTGCCATTGCACTCCAGCCTGGGCAACAAAAGCAAAACTCCGCTTCAAAAAAAAGAAGTATTTAAGCACCAGATCCTCTACTGAGATCATTAAAGGAGCCCCACTCTAATCTAGACCCTAGAACCTACAGCCATACACAGAGATGGATCTATGTAACTATGTATGTATGTATGTATATATGTATCTATCTACCTACCTACCTATCTGAGACAGGGTCTTATTCTGCTGCCCAAGCTGGAGTGCAGGAGCTTATCATAGATCACTGCAACCTTGAACTCCTGGGCTCAAGGGATCTTCCTGCTTCAGCCTCCTGAGTGTAGGTGGGACTACAGGTGCATGCACAGTACCCGGCTAATTTTTTAATTTTCTGTATCACTATCTATAAAATTTACTAAGCGTTAATCATATGCTTCAACACTTTATGTACATCATCTCATTATTGTTATCCATTTTACAGGTACAGAAACTGAAGGGTTAAATGACTTCTCCCAAATTATACAACTAAAAAGTGCCTGTTTTGCATAGTGTCTTTAAATCTAATACCAGGGCATATTCCAATCTTTAGGAAAACCTAGAAATATGCTCAAGATAGGGGTGTAGCCTTGATTTTCTTACTAACATTTTTTTCCCTATTGGTTCTTATGTATTTCCCAGTGTGTATAATTCAATTATTCTGAACTTGAGAGTAAAAAGTTGGTCACTACAAACTTGATGAAGATTTGTCTGCAACATTATTTAAAATAGGAATAAGGCCACACACGGTGGCTTATGCCTGTAATCTCAGCACTTTGGGAGGCCAAGGTGGGCAGACCTTGGCCCACCTTAGGTCAGAACTCCAGACCACCTTAGGTCAGGAGTTCGAGACCAGCCTGGCCAACATGGTGAAACCCTGTCTCTACTAAAAATACAAAACTTAGCTGGGCATGGTGGTGCATGCCTGTAATCCCAGCTACTCAGGAAGCTGAGGCAGGAGAATGGCTTGAACCCAGGGGGTTCAGTGAGCCGGGATCGCACCATTGCACTCCAGTCTGGGTGACAGAGTGAGACTCTGTCTCAATAAATAAATAAATAAATAAAATTAAAAATAAACTAAAATAGGAATAAACAGTAATAGCAAACATAGGATTTGTACAGCGAAAACAAACAGCAGGTGGCCAGTCGCGGTGGCTCACACCTGTAATCTCAGCACTTTGGGAGGCCGAGGCAAGCGGATCACTTGAGGCCAAGAGTTCAAGACCAGTCTGGCCAACATGGTGAAACCCCATCTCTACTAAAAGTACAAAAATCAGTGGGGCAGCCGGGCGCGGTAATTCCAGCACTCTGGGAGGCTGAGGCGGGCAGATCACGAGGTCAGGAGATTGACACCATCCTGGCTAACATGGTGAAACCCTGTGTCTACCAAAAAATACAAAAAAGTAGCCAGGCGTGGTGGCAGGCGCCTGTAGTCCCAGCTACTCGGGAGGCTGAGGCAGGAGAATGGCATGAACCCGGGAGGCGGAGCTTGCAGTGAGCCAAGATCACGCCACTGCACTCCAGCCTGGGAGACAGAGCGAGACTCTGTCTCAAAAAAAAAAAAAACCGAAAAAAAATTAGTGGGGCATGGTGGTGGGCACCTGTAATCCTAGCTACTCAGGAGGCTGAGGCAGGAGAATAACTTGAAGCCGGGAGGCAGAGGTTGCAGTGAGCCGAGATACTCCAGCCTGGGTGAACAAGAGACTATCTCAAAAAACAAATGAACAAACAAAACCAGCAGGCAAGGGATTCTGCTGTTTTAAAGCACTTCATAGATTTAAAATGAGGACAGTTTATATCAGAGATTTTGGGCTTTGTCCCTGAAAGATGGATAAAGTGTGTTTGGTTATAACGTGAATTTATTTCTTCATTCTTACCTTACTCCAAGATTTTCAAAACGAGACTCATCAAGACAAGGCAGTAATGCGCCTGTGATTTCATTTTCTATGGAAGAAAAAAGACAAATTCAATGTATACAACATATGCTTTTCATTTTCTTTCAATTTGGATACACCAACATTTACCCAGATCCACATAAGTGAGTACCCACTGCAGGCAATGGATTGTGCCAAGTACCACTTTTTTGATCTGCTACTTGTAAAGACTTAATTTTAATTAAATAACTAAACCAAGAAGCATTTTTTGATAAATCACGTGAAAATTTCAAAATTATTTGTGTAAATTAGTTCCAAGAAAAACCAGTTGCAAAAAGGAAAGTGAAACCCGACTACCTGTTGGGGTTTTGCCAGGTCAGCAGCTTTGAGTTGGGGAGGGAAGGAAACCTAAGTCTATTGTTCTTAGAATTAACAAGGTTTGAGTTGGGGAGGGAAGGAAACCTAAGTCTATTGTTCTTAGAATTAACAAGTTAAAACCGTGAATTCAAGAGTGCTTAAAGTGTTGATTTTTCTCAAACCTCCTGGGAAAGCACTCAATACTCTGATTTGGAAGAGGTGTGTGTGTGTGTGTGTGTGTGTGTGTGTGTGTGTGTGTCCTGGGAAAGCACTCAATACTCTGATTTGGAAGAGGTGTGTGTGATTTGGAAGAGGTGTGTGTGTGTGTGTGTGTGTGTGTGTGTGTGTGTCCTGGGAAAGCACTCAATACTCTGATTTGGAAGAGGTGTGTGTGTGTGTGAGTGTGTGTGTGTGTGTGTGTGTCCTGGGAAAGCACTCAATACTCTGATTTGGAAGAGGGGTGTGTGTGTGTGTGTGTGTGTGTGTGTGTGTGTGTGTGTTGTTGGGTTTTTTCCTTTCTCTTTCTATACAATTAATTCTAATCTTTCCTGACCTCAAATTCCAGAACTCTGGACTATTTTCTTTTATTTTCTTTGAGACAGGGTTTTGCTTGTTGCCCAGGTTGGAGTGCAGTGGTGCGATCACATCTCACTGCAGCCTTGACCTCCTGGGCTCAAGCGATCCTCCTGCCTCAGCCTCCTGAGTAGCTGGGACCACAGGCATGTGCCACTGCACCTAGCTAATTTTTATTTTTATTTTTTGTAAAGTTGAGGTCTCCTGATGTTGCCCAGGCTGGTCTTGAATTCTTGGGCTCAAGTGATCTTCCCACACTGGCCTCCCAAAGTGCTGGGATTATAGGTATGAGCCACTGGGCCAGGCCTCCAGTGGTTTTTGATGAGAATACTTGTTAAGGTATAGATCACATGAGTTCTAGAGTCCAAAGACCTAACCTTAAAAAATCTAGCTCTTTTTTGTAGTGGTGTGATCTCTGAAAAGTTACTTTACATCTTTGGACCTCGCATACATCATCGGTAAAATGTGTTGAGTGTAGTAACTTATTTCAGACTTCTTGTGAGGCTGTATTCCATAATGAGAAAAGGGACACTGTACCTTGTGCTTGGCTTATCAAATTAAAAAAAAAATGGACTTAGATAAAGAGAGACTTTTTTTTTCTTTTCCGAGATGGAGTCTCACTCGGTCGCCCAGGCTGGAGTGCAGTGGCGGGATCTTGGCTCACTGCAACCTCCGCCTCCCAGGTTCAAGTGATTCTCCTGCCTCAGCTTCCCAAGTAGCTGGGACTACAGGCACATACCACCATGCCCGGCTAATTTTTGTATTTTTAGTAGAGACGGTGTTTCACCATGTTGGCCAGGCTGGGCTTGAATTCCTGACCTCAGGTGATCTACCTGCTTCGGCCTTCCAAAGTGCTGGGATTACAGGCGTGAGCCACCGTGCCCGGCCAAGAGAAACTTTATTAGAAAGAAAGACTATTGCTGGTCGGGCGTGGTGGCTCACACCTGTAATCCCAGCACTTTGGGAGGCCAAGGCGTGTGAATCATCAGGTCAAGAGATTAAGACCATCCTGGCCAACATGGTGAAACCCCATCTCTACTAAAAATACAAAAATTAGCCAGGTGTGGTGGTGGGCACCTGTAGTCACAGCTACTCAGGAGGCTGAGGCAGGAGAATTGCTTGAACCCGGGAGGCAGAGGTTACAGTGAGCCGAGATCACACCACTGCATTTCAGCCTGGCGACAGAGCGAGACTCTGTCTCAAAAAAAAAAAAAAAAGAAAAGAAAAAAAGAAAAGAAAAGAAGAAAGACTATTTCTACAGGGAGAAAGCTCCAATATCAGATATCTGCAAGAGGCTCAGGAATCAAACACATAGGCCGGCCGGGCGCGGTGGCTCACGCCTGTAATCCCAGCACTTTGGGAGGCAGAGGCGGATGCATCACCTGAGGACAGGAGTTGGAGACCAGCCTGGCCAACATGGTGAAACCCTGTCTTTACTAAAAACACAAAATTAGCCAGGCGTGGTGGCGTGCACCTGTAATCCCAGCAACTAGGGAGGCTGAGGCAGGAGAACCACTTGAACCCGAGAGGCAGAGGTTGCAGTGAGCTGAGATTGTGCCGGTGCACTTCAGCCTGCGTGACAGAGCGAGACTCCATCTCAGAAAAAAAATAAAATAATAAAATAAATTTTAAAAAATAATCAAACAGAGGCCCAAGAACCAAACAGAGGTTGGGCATGGTGGCTCACACTTGTAATCCCAGCACTTTAGGAGGCCGAGGTGGGTGGATGGTCACTCGAAGCCAAGAGTTTGAGACCAGCCTGGCCAACATGGCAAAACCCTGTCTCTAATTAAAAAAAAAAAAAAAATGAGGCCGGGCGCGGTGGCTCACGCCTGTAATCCCAGCACTTTGGGAGGCTGAGGCAGGCGGATCACGAGTTCAGGAGATGGAGACCATCCTGGCCAACATGGTGAAACCCCATCTCTACTAAAAATACAAAAAAATTAGCTGGGCGTGGTGGCACATGCCTGTAATCCCAGCTACTCGGGAGGCTGAGGCAGGAGAATAGCTTGAACCAGGCAGTTAGAGGTTGCACTGGGCCGAGATGGCGCCACTGCACTCCAGCCTGGCGACAGAGCGAGACTCTGTCTCAAAAAAAAAAAAAAAAAAAAAAAAGAATCCAACAGAAAAAGGGTCTTCTTTTATATGATAAAGGACGGGCAAGCAGAAATAAGCAGAATCTTTGGATAGGAACCTGGACGAGCAAGGGAAAATGAGCAGTGTAGCCCAACAGGACAGCATCCTACTGTGGTCAGCCGGTTCTCAAAAGAAACTGACCAGAGGGAGGCATATTCCACTGCTTTAGTGCCTGCCTGGTCAGATCTGGGGGTAAGCAAGAGTTGAGGGGCCCATAAGGGAAGAGAGAAGTCCGAATAAAGTTTGGTCAAGACAAAGCAGAAGCTAAGACATGAGCAATTGGGAACAGTTGGTCAGTTTTTACCAAATGAAAGCACATAGTGTCTTTGATAGCAATAGGTTGTAGGTTTAAGGAACACACATCATTCTGGAGGGTAACGAGTTAATCTACAAACCACTGAAACAGAGAGCCAACCACATTTTGAGACAGAAAATATGGAACTACTTCACTCCACTTGTTGCTAGTCAAAGAAAATAAAGTAATAATCCATCCCAGCAGTGGAGGGAAACGAAAGGGCAAAAGGGGGAAGAAAAAAAAAAAAGGAGAAATGCAATTTCCCATACCCATTCAAGCTATCTTTGGGTCCTGAACCACTAATGTTCCTCCTACCCCAGTTTCCAACCTAGCCAAACAGGGCCCCACCTAACAAATGCAAAAATTTACTAAATTTGCAAATCCCAACCACCAAAGAATCACCTTCCTATTGGACACCTAGAGGATATAAGGCAGGAGTCAAATCTCACACCCACCACAAAAAGTTGAGTAGAATTCACAAGGATGGATGCTTGGATACGAATCAGTAAAATATGATTAAAACTCAACCTAAACACTTCTCCAGGGGATGTGGCCAAACTGTGGCATGCTGGGGATTCAGTGGTCAACTGAACAACCCCAAGGTTCAGATTTTGGAGGGGAACCTGCTTTTAAAGAGCAAAACATGTTCCTTACCATGTTCTGCAAGTGCAGTCAACACACGCCTATCGGGCGCTGCTGGGATGCCAAGGAAGGTGATGGGAATTCAGAGATTAACCAAGCCAGTTCCTTCCCCTTCAGGAAAAGCCTCAATTCAGGGAGGAAACCGAAACCTAAAAGCCCCAGAACATCCTCTGATGTGGCAAGTGTTCAAGGAGCTGCGGTTAGCGCGGAGGGGTCCCGCGAGCCTGGATGACAGCAAGCCGCCCACCAAGGTCTGGGGAAAAATCTCCTTCTAACTAAAAAAAAGGGACCCGAGTCTCGCTTGTCCCGCGCCGGGGTGGCAAGTTAGTGAAGAAACCCACGAGAGTGAGATCCCAATCTACGACTGCCCCTCCCAGGTCCTCAATCCCGGGAGCCTGCTCCCATCCTACGAATCGCCTATCCCAGGCGACCCCATGTCTTCTTCCTCCGCCTCGGGGAGTCAGTCCCGGGAGCCCCATGCCGCAGGCCCTCCTGGGAACCCCCGCCGCAGGGCTCCCTCCCCCGCCTCGGGTCTTCCTTTCCTCGGCGCCCCCAGCGCAGGTCCGCCCTCCCGGGTGCCTCCCGCCGCAGGGCTCGCTCCTCGGCCTCGGTCCTCTCGTGGGGCCCCCTCCCTCAGGGCGCCTGGCCCGCGCCCCAGGTCGCCGCCCTTCGCCCCTCAGCCCCTCCGGAGCCGCTACCTCGGATGTTCTTCAGCAGCACCGGCTCTTCAAAGCCACCGCGCCTGAGGAAGGAGCACACCTGCTCCGGACCCCATGTCTTGTAGTCGGGATGGAGTTCCAGGCCCGGGGACCAGTCTGCCTCTGCGGAAGGGGTGTTTGAGGGGGTTCTCGGGCTGTCATCGCAACGGGGACGCTTGGAGGGCTGCTCGGAATCGGCTCGCTGCATGGCTACACCTGGCGTCCGGCACAGCAGTCAAGAACCTCGGCGCCGGACCCGCGCGCAGGCGCACTGACAGCAGGGCCCTGGCGGGGAGTCCAAGGAGTATTGGCAGCCTATTGGCCTCCTGCGCAGGCTCACTGACAGTTGAGCCCTTCGGGCAGGGCAGCCTAGCGGCTCTTGCCTTGGGCTCCCTGCGCAGGCGCAATGGCAGTCCAGTCGTCCTCAAATCAATCCCGCCAGGGCGCTGGACGTGAACGCGAAAGGGCGTGGCTAGAAGCAGAACTGAGGGCAGTGCTGGTGGAAAGGGGGAGGAAAGAGCGCGCCCGGCACCGCACCCCCAATTAGGGGCTCGTCTAGTGAATTGGGGGTATTCTCCTTCGAATGAGTACACTACCCGCCGCACCTTGGCCGGGTTTCAGATGCCCCAAACTTAAAAGAAGCCTAAAAGGCCGTCAGGCTGCCAGCACCTTCCCAGTGAAGAGGAAAACAGTCAAGGTGCTGAACTGGAAGAACCCGGAATGATTTCAAATGTGACTTGAGGGTGTCTTCATTCCACAGTATTGCTGGTCAACTAGAGGGCCCTGGGATACCTGTTGTCTGGTGTCCACACAGGAGGGGACTTCAGACTTCTTTCCAACTAGAGACAGAGCCCTCCATCCCAACTGCATTCCCAGAGGAAGGAAAGTGGCCAGTCTGATTACTTAAAATTTAACTTCTGAGGACTTTTACTGCCTGGTTGTAACAGCATGTGAAAATGGCAGGCATTTTCCCATCACTTAACCCCTCTGCGGCAGGGCTCAAACTTCCCTATAAATACTGGTCCATGCAATTGCCTGGTAAAAGGACATATCACTATTACTGTTAATAAAGCCAACACACCTTCCCAGCAACCAAGGCATAGACCTGTTTAGGGGGTCAAGGACGAATGAGGCGGAATAGCTTATCATCAAGCAGTATGAACTAGTGGTCTACTGGTGAGCCAAAATATTATTTGCAAACAGAGCTTTACTGTGTGCCAGGCACGGTTCTAAGGGCTTTACAAATATAAAATAATTTTATATTTATACATAATACTAAATGAATTAAGTACATTCATTAAATTATTTAAATATTAAATAATTTTTATAACTTCTAAGGGTTTTACAAATATTGTAAAGTTCTAAGGGCTCTACACATATTACTTCACTTAATTATCACAATTACCTTAGGATGTAGGAAAAAGTAATTTGCCGCAGGTCTTCTTTTTTTTTTTTGAGACGGAGTCTTGCTCTGTTTCCCAAGCTGGAGTGCAGTGGCGTGATCTCAGCTCACTGCAACCTCTGCCTCCCAGGTTCAAGTGATTCTCATGCCTCAGACTCCCAAGTAGCTGGGACTACAGGCGCCTGCCACCACACCTGGCTAATTTTTGTATTTTTAGTAGAGACAGGATTTCACCATGTTGGCCAGGCTGGTCTTGAACTCCTGACCTCAGGTGATTCCCACACCTCAGCCTCCCAAAGTGCTGGGATTACACAGCCGTACCCAGCTGCCCAAGGTCTTACAGCTAGGAAATGATGAAGCCTGTATTCAAACCCAAGAGATGTAACTTGGTTCCAAAGTCCATGGTCTTGATAACTTGCCAACCACTGCTTGTTAAAGGGGGTTTGGGGCTGGGTGCAGTGGCTCATGCCTGTAATCCCAGCACTTTGGGAGGCCAGAGCACTCACTTGAGGCCAGGAGTTCAAGGCCAACCTGGCCAACATGGTGAAACCCCATCTCTACTAAAATACAAAAATTAGCCAGGCCTGGTGGTGCATGCCTGTAATCCCAGCTACTCAGGAGGCGGGGGCACGAGAATCACTCAAATGTGGGAGGTGTAGGTTGCAGTGAGCCAAGATCTTCCCGTTGCACTCCAGCCTGGGCAACAGAGCAAGACTCTGTTTCAAAAATAATAATAATAAAAAATAAATAAATAAGTAAAGGGGGTTTTGATATAAAACTATTTTCTATTATTTAACCCACAATTTTCAATGGCTCCCTTTTCCTGCAGACCCATGGAGGAAAGTATAAAGGTGTTCCTGCCAGGCGCAGTGGCTCACGTCTGTAATCCCAGCACTTTGGGAGGCCGAGGCGGGTGGATCACCTGAGGTCAGGAGTTCGAGACCAGCCTGGCCAACATGGCAAAACCCTGTCTCTACTAAAATTACAAAAATTAGCTGGGTGGCCAGGCGCAGTAGCTGTCACCTGTAATCCCAGCACTTTGGGAGGCCGAGGCGGGTGGATCACAAGGTCAGGAGTTCAAGACTAGTCTGGCCAACATGATGAAACCCGTCTCTACTAAAAATACAAAACAATTAGCTGGGCATCGTAGCAGGCACCTGTAATCCCAGCTACTTGAGAGGCTGAGGCAGAGAATTGCTTGAACCTGGGAGGCGGAGGTTGCAGTGAGCTTGGATCGCGCCACTGCACTCCAGCCTGGGCAACAGAGCGAGACTCCGTCTCAAAAAAAAAAAAAAAAAAATTAGCCGGGCGTGGTGGCAGCCGCCTGTAATCCCAGCTACTCAGGAGGCTGAGGCAGGAGAATCGCTTGAACCTGGGAGGTGGAGGTTGAAGTGAGCCATAGCCTGGGAGACAAAAGTGAAACTCTATCTCAAAAAAAAAAAAAAAAAAAGAGTTGTTTTCCATCTGCACACAAGGCCAGGCCCCCCAAAAAAATGCCCTCAAACACTAGAGAACTTTGTGAAAAGACCTGACAGTTGCCAAGACTTGCGAAACCAAAACGGGATAAGAAAACAAATAGCATATGTATGAAAGACTTAATCTCAAGTCAGAAATGGCTGATTTAAAAACTTGTGTTTATAAGACCTGTGGGGAAACCTGCCCTGACATCAAGGTTTCCTGGACAATAGAAGGTGTTATAGCAGGGTTTTTAGTTTAATCAACTGTGTTTGTTCAAAGCAGCTGCTTTTAAGAATTTTTAGTTTTTTAATTTCATTTTTTTATTTTAATTTTAATTTTAATTTTTTTTGAGACAGAGTCTTGCTCTGTGGCCCAGGGTGGAGTGCAGTGGTGCAATCTGGGCTCACTGCAAACCTCTGCCTCCCGGGTTCAAGCGATTCTCCTGCCTCAGCCTCCTGAGTAGCTGGGATTATAGGCACCCGCCACGACGCCCAACTAATTTTTTTGTATTTTTAGTAGAGACGGGGTTTCACCATGTTGGCCAGGCTGGCTTTGAACTCCTGACCTCAAGTGATCAGTGAACTCCTGACCTCAAGTGCCTTGGCCTCCCAAAGTGCTCAGATTACAGGCATGAGCCACCGCACCCATCCAGAACTTTTATTTTCTGTTTTTGTTTGTTAAAAAGTATAATTTATTGCCATACTTATTATATTTTCCCTAATTCCCTACTTTCAAGGGGCCTTTGATCTTGCGCTAGGTCATTAGTTACTTGTTCAGGGTCAACATGGCTGGTAAGGGACAGAGAGAGGATTCAAAGGCAGTGCTCCCTCGCTCCAAAGTATAGGCTCTTTCCAGTTTGCCACTTCATTTAACTCCTCTTACAGTCCTAACGATCCTTTTCCATCATAATTCCACAGCCTGGGAACCAACACCCACTGGACACAGGCCCTGGACTCTGGCCATAGTGAGAGAAATGACTGCTCAAGCTGCCCTCTTCTAAAGTCAATCTCAGTATGGTTAGGACTAGAAAAAACAATAAGATCAATTAATTTAAGGCCCACTGCCCAATGACCTTGAATAAGCCCAGCAAGCTTTCCCTGACCTTATCTATTTACCTTCCACCCAGCCAGGCAAGCTGGGCAATTTTATTTCTGGCAGCATTCACCTGTGGTTTTTACATCTCTTCACAGCTTCCTTTTCAGCCAGTGTTGCTGGTTCTCAATGCCAGCTGCCACCACCCTCTGCATCTCTGTTTTACTGCCTTTTATCATTTACTGAACTTAGCCTCCTCAAGACTTTTTTTCCCATCTGCCCAAATTGCGAAGCTGAGCCAAAAAAATTTTTTTTTAAGTATTGATTTTCTTACCTGTTAAAGATAATGCTCAAGTAGGACAGGCGCAGTGGCTCACGCCTGTAATCCCAGCACTTTGGGAGGCCGAGGTGGGCGGATCACCTGTGGTCAGGAGTTCAAAACCAGCCTGGCCAACATGGTGAAACACCGTCTCTACCAAAAATACAAAAATTAGCCAGGTGCACGTCTGTAATCCCAGCTACTCAGGAGACTGAGGCAGGAGAATCACTTGAACCCGGAAGGCGGAGGGGTTGCAGTGAGCCAAGATCATTCCACTGTACTCCAGCCTGGGCACCAGAGCAAGACTCCATCTCAAAAAATAAAATGAAATAAAATAAATAATGCTCAAGAAAGAAAACTTGAACCGGGTGCGGTGGCTCTTGCATGTAATCCTAGCCCCTTGGGAGGGCATGGTGGGTGGGTCCCTTGAGCTCAGGAGTTTGAGACCAGCCTGGACAATGTGACAAAACTCCGTCTCTATTAAAAATGTAATAATAAAAAAAAAATTAGCTGTGTGTGGTGGCTTGTGCCTGTAATCCCAGCCACTAGGGAAGCTGAGGTGGGAAGATCATGTTTGCCTGGGAAGTTGACGCTGCAATGAGCTGAGATCAAGCCACTGCACTTCTAGCCTGGGCAAAGGAAGTAAGACCCTACCTCAAAGAAAAAAAAAAGAAAAAGAAATAAAGAACACTAGGCCAGGTGTGGTGGCACATGCCTATAATCCCAGTACTTTGAAAGGCTGAGGTGAGAGGATTGCATGAGGCCAGGAGACAGAGAGCAACCTGGTCAACATAGCAAGACCCTGTCTCTATAAAAAATAAAAATTAAAAAATTAAAAAGGCCGGGCCTGGTGGCTCATACCTGTAATGCCAGCAGTTTGGGAGGCCAAGGTGGGCAGATCACTTCAGCTCAGGAGTTTGAGACCAACCTGAGCAACATAGTGAGAACCCGTCCCTACAAAAAATACAAAAATTAGCTTGGCATGGTGACGTATGCCTGTAGTCCCAACTACTCAGGAGGCTGAGGTGGGAGGATCACCTGAGCCTGGAGAGGTTGAGGCTACAGTGAGCCATGATTATGCCACTACACTCCAGCCTGGGCGACAGGGTGAGATCCTTTCTCCAAATAATAGTAATAATAATAAAATTATAAAGAGAGAGAAAAAAGGAAACTTAGAGCCAGGCATGGTGGCTGGCTCCTGTAATCCCAGCTACTCAAGAGGCTGAGGCAGGAGGATCACTTGAGTGCAGGAGGTCAAGGCTGCAGTGAGCTATGATTGTGCCACGGCACTCCAGCTTGGGTGAAAGAGTAAGACCTTATCTCAAAAAAATAAAAAATAAATTAAAAAAGAAAGAAACCTTAGAAAACAAATGCACAAAATATACACACACACACAGAGCCAAAGGTCACCTTTTAGTGTGTTTGCTATCAGTCTTTTTGTGTTCATAGATGTAGAAACATATATTCTAGTTGAGATGGGTAGGAGACTGGCAATGAGTAATAATAATATAAATAACAATAATAAACTTAGATTATATGGTAGAAGTTAGTGCTATGGAAAATAAAAACAGAGCAAGGTAAGAGATTAGGAGCAGAGGAGTGGGTGGGCACAGTGGCTCACACCTGTAATCCCAGCACTTTGTGAGGTCAAGGTGGGAGGATCATTTGAGTCCAGGAGTTTGAGACTAGCCTGGGCAACTTGGCGAAACCCTGCCTCTACAAAAAATACAAAAATTAGCCGGGCGTAGTGGTGTCTGCTTCTAGTCCCAGCTACTCTGGAGGCTGAGGTGGGAGAATCATCTGAGCCTGGGAGGCAGAGGTTGCAGTGAGCCCAGATTGCACCACTGCACTCCAGCCTGGGCGACAGAGCGAGACCCTGTCTCAAAAAAAGAAAGAAAGAAAGAAAGAAAGACAGAAAGAGGCCGGGCACAGTGGCTGACGCCTGTAATCCTAGCACTTGAGTAGGCGGAGGCAGGGCGGATCACAAGGTCAGGAGATTGAGATCATCCTGGCTAACACGGTGAAACCCGGTCTCTACTAAAAAAACAAAAAATTAGCTGGGCGTGGTGGCACACACCTGTAGTCCCAGCTACTCGGGAGGCTGAGGCAGGAGAATTGCTTGAACCTGGGAGGCAGAGGTTGCAGTGAGCCAAGATCATGCCACTGCACTCTAGCTCTGGGCGACACAGCGAGACTCCGTTGAAAGAAAAGAAAGAGAAAAAGAAAGAAAAGAGGAGTAGAGAGAAGGATAGGGTCACCGTCACCATTTTGGATAGAGTTTCAGGATAGGTCTTTGAGAAGGTGACATTTGAGCAGAGAGTTGAAGGAAATGAAAGAGTCAGCTTTGCAGATGTCTGGAAGAAAAGCATTGCAGAAAAGGGAAAGAGGAAGTCCAAAGGTCCTGAAGCAGAAGCATGCCTGGATTTGAGCAATACCAAGCAGGCCATTGTGGATGGGGTAGAGTGAGTAAAATGGGAAGTGGTAAGAGATGAGGTCAAACAATGGGGCCAAAGAGCTCTCATGTCCCATCCTTAGGGCTCCACATCTAGAGGTAAGAGAAAGCCTCTGCTCCTCCAGTTCCAACGGAAAAATTGCAAGGGAATGACTTCAACAAGTTCATTTCAGCATCCATTGCTGGACCAGTCACTGTGGACAAGGTCATAAAATGATTGACCGAATCAGGTCACATGTTTACCCTTTGGGTCACAGGGAAAAGACTACTTCTAGGAGGAAAGGAATTGGCTTCGGACAAAGTTCCCAGGTATTTTTATACCCATTGAACAGACGAGGGAATGAAACTCAGAGAGGTAAAATGACTCGTCCAGGGTTACACGTGTGTGTTAATATTAAGTTCTTGGGGTTTCACCAAGATCTGCCTTGAAAGCTATTGCTCACCCCGGACGTGGTGGCTTGTGCCAGTAATCCTAGCACTTTGGGAGGCCAAGGTGGGCAGATCATCTGAGGTCAGGAGTTCGAGACCAGCCAGGCCAACATGGTGAAACCCTGTCTTTACTAAAAATACAAAAATTAGCCAGGCATGGTGGCAAAGGCTTGTAATCCCAGCTACTCAGAAGGGCAACAGAGCAAGACCCTGTCTCAACAGAGCGAGACCCTGAGGCAGGAGTATCGCTTGAACCTGGGAGGCGAAGGTTGCAGTGAGCTGAGATTGTGCCACTGCACTCTGCCCTTGGTGACAGAGTGAGACTCCTTCTCAATAAAACAAAACAAAATAAAGGAAACAAAAAAACTACTATTTCTCTTTTCTGCAACTTGAGCTGAGTACAAGGTCTGTTGCTTTTACATTGTTTCAGGGAGAGAAGCCATCTCGTCCTATAGAGTGTATTGTGACTCCTCGGGAGTGTCTCAGTGCTTGGGGTGGGAGTGACTGTGTTATTTGGAGTTTGGGATGCTCAAACACACAAGGAAGTGGCCAGACTTCCCTTAGGAGCCTAGGGTATCCTTGGGTAAAAATAAGTCATGTATCTTTCAATTAATTAATTAATTTATTTATTTGAGACGGGATCTCACTCTGTTGCCCCGGCTGGAGTGCAGCAGTGTGAACGCAGCTCACTGCAACCTCAACCTCCTAAGGCTCAAGTGATCCACCTACCTCAGTCTTCTGAGTAGCTGAGACCACAGGCACACACCACCTCACCCAGCTAATTTTTACAAATTTTTTGTAGAAACGGGCGTCTCACTTTGTTGCCCAGGCTGGTCTTAAACTCCCAAGCTAAAGCAATCCTCCTACTTCACCCTCTCAAAGTGCTGGAATTGCAAGCATGAGCCACCATGCCTGGCCTAGATCCTTTTAAAAGTCATTGCTAAGAGTCGTTTATAACTCATATTTCAAACATAGCACAGATTCCTAAACTCAAATGGTAATTGCATCAGAGAGTCTTTTTTTTTTTTTGAGACAGAGTCTTGCTCTGTTGCCCAGGCTGGAGTGCAGTGACGTGATCTCAGCTCACTGCAACCTCCACCTCCCAGGTTCAAGCAATTCTACTGCTTCAGCCTCCCAGGTAGCTGGGATTACAGACGCACGCCACCATGCTCATTTTTGTACTTTTAGTGGAGATAGAGTTTCACCATGTTGGCCAGGTTGGTCTCGAACTCCTGACCTCAGGTGATCTGCCCACCTCGGCCTCCCAAAGTGGTGGGATTACAGGCGCGACCCATTGCACCCGGCCTGAGCCACCGTGCCTGGCCAGCGAGTCTTAATCCCACATAAATTTGCTTGAGATCCCCTGTGTTACAACAAAAGGGGAATTTGCCATCCTAAAACCATTAGAAGAGGTTTATGAAGAAGCAATCACTATGGAAAGACCTTAGGCCTTTGATGAGTATATTCAGCCATTTGGTCAACCAACCAAAAAGTCTACCCTATCTTTGTACTTCTGTGGCAGGAAAATACGGTCTGGAGGCAGGGAACATGAGGCCGATTCACACTTCAGCTATCACAGGAAATATCCTCTCCATACGGCGTATGCCGAGTCGTACGTCAAGTACATGACTTTGTAACTTTACTTCATCCTCTTCGTTTACATAAGGCATACACCAAGTGACCAGTGGAAACCCCTAGAGGGTATTTAAACCTCCACAAACTTTTTTTTTTTTTTGAGACAAAGTCTTGCTCTTGTCCGCTAGGCTGGAGTGCAATGGCACGATCTCGGCTCACTGCAACCTCCGCCTCCTGGGTTCAAGGGATTCTCCTGCCTCAGCCTCCAGAGTAGCTGGAATTACAGGCACGTGCCACCATACCCGGCTGATTTTTTGTATTTTTAGTAGAGACGGGGTTTCACCACGTTGGCCAGACTGGTCTCAAACTCCTGACCTCAGGTGATCCGCCCACCTCAGCCTCCCAAAGTGCTGGAATTACAGGCGTGAGCCACCGCGCCCGGCCTAAACCCCCACAAATTCCGTAATGGGGCCTTTCATCCTCTATGCCCAGGCCACTCTCACACTGGGTAGTGTACTTTCATTTTCAGTAAATCTCTTCATTCCTTCCTCGCTTTGTTTGTGTGTTTTGTCCAATTCTCTGTGCAAGATGCCAAGAACCTGGACACTCTCCACCGGTAACGCTTCCACCTACATGAGCCAGTAAAATTTCCTTCATTTGAAGCCAGCATTATTTGAATTTTCTCTTGTTTGTGTGTATGTTGAATTTTTAGATTTTTTTTTCTCCTTTATAACTGACAGCATCCCTGAGACACTTTGCAACTCCAATATCTGACACTCAGCTCCAGGTACCCAGTGTTATCTGGCTGGCTTTCCCCTTGTAGTGACACTTGTATGCAGTCCAGTCTACTCCAATTCCTCATCATCTCACGTCCTACTGTCTCTAGTGAGTAGCACTGTCCATCAGCCAAGCTCACAAAGATCCTTTCCTCTGAGAAATTCCTTGTTTCTCCCTGAGTGGACCCACAGCATTATGGACTGAACTGTGACCTCTCTGTCCCCTGCATTCATATGCTGAAGCACCAGACCTCAATATCACTATATTTGGAGACAGGGCCTGTAAGGAGGTAATTAAGGTTAAATGAGACGAATAGGGTAGGATTCTGGTAGGAGCAGTGTCCTTTTAAGATGAACGGACACCAGAGATCTTTCTTTTCCTGCTCACACACCAAAGAGAGGCCATGGGAGGACACGGCAAGAAGGCAGCCTTCTGCAAATCAGGAAGAGAGGCCTCACCAGGAACCAGCCTTGCTGGCCCCTGATCTTGTAATTCCGGCCTCCAGAACTGTGAAAAAATACATTCCTCTTGTTTGAGCTGGTATCAACCACAGGTTCTTCAACTTTCATGTAATAAAAATTGATGGGAGGCAGAGCAAGTTTCCCAGACAAGGTGTTACTAGGCACTTATTTTCTTTTGCTTTTCTTTCTTTTTTTTTTTTTTCGAGAAGGAGTTTCATTCTTATTGCCCAGGCTGGAGTGCAATGGTGTGATCTCAGTTCACTATAACTTCTGCCTCCCAGGTTCAAGTGATTCTCCTACCTCAGTCTCCCAAGTAGCTGGGATAACAGGCATGTGCCACCAGGCCCAGCTAATTTTTTGTATTTTTAGTAGAGATGGGGTTTCTCCATGTTGGTCAGGCTGCTCTCAAACTCCCAACCTCAGGTGGTCCACCCACCTCGGCCTCCCAAAGTACTGGGATTAGAGACGTGAGCCACTGTGCCCGGCCTAGGGGCTTATTTTCGAACACAGAGAAGACAGCACAAGAGAGAGAGTTCTCTGACTGGTTCCCCAAAGAGAGTCAGGAGAGTAATTTTTTGTTGTTGTGTTTTGAGATGGAGTCTTGCTCTGTTGCCCAGGCTGGAGTGCAGTGGCAACATCTCAGCTCACTGCAACCTCTGCCTCCCAGGTTCAAGCGATTCTCCTGCCTCAGCCTCCCGAGTAGCTGGGACTACAGGTGCATGCCACCACACCCAACTAATTTTTGTTATTTTTAGTAGAGATGAGGTTTCACCATATTGGTTAGGCTGGTCACAAAATCCTGACCTCAAGTGATCTGTCCGCCTCAGCCACCCAAAGTGCTGGGATTACAGGTGTCAGCCACCATGCACAGCTAGGAGAGTAATTTTAAAGTGGCAAAAAGCAGGAAGGGAGTGACATTTACACATGTAGAGGCAGAAAACTGGGGCACCTAAGCAGTGTTGGGAACAGGCCCCCCAAAATCTGGCCATAAACTGGCCCCAAAACTGGCCACAGACAAAAATCTGTGCAGCACTGTGGCACTGTGACACTGTGACATGTTCATGATGGCCATGACGCCCACGCTGGAAGGTTGTGGGTTTACCAGAATGAGGGCAAGGAACACCTGGCCCACCCAGGGTGGAAAACCGCTTAAAAGTGTTCTTAAACCACAAACAATAGCATGAGCAATCTGTGCCTTAAGGATATGATCCTGCTGCAGATAACTAGCCAAACCCATCCCTTTATTTCCCATAAGGAATACTATTAGTTAATGTATAATCTACAGAAACAATGCTTATCACTGGCTTGCTGTCAAAAAATACGTGGGTAAATCTCTGTTCAAGGCTCTCGGCTCTGAAGGCTGTGAGACCCCTGATTTCCCACTCCACACCTCTATATTTCTGTGTGTGCGTCTTTACTTCCTCTAGCGCCACTGGGTTAGGGTCTCCACCACTGAGCTGGTCTCAGCAAAGCAGTTCGGTTACATGCTTCTTCTTGCATCGCATGTCTCATTAGCATGTTAAATCTTCACCCCTGGGTGTGATTTTTCCTATTATCATAATGGTAGGATTAAGGATCAGTCATTCTCCTGGCCTTGTGTGTATGCGGGTGGTGGGGTTAGTTTTCTTGAGCAAGATTTATGGTGGAATGCTTCTTATCTTCGTTTCTTCAGATAGCTTGCAGCAGCTGCAAGATTTTGACCACAGGTAAGGTGCCAGGGTGGTGGTGGTACAAGGTCTGGTAGTTAGTAGGTATGTCTAGAGGAATGCAGGAATGCATTAGTGGGGGTGGCACAATAGGAGACACACCGAGGGCCGTCCCTACCCCGTCTCAAAACCACCCAATCTGTGATATTTTGTTATGGTGGTCCTAACAGAGGAATCATGTGTATACTACCATGTGTGTGCCATGCAATGTCCACTCCTGAGTTGATGCTCTAAAGTTGGACGTTTTGACTCAGTGGTTCCCAAACTTTGGGCCCCAGGCTTCTGAGGCATTATGGAGCTCATTATTACCGGGAGCCCCTGTATGTTTAAGGATCTGATGCAGGTTGGGCGCAGTCGCTGACACCTGCAACCCCAGCACTTTGGGAGCCCAATCCAGGTGGATTGCTGGGAGCCCAAGGCAGGTGGATTGCCAGGAGTTTGAGACCAGCCTGGCCAGCATGGTGAAACCCCATCTCTACTAAAAATATAAAAATTAGTTGGGCATGGTGGTGCACGCTTGTAATCCCAGATATTCCGGAGGCTGAGGCACAAGAATCGCTTAAACCCAGGAGGCAGAGGTTGCAGTGAGCCAAGATCTCATCACTGCACGCCAGCCTGGTGACAGAATGAGATGCTGACATAAAAAAAAAAAAAAAGATATGAAAAAGATATGATCCAAAATAAAGTCCCACACATACTTAATCTATTTCTTCATGCTAAGTGTGCTATTATTATTAACAATATACACATTGATTCAAGTGTTAAGGAAGGCTTTGATCACTTTCTAACATTCCTTTCTCAAAGGTAAATATGTTGCTTGCATGGTGATCCTTACCTTGACCCCTGTGCCAAGACCTGAAGTTATTCCTTGCTTGGGACCTGGTTATCACTGTGATTCAGAAGCAAAGGAACAGTAGTTTCAGAATTTCTCTAATTCTAGCTCTGATCCTTATTTGAGAGAGAAATAAATAATTTCTCCAGTTCCTTAAAACTAGTAACCTAGGTGGGACTGGAAGATTGATCTTTGAAGCTGCATTTGTGTAACATGCATATTCTGTTTACCTACATTGCAACTTCGAGCAGACCAATAAACATAGTAATGTTGAAGATGATCTTATTCACAGTTTTTACAAGACTGAGAACACCTTGGTTATTATTCACATTAAAGAGGAGTAGGCCGGGCGCAGTGGCTCACACCTGTAATCCCAGCATTTTGGGAGGCCAAGGTGGGTGGAACACGAAGTCAGGAGTGCGAGATCAGCCTGGCCAACGTGGTGAAACCCCATCCCTACTAAAAATACAAAAATCAGCCTGGCATGGTGGTATGCACCTGTAGTCCCAGCTACTCAGAAGGCTGAGGTAGGAGAATCACTTGAACCTGGGAGGCAAAGGTTGCAGTGAGCCAAGATCGCGCCATTGCACTCCAGCCTGGCCGACAGAGCAAGACCCTGTCTGAAAAAAAAAAAGAGGAGTATTATTTTCAGTTTGGGTGGCTGCAGGGAAGTCAGGTTTCCCCTAGCAAGCATGCTCTGAGTGTCAGGGAGGAAACTGGCACTAGATTCTGAGGGAGAGATCAGGTCTTCCTTAGGGGAAATACCCTTTTCCTTGGGCAAGAGGTTAAGGTGGCACTGAGCCTTCGGGGTGTGGGTAGAAGCTGGTGCTAAGCCTCTGAGGTGGAAAGCTTAGGGAGGTCACAGTAAAGGTGAGGAGTTGGGGGCTCCCAGAAGACGATTAGGGAGAGAAGGTGCGGAAGACAAGGAACAGCAAGGAGAGAGCCATAAGATTGTGTAAAGGGAGAAGATTCACTGGAACACATTCTCCACCCCTAGAAAGGTTGGTTGTGATAAAAATCCTTCAACAAGCTGAGTTTCTTCTGTGTGTGATAGGGGTGAGAAGGAAGATTTACTCCAAAACAGAGGTAACAAATGAAGATGTTTCCAGGACAAAGGAAGACAAGCTTGAGAAAGAAAGAAGACGGCCTGGGAATTCCCAAAATATGGGGGATACTTATAGAAATCTGAGTCAGCCCAAGACTGTTATCAAAAGACACAGTGTAGGCCGTGTGCAATGGTTCACGCCTGTAATCCCAGCACTTTGAGAATCCGAGGTAGGAGGATTCGTTGATCCCAGGAGTTTGGAGACCAGCCTGGGCTACATAAGGAGACCCTGTCTCTACAAAAAATAAAATTAGACAGGTGGCGGTGCATGCCTGTGGTCCCAGCTACTCAGGAGGCTGAGGTGGGAGGATCACTTGAGCCCAGGAGGTTGAGGCTGCAATGAGCTATGATTGCACTACTGCACACCAGCCTGGGTGCCAGAGTGAAATGCTGTCTCAAAAAAAAAAAAAAAAAAAGTGGGCCTGTGAAACCACAGCGCTTGGCTTTGAATCCTAATGTGAACTTGGGCAAGTTACTTAAAAACTCTTGAGCTTTAATTTCTTCATCTGTAAAATTGAAATAATGGCTTTATTATAGAGTGTTATGAGAATTGAGCCTGGCACATAGAAAATCTGAATACATGTGAGATATAGTTATTATAAAAAGTATGCTTGCGTCCAGGCAGGGTGGCTCACGCCTCTAATCCCAGCACTTTGAGAGGCTGAGGTGGGTGGATCACTTGAAGTCAGGACTTCCAGACCAGCCTGGCCAACATGGTGAAGCCCCATCTTACCAAAAATATGAAAATTAGCCAGGCATGGTGTCGCACACCTATAATCCCAGCTACTCGGCAGGCTGACTCAGAATTCCTTGAACCTCGGAGGCGGAGGTTGCAGTGAGCCAAGATAGTGCCACTGCACTCCGGCCTGGGCAACAGAGTGAGACTCTGTCTGAAAAAATAAAAGGTATGCTTGGGCCTCCTTCTTAAATTCATTAATTTAACAAATATCAAGTCCATATTTAATTATTTAATCTACGCATCAGTCTATACCCTGGGAAAACCACATTAAAAAAATACTGCCTACATGGAGCTCATATTCTAGTGGGGGAGTCAGTATATGAGTAGATAATAAGTGCTAGGACGAAAAATACAACAGGATAAGAGTGTAGGGAAAGCTGAATTGGTCTAGGAAATGTGACCTGACACTTGAGCACAAATAGCTTTTTTTTTTTTGAGACGGAGTCTCGCTCTGTCACCAGGCTAGAGTGCAGTGGCATGGTCTTGGCTCACTGCAACCTCCACCCCCTGGGTTCAAGCGATTCTCCTGCCTCAGCCTCCCGAGTAGCTGGGACTACAGGTGCGTGCCACCACGCACAGCTAATTTTTTGTATTTTAGTAGAGACGGGGTTTCACTATGTTCATCAGGCTGGTCTTGAACTCCTTACCTCAGGTGATCCACCGGTCTCGGCCTCCCAAAGTGTTGTTGAGATTACAGGCGTGAGCCACCGTGCCTGGCCATTAAATTGTTTTCTCTTGTTTAATTAACTTCAATTCTGCCACTTGCTAGATGCTCTCTTAAAATAGCTGAAATTATTGTGTGCTTAGTCTCACTCTGTCCTTGTTTTGTTGTATAGTATTTTTTATTTTATTTTATTTTTTGAGACGGAGTCTCACTCTGTCATCCAGGCTGGAGTGCAGTGGTGTGATCTCAGTTCACTGCAACCTCCGCTTCCCAGATTCAAGCAATTCTCCTGCCTTAGCCTCCTGAGTCGCTGGGATTACAGGCATGCATCACCACACCCGGCTAATTTTGTATTTTTAGTAGAGGCAGGATTTCACCATGTTGGTCAGGCTGATCTCGAACTCCTGACCTCACCTGATCCATATGCCTCTGCCTCCCAAAGTGCTGAGATTACAGGCATGAGCCACCACACCCAGCCTGTTGTATAGTATTTAAATAAAAGGCACATAGAAGAAAATAGTTGTTGAGGTTTTAAGATAATCATTGGTACTTTCTCTGTTACTCTATTTAAAATGATGATGAGAAAAATTCATTGTCTTACTTTGCTAAGTTTGGCATAGGAGCTGTCAGTCTTTTTTTTTGAGACAGGGTCTCACCATGTTGCCTAGGCTGGAGCGCAGTGGCTCAGTCTCAGCTCACTGCAATCTCCACCTCTCAGGTTCAAGCAATTTTCAGGACTCAGCCTCCCGAGTAGCTGCCATTACAGGCATGCACCACCAGGCCTGGCTAATTTTTTTTTTTTTTTTGAGACACTGTTTTGCTCCTGTTGCCCAGGCTGGAGTGAGCAACAGGATTAATGCACATGCTTGAGCCCACTCACCCAACTCCTGAGATCTTATCAGGAAGCTGCTGATCACCAGTTCCAGGTGTTTCTATCTATCAGGAGACTGTATCTTCTCCTCGCACTGACTGTGACCAATTATTATTTTAGATGGACGCTTTTTTTTTTTTTCAGATGGAGTCTCGCCCTGTTGGCCAGGCTGGAGTGCAGTGGCATGATTGCGGCTCACTGCAACTTCTGCCTCCTGAGTTCCAGTGATTCTCCTGTCTCAGCCTCCCGAGTAGCTGGGATTACAGGCGTGTGCCACCATGCCCTGCTAATTTTTGTGTTTGTAGTAGAGATGGAGTTTCACCATGTTGGCCAGGATGGTCTTGATCTCTTGACCTCTTGATCCGCTTGCCTCGGCCTCCCAAAGTGCTGGAATTACAGGCATCAGCCACCGTACCTGGCCTCCCATGTTCTTTATATAGATGAGAAGCCTGTTTTTCAGTTAACTGATGCAAGGGGGCTGGACTTCTCTCCTTTCAAATAAAACCTTGAAGGTCCTGATGTATATTGAAAAGGGCGGCTGGGTGCAGTAGCTTGCGCTTGTAATCTCAGCACTTTGATGTGGGGAAAAGGGAGATCAGACTGTTACGGTGTCTATGTAGAAAAAGCAAGACATAAGAAATTCCATTTTGATCTGTACTAAGAAAAGTTCTTCTGCCTTGAGATGCTGTTAATCTGTAACCTTAGCCCCAACCCCGTGCTCACAGAAACATATGCTGTACTGACTCAAGGTTTAATGGATTTAGGGCTGTGCAGGATGTCCTTTGTTAAAAATGTGTTTGCAGGCAGTATGCTTGGTAAAAGTCATCACCATTCTCCATTCTCAACTACCCAGGGACACAATGCACGGCGGAAGGCCGCAGGGACCTCTGCCCAAGAAAGCCTGGGTATTGTCCAAGGTTTCCCCCCACTGAGACAGCCTGAGATATGGCCTCATGGGAAGGGAAAGACTTGACTGTCCCCCAGCCCGCCACCCGTAAAGGGTCTGTGCTGAGGAGGATTAGTGAAAGAGGAAGGCCTCTTTGCAGTTGAAATAAGAGGAAGGCATCTGTCTCCTGCTCATCCCTGGGAATGGAATGTCTCGGTATAAAACCCGATCGTACATTCTATTTACCGAGATAGGAGAAAACCGCCTTGTGGCTGGAGGTGAGACATGCTGGCGGCAATACTGCTCTTTACTGCACTGAGATGTTTGTGTAAAGTCAAACATGCACATCCAGGCACAGCACCTTTCCTTAAACTTATTTATGACACAGAGTCCTTTGCTCACATGTTTTCCTGCTGACCCTCTCCCTACCATTACTCTATAGTCCTGCCACATCCCCCTCGCCGAGATAGTAGAGATAGTGGTCAATAAATACTGAGGGAACTCAGAGACCAGCGCCGGTGCAGGTCCTCACTTGCTGAGCGCCAGTCCCCTGGGCCCACTTTTCTTCCTCTATACTTTGTCTCTGTGTCTTATTTCCTTTTCTCAGTCTCTCATCTCCACCTTGCAAGAAATACCCACAGGTGTGGAGGGGCAGGCCCCCTTCACTTTGGGAGGCCGAGGCAGGAGGATCACTTGAGGTCACGAGTTTGAGACCAGCCTGGCCAACATGGTGAAACCCCATCTCTACTAAAAATGCAAAAATTAGCTGGGCATGGTGGTACACGCCTGTAACCCCAGCTACTCCGGAGACTGAGGCAGAAGAATCGCTTGAACCCGGAAGGCAGAGGTTGCAGGGAGCCAAGATTGCACCACTGCACTGTAGCCTGGGCAACAGAGCAAGACTCCATCTCAAAAAAAAAAAAAAAAGTAAAAAGAAAAGAGCATGGAGGTGATTAGAGGAATTGAGGAAAATTTGTATTTGGGGTTCCTCATCCTCCCAGGGTAACATGCAGAACAAATGCTTAAACAGACAGGAAAGTCCTTCTGTTATAGGAGGAAGTGAGAGAAATACTCATGGAAAGCCTTCACATGCTCACAAAAACAGCAGCCATTGGATTTGAGTGGGCGGTGTTGACTTGCCCCCTTGACATAAAGAAGGAACCTCCAGAGGACCTGGGGCTTGGGATAAGGGCTCGAAAATGACAAAGCGCTGCTAACTCGAAGAAAAGCCAGTAGGTAGGGCCATTAAAGGGCCACAGAGTAAGGCCCTATGTAGACAAACTGCTTCAAAAGCCACCAAAAAACTTGGCCTTGGAGTGTAACAGGGATGAAAAGTATTTGGTAAGTCACAAGGAGCTGGCAGAGCCTGGCTTCCAACTAGTGCCTGTCCCAGCAATGAACCAACAGACAGGGGAAGGTTAGGAGGTCATTGAGCTGGTAAGGTCAAAACAGCTACAAATTTCAAGGGTCATCCACAAGGGAGACCCGCTCTTTGCCTGCTACACAAATGCAACAAAGGCCGCGGGAGCACAAATCACAAACGGGGATTGTGTGTTGAAGGCAGAGAAGGAAGTCATGTGTCATGCAAAGTGAAAGCAGAGAAAAGGCAGACTTGCTTGCAAGGCAGACAGTCTGGTGGGTGCACAAGGCCATTTCAGAATACACACGGAGGAAACAAGAGAATAGACAGTGCAGGATTTGGGGAAAGAGCTGATTTTTGTTGAAGAAGCAAAGGTAGCCCCATACATGACATGGTCTTAGCCTTTACCCTACCACTCCCACAAGCCTCACTGTCCCAGTGGGCCATTAGTGTCTCAGGTCTACTCAGTGTGGAATACAAGATCCTTCCCACCCCTACAAGTCACCCATGAGGGTGAGCTGAGAGATTAGCCAAGAGGACCAGAACCATTGTGGCCGAGAGGAATCATTCTAGAGGATGGTTAGTAAACAGGAGAGCAAAAGGGGAGAAGGAAACTGCGTATCGGAGTTAAACGCCTCCAGCTGAAGAAGGCAAGGTGTAGAGGTGTGTATTAGTCCGTTCTCAAGCTGCTAATAAAGACATACCCAAGGCTGGATATTTTATAAAGGAAAGAGGTTTAATGGACTCATAGTTCCGCATGGCTGGGGAGGCCTCACAATCACGGCGGAAGGCAAAGGAGAAGCAAAGGCACATCCTACATGGCAACAGGCAAGAGAGTATGTTCAGGGGAGCTCCCCTTTATTAAACCATCAGATCTCATGAGACTTATTCACTATCACGAGAACAGCACGGAAAAAACCCACTCCCACGATTCAATGACCTCCCACCGGATCCCTCCCACCACATGTGGGGATTATTACAATTCAAGGTGAGATTTGCATGGGGACACAGAACCAAACCATATCAAGGTTTCTTACCACTAGGGAATGTATCTTAGTTGTGACACCAACGCATGTTACCAGCAGCAAATTTGTACAGATCTGCTGCAAACTCAATCCTTGCCTCTGCAGAGGAAAGCATTTGGCAGGGGCAGAAGTAGTTTTAAGGCAGAGCAAGAGACAGAGGCAAGCTTAAGAGCAGGAGTGAGAGTTTATTAAAAAGTGTTACAGCAGGAGCAAAAGGAAGCAAAGCACATTTGGAAGAGGGAGAAGTGGGCAACTTGGGAGATGCAAGTGCCGTGTTCAGCCCTTGACTTGGGGGTTTATACACTGGCGTGGTTCCAGGGTTTTCTTTTCTCACTTGATTTTTCCCCTCCCCTTGACTGCTGCATGTGCAGTGGTGGTCAGCACTTGGGAGGGTGACTGCATGCACAGTGCGTTTACTGAGGTTGTGCACATGCTCTGTAGGTACAATTTTCCTTTACCAGTCGAACAACCGCAGAGGAAGATCAGACATGGGCCATTTTGCCTCTTAATGCGCCAGTCTGGTCTTAAACTCCTGACCTCAGGTGACCTGCCCATCTTGGCCTCCCAAAGTGCTGGGATTACAGGCCTGAGCCACCATGCCCAGTCAATTTTTGTTTTTAGTAGAGACATGGTTTTGTCATTTTGGCTAGGCTGGTTTTGAACTCCTGGCCTCAAGTGATCTACCTACCTCAGCCTCCCAGACTGCTGAGATTATAGGCATGAGCCACTGCACCCAGCAGAACCTATCACATTTGTGATGCTTTTGATCACAGTTCTGTCACTAGATTGCTAGCAATTAGATGTATGCAATGAGTAAGCTAACTACTTTAACACAGTGGTTTGAAGTACTGCAGGCAGTAATGACTGAACACGAAATCACAGCATTTTAATCTGTGACATGTTAGAGAGAATGCCAGGACTCTCTGCAGTACAAATGTTCTATTAACTAATCCTTGTGCTGCTAAATTATAGGGCTTTGGCTCCTGGGTCTGGAAAAGACACCAGTTCCTACTAAATCTTAAGCACTGACACCAGTCAATGCCTTGTCTTCAGACCCCAAGAGGTGACAATCAAAATGAAGTGCTTTCATGAGATATGGGGCCAGAAACTGAAACCGTTCAATCCCTCTAGGCTCACGGACTATTGCCGAAGAGGTGGGTGTGTGATATTATAGTTAGAGCCAATTTTGAGGGAAAAAATTATCTCAGAGTTTTTCTCTAAATTAAACATTAGCATCCAAAGCATACTGACACAAGGCAGGTGTCTGGGCCCCTGTATCAGAATAATGGGGTTTTCTTGGGGGCATTGATTTGATTTGTAATAAAAAAAAGTATAGGCAAGTTGTAATGTAATCTGAGCACTTTGGGAGGCCAAGGCAAGAAGATTACATGAGGCCAGGAGTTTGAGACCAGCCTGGGCAACATAGTGATGTTAGAGTAGGTAGTTAGACAGACATGAGCAGGGCAGGAAAAGGCCTCAAGTAATGTCAGGCAACCATCAGGTAACTGTCAGTTGTTAAAGTGTCCCTCTGGGCTGGGCGCGGTGGCTCACACCTGTAATCCCAGCACTTTGGGAGGCTGAGAGGGGTGGATCACCTGAAGTCAGGAGTTCAAGACCAGCCTGGCAAAAATGGTGAAACCCCATCTCTCCTAAAAATACAAAAATTAGTCGGGCGTGGTGGCACACGCCTGTAATCCCAGCTACTTGGGAGGCTGAGACAGGAGAATCGCTGGAACCCAGGAGGCAGAGGTTGTAGTGAGCCACGATCCCGCCACTGCACTCCAGCCTGGCCAACAGGGCGAGACTCCATCTAAAAAAAAAAGTGTCCATCTAAAATAATAATTGGTCACAGTCAGTGCCAGAGGAAGAGACAGTCTCCTGATAGATAGAAACACCTGGAACTGGTGATCAGCAGCTTCCTGATAAGATCTCAGGAGTTGGGTGAGTGGGCTCAAGCATGTGCATTAATCCTGTTGCCCACTCCAGCCTGGGCAACAGGAGCAAAACAGTGTCTCAAAAAAAAAAAAAAAAAAATTAGCCAGGTCTGGTGGCGCATGCCTGTAATGGCAGCTACTCGGGAGGCTGAGTCCTGAAAATTGCTTGAACCTGAGAGGTGGAGATTGCAGTGAGCTGAGACTGCCAGTGCACTCCAGCCTAGGCAACATGGTGAGACCGTCTCAAAAAAAAAAGACTGACAGCTCCTAGGCCAAACTTAGCAAAGTAAGACAATGAATTTTTCTTGTCATCGTTTTAAATAGAGTAACAGAGAAAGTAGGAATGATTATCTTAAAACCTCAACAACTATTTTCTTCTATGTCCCTTTCATTTAAATACTATACAACAGGCTGGGCGCGGTGGCTCACGCCTGTAATCTCAGCATTTTGGGAGGCAGAGGCAGGCAGATCAGCTAAGGTCAGGAGTTTGAGATCAGCCTGACCAACATGGTGAAACCCCGTCTCTACTAAAAATACAAAATTAGCCAGGTTGGTGATGCATGCCTGTAATCCCAGCGACTCCGGAGGCTAAGGCAGGAGAATTGCTTGAATCTGGGAAGCAGAGGTTGCAGTGAACTGAGATCACACCACTGCACTCCAGCCTGGGTGACAGAGCAAGACTCTGTCTCAAAAAATAAAATAAAATAAAATAAAAAATATTATACAACAAAACAAGGACAGAGTGAGACTAAGCACACAATAATTTCAGCTATTTTAAAAGAGTATCTAGGAAGTGGCAGAATTGAAGTTAATTAAACAAGAGAAAAAACTTAATGGCCAGGCACGGTGGCTCTTGCCTGTAATCTCAACAACACTTTGGGAGGCCGAGACCGGCGGATCACCTGAGGTGATCAAGACCAGCCTGATGAACATAGTGAAACCCCATCTCTACTAAAATACAAAAAATTAGCTGTGCGTGGTGGCCCGCACCGGTAATCCCAGTTACTCAGGAGGCTGAAGCATGAGAATCACTTGAACCCACGAGGCGGAGATTGCAGTGAGCTGAGATCGCACCACTGTACTCCAACCTAGGCAACAGAGCAAGACTCCATCTCAAAAAAATAAAGAAAATTTTTATTTATTTATTTATTTATTTTTTGAGACGGAGTCTCGCTCTGTCGCCCAGGCTGAAGTGCAGTGGCCTGAGCTCTGCTCCCTGCAAGCTCCGCCTCCCGGGTTCACGCCATTCTCCTGCCTCAGCCTCCCGAGTAGCTGGGACTACAGGCGCCCGCTACCGCGCCCGGCTAATTTTTTATATTTTTAATAGAGACGGGTTTTCACCGTGTTAGCCAGGATGGTCTCAATCTCCTGACCTCGTGATCCCCCTGTCTCAGCCTCCCAAAGTGCTGGGATTACAGGTGTGAGCCACCGCGCCCAGCCAAAAATAAAGAAAAAATTTAAGAAAATTAAAAAAGAAAAAAGAGCATCATCTCCCATTTCCAAGATTGGTTTCTAGATACAGTAATCCGGTAACTTTCACCATTAGAATCTTTAAACCAGTGCAACACTTGTACATATATTGATTTTAAGTACACAAATGAAGGCCCAACAGTGAGAGAAGGCTTAGGATCAAAAATCACTAGAAAGTCTCAGTTTTTTTGTTACTACTTAATCACTTAATTTTAATAATAGTAAAACAGGCCAGGCACAGTGGCTCATACCTGTAATCCCAGCGCTTTTGGAGGCCAAGGTGGACGGATCACTTGAGGTCAGGAGTTCCAGACCCTCTTGGCCAACATGGCAAAACCCTGTCTCTACTAAAAATACAAAAATTAGCCAGACATGGTGGCGTTCGCCTGTAGTCCCAGCTATTTGGGAGGCTGAGGCAGGAGAAATGAACCTGGGAGGCGGAGGTTGCATTGAGATCGTGCCACTGCACTCCAGCCTGGGCCACAGAGCGGGACTCCATCTCATAAAAAAAGCTTTGTAGGCCGGGCGCAGTGGCTCAAGCCTATAATCCCAGCACTTTGGGAGGCTGAGGCAGGTGGATCACGAGGTCAGGAGATCGAGACCAGCCTGGCCAATATGGTGAAACCTCGTCTCTACTAAAAAATACAAAAATTAGCCAGGTGTGATGGCACGTGCCTGTGGTCCCAGCTACTCAGGAGGCTGAGGCAGAAGAATCGCTTGAACCCGGGAGGCAGAGGTTGCAGTGAGCCAAGATCATGCCACTGTACTCTAGCCTGGGTGACAGAGCAAGAATCCATCTCAAAAAAAAAAAAAAAAGAAAGTTAGGCAGGTGAAATGCTGCTTGCCTGTAGTCCCAGCTACTTGAGAAGCTGAGGTGGGAGGATTGCTTGAGCCCAGAAGCTTGAGGCTGCAGGGAGCTCTAATCACGCCACTGCACTCCAGCCTGGGTGACACATCGTGAGCCTGTCTCAAAAACTAATAAAAGTAAAATAAAATTAATTTTGAAGTTAAGCTGCTCCATTATAAAAGGTCACCTGTTTTTAATTGTTTATTACAATTTTTTTTTACATGAAGGAAATTATGCAAATCTTAAGTCGTAAAACATGATGAATTTTTCCAGCTTTATTACATGCAATAAAATACAATAAAATAAACCTGTCTTAAGTGTACAGTTTTACATAAAATAAAATTTACATACAATAAAATACACCTGTCTTAAGTGCACAATTCGATGAATTTTAGTGATGCATATAGCTGTAAAACTACCACCACAAACAAAATATAGAATATTTCCATCACTCTAAAAAGTTTTCTCATGCCCTTTGATCTTCTTCCCTGCCCTCCCCACATCCTTCCTGCCACACGCCCAGGCAACTGTTGCTCTGTTTTATGTCACTATGATTTTGCCTTTTTGAAAATTTCATGTAAATATTTTTATATATGCAAAGTATATAGTCTTTTGTATTTTAGTTCTTTTACTTAGTATTATGTTTTTGAGATTCATCTTTATTGCATGTATCAATATTTATTTTCTATTGCTGAGCAATCTTCCTTTGTAACCAGTTAATGGATGTTTGGGTTGTTTGCAGGGTTTGATTAATATGAATAACTATCAATATAAACATTTGTGTGCAGTCTTTCAACATTTTTTTCCCTCTGTTGCCCAGACTGGAGTGTGGTGGTGTGATCATGGCTCACTGCAGCCTCAACTTCCTGGGCTCAAGCAATCCTCCTACCTCAGCCTCCCAAGTAGCTGGGACTACAGGAGTGTGCTATTTTTTTTTTTTATTTTTTTTATTTTTTATTTTTTATTTTTTTATTTTTTTATTTTTTTATTGATCATTCTTGGGTGTTTCTCGCAGGGGGGGATTTGGCAGGGTCATAGGACAATAGTGGAGGGAAGGTCAGCAGATAAACAAGTGAACAAAGGTCTCTGGTTTTCCTAGGCAGAGTGTTTGTGTCCCTGGGTACTTGAGATTAGGGAGTGGTGATGACTCTTAACCAGCATGCTGCCTTCAAGCGTCTGTTTAACAAAGCACATCTTGCACCACCCTTAATCCATTTAACCCTGAGTGGACACAGCACATGTTTCAGAGAGCACAGGGTTGGGGGTAAGGTCACAGATCAACAGGATCCCAAGGCAGAAGAATTTTTCTTAGTACAGAACAAAATGAAAAGTCTCCCATGTCTACTTCTTTCTACACAGACACGGCAACCATCCGATTTCTCATTCTTTTTCCCACCTTTCCCCCTTTTCTATTCCACAAAACCGCCATTGTCATCATGGCCCGTTCTCAGTGAGCTGTTGGGTACACCTCCCAGACGGGGTGGTGGCCGGGCAGAGGGGCTCCTGACTTCCCAGTAGGGGCGGCCGGGCAGAGGCGCCCCTCACCTCCCGGACAGGGCGGCTGGCCGGGCAGGGGGCTGACCCCCCCACCTCCCTCCCGGACGGGGCGGCTGGCCGGGAGGGGGGCTGACCCCCCCACCTCCCTCCCGGACTGGGCGGCTGGCCGGGCGGGGGGCTGACCCCCCACCTCCCTCCCGGACGGGGCGGCTGGCCGGGCAGAGGGGCTCCTCACTTCCCAGTAGGGGCAGCCGGGCAGAGGCGCCCCTCACCTCCCGGACGGGGCAGCTGGCCGGGCGGGGGGCTGACCCCCCCACCTCCCTCCCGGACGGGGCGGCTGGCCAGGCAGAGGGGCTCCTCACTTCCCAGTAGGGGCAGCCGGGCAGAGGCGCCCCTCACCTCCCAGACGGGGCGGCTGGCCGGGCGGGGGGCTGACCCCCCCACCTCCCTCCCGGACAGGGCGGCTGGCCAGGCAGAGGGGCTCCTCACTTCCCAGTAGGGGCGGCCGGGCAGAGGCGCCCCTCACCTCCCGGACGGGGCGGCTGGCCGGGTGGGGGGCTGACCCCCACCTCCCTCCCGGACAGGGTGGCTGCTGGGCGGAGACGCTCCTCACTTCCCAGACGGGGTGGCAGCAGGGCGGAGGGGCTCCTCACTTCTCAGACGGGGCGGTTGCCAGGCGGGGGGTCTCCTCACTTCTCAGACAGGGCGGCCGGGCAGAGACGCTCCTCACCTCCCAGACAGGGTCGCGGCCGGGCCGAGGCGCTCCTCACATCCCAGACGGGGCAGCAGGGCAGAGGCACTCCCCACATCTCAGACGATGGGCAGCCGGGCAGAGACGCTCCTCACTTCCTAGATGGGATGGCGACCGGGAAGAGGCGCTCCTCACTTTCCAGACTGGGCAGCCAGGCAGAGGGGCTCCTCACATCCCAGACGATGGGCGGCCAGGCAGAGACGCTCCTCACTTCCCAGACGGGGTAGCGGCCGGGCAGAGGCTGCAATCTCGGCACTTTGGGGGGCCAAGGCAGGCGGCTGGGAGGTGGAGGTTGTAGCGAGCCGAGATCACGCCACTGCACTCCAGCCTGGGCACCATTGAGCACTGAGTTAACGAGACTCTGTCTGCAATCCCGGCACCTCGGGAGGCCGAGGCTGGCGGATCACTCGCGGTCAGGAGCTGGAGACCGGCCCGGCCATCACAGCGAAACCCCGTCTCCACCAAAAAAATACGAAAACCAGTCAGGCGTGGCGGCGCGCGCCTGCAATTGCAGGCACTCGGCAGGCTGAGGCAGGACAATCAGGCAGGGAGGTTGCAGTGAGCCGAGATGGCAGCAGCACAGTCCAGCTTCGGCTCGGCATGAGAGGGAGACCGTGGAAAGAGAGGGAGAGGGAGACCGTGGAAAGAGAGGGAGAGGGAGAGGGAGAGGGAGACCGTGGAAAGAGAGGGAGAGGGAGAGGGAGACCGTGGAAAGAGGGGAGAGGGAGAGGGGGAGGGTGAGGGAGAGGGAGAGGGAGAGAGAGAGAGGGAGCGAGTGTGCTATTTTTTTGTATGTTTTGTAGAGACGGAGTCACGCCATGTTGCCCAGGTTGGTCTTGAACTCCTGGCCTCAAGTGACCCATCCGCCTCAGCCTCCCAAAGTGCTGGGATCACAACAAGCATGAGCCACCGCCCCCGGCCTGATCATACATTTTTATTTCCCTTTAATTTTGTATGTGTTGGGTTCATGGGTCAAATGGTAAGTATATGTCAAACTTCATAAGATATTGCCATATTCTTTCCCAAAGTGGCTACTACCCATTTTGCATTCCAACCAGCAATGTGTAAAAGTTCTAGTTGTTCTACATCAAGGCCATCTTTAGAAGTGAATCTTCCCAGACTTTAAAAAACATGCATATATTATGTATTTTTAATGTAAAAATGGTTCACAGATATCACTTAATATATCAGGGTCATCCTTGTATTGTCTAAATTAGACTTCTGTGACAATTTTTTTAATTAATTTTTTTTGAGACAGAGTTTCATTCGTGTTGCCCAGGCTAGAGTGCAATGGCACGATCTCGGCTCACCGCAACCTTCACCTCCCAGGTTCAAGCGATTCTCCTGCCTCAGCCTTCCAAGTAGCTGGGATTATAGTGATGTGCCACCACACCCGGCTAATTTTTTCGTATTTTAGTAGAGACGGGGTTTCTCCATGTTGGTCAGGCTGGTCTGGAACTTCTGACCTCAGGTCTCGAATTTCCGCCCACCTCGGCCTCCCAAAGTGCTGGGATTACAGGTGTGAGCTACCGGGCCTGGCATTCTGTGACAATTTTAATGTTGTGTTCCAATGTCTGAATCTCCCATTATTTATGTATTTATTATTTATTTTGAGATGGAGTTTTGCTCTTGTCGCCCAGGTTGGAGTGCAGTGGCACAATCTTGGCTCACTGCAACCTCCGCCTCCCAGGTTCAAGCGATTCTCCTGCCTCAGCCTCCTGAGTAGCTGGGATTATAGGCGCCCACCACCATGCCCAGCTAATTTTTGTATTTTTAGTAGAGACGGGGTTTCACTAGGTTGGCCAGGCTGGTCTCCAACTCCTGACCTCAGGTGATCCACATGCCTCGGCCTCCCAAAGTGCTGGGATTACAGGCATGAGCCACCACCCCCAGCCTCTCCCATTATTTATTACCAAACAAGGCAAGAAAAAAGGGTGAGGAGGATTTTGGTTGGATTTATTTCAGATATTGGCACTTGGAATAAATTTTGTTTAGTGAGTCTAAGGTTTGCAAAGTTAAAAATCAGGTATTGGCTAATGTATAACATCATGATACAGGATTTTTTTTTTTTTTTTTTTTGAGACAGAGTCTAGTTCTGACCCCCAGGCTGCAGTGCGGTGGGGCAATCTAAGCTCACTGCAAGCTCCACCTCCCGGGTTCACGCCATTCTCCTGCCTCAGCCTCTTGAGTAGCTGGGACTATAGGTGCCCGCCACCATACCTGGCTAATTTTTTGTATTTTTAGTAGAGACGGGGTTTCACCGTGTTAGCCAGGATGATCTCTATCTCCTGAACTCGTGATCCACCCGCCTCGGCCTCCCAAAGTGCTGGGATTACAGGCGTGAGCCACCATGCCCGGCCGATACAGGATTGTTAAAATACTGAAGGTATTTCATCACATAAAGGTATTTTTGGACAGGCATGGTGGCTCACGCCTGTAATCCCAGCATTTTGGGAGGCCGAGGTGGGCAGATCATGAGGTCAGCAGATTGAGGCCATGCTGGCCAACATGGTGAAACCCCACCTCTACTAAAATTAAAAAAAAAAAAAATTAGCCCAGTGTGGTGGTACACACCTGTAGTCCCAGCTACTCGGGAGGCTGAGGCAGGAGAATCGCTTGAACCCAGGGGGTGGAGGTTGCAGTGAGCCAAGACCATGCCACTGCACTCTAGCCTGGTGACAGAGCGAGACTCCGTCTCAAAAAAAAAAAAAGCTATTTGTGCTCAAGTGTCAGGTCACATTTCCTAGACCAATTCAGCTTTCCCTACACTCTTATCCTGTTGTATTTTTCGTCCTAGCACTTATTATCTACTCATATACTGACTCCCCCACTAGAATATGAGCTCCATGTAGGCAGTATTTTTTTAATGTGGTTTTCCCAGGGTATAGACTGATGCGTAGATTAAATAATTAAATATGGACTTGATATTTGTTAAATTAATGAATTTAAGAAGGAGGCCCAAGCATACCTTTTATTTTTTCAGACAGAGTCTCACTCTGTTGCCCAGGCCGGAGTGCAGTGGCACTATCTTGGCTCACTGCAACCTCCGCCTCCGAGGTTCAAGGAATTCTGAGTCAGCCTGCCGAGTAGCTGGGATTATAGGTGTGCGACACCATGCCCGGCTAATTTTTGTATTTTTAGTAAGATGGGGTTTCACCATGTTGGCCAGGCTGGTCTGGAAGTCCTGACTTCAAGTGATCCACACACCTCAGCCTCTCAAAGTGCTGGGATTACAGGCGTGAGCCACCCTGCCTGGCCGCAAGCATACTTTTTATAATAATTATATCTTACATGTATTCAGCATTTTCTATGTGCCAGGCTCAATTCTCATAACACTCTATAATAAAGCCATTATTTCAATTTTACAGATGAAGAAATTAAAGCTCAAGAGTTGGCTGGGCGTGGTGGCTCACGCCTGTAATCCCAGCACTTTGGGAGGCTGAGGCAGGTGGATCACGACGTCAGCAGATCGAGACCATCCTGGGTAACACGGTGAAACCCTGTCTCTACTAAAAATACAAAAAAAATTAACCGGGCGTGGTGGTGAGCACCTGTAGTCCCAGCTACTCGGGAGGCTGAGGCATGAGAATGGCGTGAACCCAGGAGGCGGAGCTTGCAGTGATCCCAGATCACGCCACTGTACTCCAGCCTGGGCGACAGGCGAAACTCAGTCTCAAAATAAATAAATAAATAAATAAAGCTCAAGAGTTTTTAAGTAACTTGCCCAAGTTCACATTAGGATTCAAAGCCAAGCGCTGTGGTTTCACAGGCCCACTTTTTTTTTTTTTTTTTTGAGACAGCATTTCACTCTGGCACCCAGGCTGGTGTGCAGTAGTGCAATCATAGCTCATTGCAGCCTCAACCTCCTGGGCTCAAGTGATCCTCCCACCTCAGCCTCCTGAGTAGCTGGGACCACAGGCATGCACCGCCACCTGTCTAATTTTATTTTTTGTAGAGACAGGGTCTCCTTATGTAGCCCAGGCTGGTCTCCAAACTCCTGGGATCAACGAATCCTCCTACCTCGGATTCTCAAAGTGCTGGGATTACAGGCGTGAACCATTGCACACGGCCTACACTGTGTCTTTTGATAACAGTCTTGGGCTTACTCAGATTTCTATAAGTATCCCCCATATTTTGGGAATTCCCAGGCCGTCTTCTTTCTTTCTCAAGCTTGTCTTCCTTTGTCCTGGAAACATCTTCATTTGTTACCTCTGTTTTGGAGTAAATCTTCCTTCTCACCCCTATCACACACAGAAGAAACTCAGCTTGTTGAAGGATTTTTATCACAACCAACCTTTCTAGGGGTGGAGAATGTGTTCCAGTGAATCTTCTCCCTTTACACAATCTTATGGCTCTCTCCTTGCTGCTCCTTGTCTTCCGCACCTTCTCTCCCTAATCGTCTTCTGGGAGCCCCCAACTCCTCACCTTTACTGTGACCTCCCTAAGCTTTCCACCTCAGAGGCTTAGCACCAGCTTCTACCCACACCCCGAAGGCTCAGTGCCACCTTAACCTCTTGCCCAAGGAAAAGGGTATTTCCCCTAAGGAAGACCTGATCTCTCCCTCAGAATCTAGTGCCAGTTTCCTCCCTGACACTCAGAGCATGCTTGCTAGGGGAAACCTGACTTCCCTGCAGCCACCCAAACTGAAAATAATACTCCTTTTTTTTTTTTTTTCAGACAGGGTCTTGCTCTGTTGGCCAGGCTGTAGTGCAATCGTGCGATCTTGGCTCATTGCAACCTTTGCCTCCCAGGTTCAAGTGATTCTCCTACCTCAGCCTTCTGAGTAGCTGGGACTACAGGTGCATACCACCATGCCAGGCTGATTTTTGTATTTTTAGTAGGGATGGGGTTTCACCACGTTGGCCAGGCTGATCTCGCACTCCTGACTTCGTGTTCCACCCACCTTGGCCTCCCAAAATGCTGGGATTACAGGTGTGAGCCACTGCGCCCGGCCTACTCCTCTTTAATGTGAATAATAACCAAGGTGTTCTCAGTCTTGTAAAAACTGTGAATAAGATCATCTTCAACATTACTATGTTTATTGGTCTGCTCGAAGTTACAATGTAGGTAAGCACAATATGCATGTTACATAAATGCAGCTTCAAAGATTAATCTTCCAGTCCCACCTAGGTTACTAATTTTAAGGAATTAGAGAAATTACAGGCCTGAGCCACCGTGCCCAGCCAATTTTTGTATTTTTAGTAGAGACATAGTTTCGTCATTTTGGCCAGGCTGGCATCGAACTCCTGACCTCAAGTGACCCGCCTGCCTTGGCATCCCAAAGTGCTGAGATTACAGGTGCGAGCTACTGCACCTGGCCACCCTTTTCAATATACATCTGGACCTTCAAGGTTTAATTTGAAAGGGGAGACGTCCAGCTCCCTTGTGTCAGTTAGCTGAAAAACAGGCTTCTTGTCTACATAAAGAACATGGGAGGCCAGGCGCGGTGGCTCACGCCTGTAATCCCAGCACTTTGGGAGGCCAAGGCAAGCGGATCACCAGGTCAAGAGATCAAGACCATTCTGGCCAACATGGTGAAACCCCATCTCTACTACAAATACAAAAATTAGGTGGGCGTGGTGGGGTGCACCTGTAGTCCCAGCTACTGGAGAGGCTGAGGCTGGAGAGTCGCTTGAACCCAGGAGGCGGAGGCTGCAGTGAGCCGAGAGTGTGCCATTGCACTCCAGCCTGGCGAAAGAGCGAGACTCCATCTCAAAAAAAAAGAACACAGGGAGTGGGAATATGAGAAAAGAGATAATAATTTTGTTATTGGAATGCTTAGAACAAGAGTCACTATAAGGTCATGGAGACAATGATACAGGGTGGCCCAAAACCACAGGTGCAAGAGACCAAAGTACCTACAGAACAGCGATGAAGGCGAGTCCCCACCTATAGGCACAAAACAGATTTCCCCTAGGACAGAGTTGAAGGCTGGTCCCGGAAATGGGACAAGACCAGGGTTAGGGTACCCAGTAAGCACTGGTTCATTCTGGAGCCCCTAGGATGAATGGGGGGACACCCTGTTCAGTCCGGTCTGCCATAAGTGCAGGAAAAAGATAGTAGGGAAACTAGAAGAGATGCCTTTTCCCTTCTCTCCTCTGCTCTCTCTTCACAGATGGGTAATCATGTCTCCATACAACAAGACGTGCCCCTCGGATGCATCTCAAGAACTGGGATAAGTTCAACCCCAAACCCTAAAACGAAAAACTAATTTTCCTTTGCAAAACCAGAGGAACTCTGGCCAAAACAAAAGTACAAATTTTAATTTTTTTTTTTTTTGAGATGGAGTCTCTCTCTGTCTCCCAGGCTGGAGTGGCGCCATCTTGGCTCACTGCAAGCTCCGCCTCCCAGGTTCACACCATTCTCCTGCCTCAGCAACCCGAGTAGCTGGGACTACAGGCGCCCGCCACCATGCCCAGCTAATTTTTTGTATTTTTAGTAGAGACGGGGTTTCACCGTGTTGGCCAGGATGGTCTCGATCTCCTAACCTCGCGATCTGCCCACCTCAGCCTCCCAAAGTGCTGGGATTACAGATGTGAGCCACTGCGCCCGGCAAAAGTACAAATTTTCATACCGTCCTCCAGCTGGACCTTTCCTGCCACCATCAGGGCAAATAGTCAGAGGTCCTCTATTTACGAACCTTCATGGCCTGAAGGAAAAACCCCAATCCTTATAAAGCTTGTAAGGCAAACCCCACTGTCCTAGCTATGCTTAGCTGCCTTCTCCAGGGCCCTCCACTGGGACTCACCTGCTGACTCCCTTCTCCTCCAAAAGCCAAGGGGAAAAATTGCCTCCCCCTCCTCCACAGGCCAAAAAGTGAAAAACAGCCACCTGCCTCCTCCCCTGTTTATCTCACTCCCAGACCTTTGGAATCAGCCCTGCCCTACACAAAGCCCGTTAGTTCTCCCTCCAGGCTCTGCTTGTTAGAGGAAGTAAGTGAGCCAGTTGGACCCATCCAAGTCCTCATCTCCTTTTCAGCCTGGACCTTTGGCAAATTAAAAAAAAAAAAAAAAAAAAACTAGGAAAGTTCTCAAATGACCCCAGAAGCTCATTGAAGGCTTCCAAATATTCACCCTTACATTTATTTATTTATTTTTTTGAGACAGAGTCTCGCTCTGTCACCCAGGCTGGAGTGCAGTGGTATGATCTCGGCTCACTGCAACCTTCACCTCCTGGGTTCAAGCAATTGTCATGCCTCAGCCTCCCGAGTAGCTGGGACTACAGATGCATGCCACCATGCCCAGCTAATTTTTCTATTCTTAGTAGAGACGGGGTTTCGCCATGTTGGTCAGGCTGGTCTTGAACTCCTGACCTCAGGTGATCCACTTGCCTCAGCCTCTCAAAGTGCTAGGATTATAGGCATGAGCCACTGTGCCCGGTCAGCCCTTACATTTAGATTAACTTGAAAGGACATAAATATCCTCCTGGGACAAGCCCTCTCACGGGAGGAAAGAGAAACCATCTGTGAAGCAGCCAGACACTGTGGGGATGAATTACACCTGGCAAACGTCAACTACTCTCGAGGGGCTACAGCTGTTCCCCAACAAGACCCCAATTGGGACTACAATATCCAAGCAAAAATATGGGCCAGGAACCACATGCTGCTGTGTCTAATAGAGGGAATAAAATAAAGTAAGGTTAAGTCTAGGAACTCTAATAAGTTAGCCACCATAAACCAGGGGCCAACCAAAAATCCCATAGCCTTTCTCGAAAGGCTACAGGAAACCCGTATTAAGCATACCAACTTAAACCCAGAATCCCCTGAGGGACAACTAGTTGTAAAGGACCATTTCTTTACCCAAGCCATCCCGGATATCAGGAAAAATTACAAAAGTCAGCCTTAGGACCAAGTACTCCTATGCCAGAAATCCTCAAATGAGCCTCCTCGATCCTTTATAACCAAAATCAGGACAAGGAGGACAGGGCTAAGGAAAACGAAAATGTAGGGACAAGAGGCAGGCTCAACTACTAGCTGTTGTGCAAGCCCACCAGCCCCCTCCAGGTTGCCTTCAAGACACTCCTCCAGGTAACTGCCATCAGTGGGGAAGACTAGGCCACTAGAGAAGGAATTGCCCAAAATGGAAGGATGCCATGCATAGCCTGACCAATCTGCCATAGGCTCGGCCACTGGAAAGACTGTCCCAGGAGACAAAAGGCCTCCCGGTCAGATCTCCACCCAATAATGGCCTTGAACTGAAGGGGCTCTTCACTCACCAGCTTCCAAATCAGACGTTGTCATTAAAGGAACAAAGCCAAGGACAACTCTGGAAGTGGCAGGTAGGACTCTATACATTTCCTTCGAAATACAAGAGCTGTCTACTTTATGCTAACCTCCTTCTCCAGGCAGCTTTCCTCCAAATCCTGTCGGGTAATGGGGGCAAGTGGCACCCCTTTCTTTCTTTCTTTTTTTTTTTTTTTTGAGACGGAGTCTTGCTCTGTTGCCCAGGCCGGAGTACAATGGTGCGATCTTGGCTCACTGCAAGCTCCACCTCCTGGGTTCATGCCATTTGCCTGCCTCAGCCTCCCAAGTAGCTGGGACTACAGGTGCCCGCCACCACGCCTGGCTAATTTTGTTTTTGTATTGTTAGTAGAGATGGGTTTTCACTGTGTTAGCCAGGATGGTCTCGATCTCCTGACCTCGTGATCCGCCCACCTCGGCCTCCCAAAGTGCTGGGATTACAGGCATGAGCCATTGCGCCCGGCCCCCTTTGTTTCTTTTTGACATCTCTACTTAAGACCCGAGGAGCCTTCTACATTTGTGGCCAGTTATTTCACCAATGCCTCTGCATTAACTGGACTGGAATGTGTACCATAGGCTGTGTATCTCCAGACATCTTCAGAGCTCCTGGCAATCTCTCTCTTCAGTACCAATTAATGGATCTATGGACATTCTATTTTTTTTTTTTTTTTTGAGATGGAGTCTCGCTCTGTTGCCCAGGCTAGAGTGCAATGGCACGATCTTGGCTCATTGCAACCTCGGCCTCCCAGGTTCAAGCGATCCTCCTGCCTCAGTCACCCTAGTAGCTGGGATTACAGGCATGCACCCGGCTAATTTTTGTATTTATAGTAGAGACAGAGTTTCACCATGTTGGCCAGGCTGGTCTCGAACTCCTGACCTCAGGTGATCCACCCACCTCAGCCTCCCAAAGTGCTGGGATTACAGGCGTGAGCCACTGTGCCCGGCCCAAGCATTTCATCTTGCCCAGGGTGAAGAGGGCTATCCAATTAATTCCACTTCTTGCTAGATGTGGCATTATATCCAGTATGGGAACCAGAATTGCCAGAGTCACAGAAGCCTCCTTGACCAGCTCTCAACAGACATAGCCAACAACATTGATGCCACAACTAAAACCTTAATAGCTGTGCAAGAACAAATTGACTCGTCAGCAGCCATAGTCCTCCCAAATCGCCAAGGAGTACATACGTTAATGGCAGCACAGGGAAGAATTTGTTTAGCCTTAGATGAAAAATGTTGCTTTTGGTTAAATCAATTGGGAAAAGTATACGACAACATCAGACAACTCGTAAATTGAGTCTCCTATGTATGGGAACAAGGAACAAGCCTCTCAGGGTTGGTTAGATTAGGAGGGAACATGGAAATGGTTCTCCTGGGTTGTCTTCTTTTAGGCCCACTTGTTAGTCTCCTACTTTTGCTTCTTTTTGGTCCATGTCTTCTAAATCTGATAACCCAATTTGTTTCCTGTCACCTTCTGGACATCAAGCTCCAGATGACCCTCAGTGAGGGATACTTTCCTCTCAATATTCAAGAGTCACCTTTCTACAGAGCACCCCTAGACGACCCATCAGTGAGACACGCCAGAGGCGAAATCCTGCCCATCTCGCTTGGACCTGGCTAGATACGACTTTCACCAACCCGCAAAGCCACCCTTGCTGGAATCACAGAAGCCTCCTTGAGATTTTGGTCCACGAAGACATGGACCAAAAAACAGCAAAAGTGGGCCGGGTGCGGTGACTCATGCCTGTAATCCCAGCACTTTGGGAGGCCAAGGCAGGTGGATCACCTGTGGCCGGAAGTTAGAGACCAGCCTGGCCAACACGGTGAAACCCTGTTTCTACTAAAAAATATAAAAATTAGCTGGGCGTGGTAGTGTGTGTCTGTAATCCCAGGTAATCAGGAGGCTGAAGCGGGGGAATCGCTTGAACCTGGGAGATGGAGGTTGCAGTGAGCTGAGATTGCACCACTGCACTCCAGGCTGGGTGACAGAGTCAGACTCCATCTCAAAAAAAAAAAAAAAAAAAAAAAAAAAATCAATCAATGACCAGATTCCCCATGATTGAGGAATTGATAGAAAGTTGGGAGAGGGGACTGAAACTGGTCCAATTGTCCCATAGAACTGATGTCAATTGTTTCATAGGACTGATGTTTATGGTTTCTTTTGAATAAAACAAAATTGACTCAGTCTTAAAACTTAAGAAAATTACATTTGTTTTGTCTGAGTTCCTTTCTCAGGAAACCAACCAGCAGGGCTCCCAGACAGTATCTAGGAACTTAAACTCACCAGGATCACTGCATGAGGACAGTGAGGTGCCAGACCCTTCACCCATCATGATTCTCTATCCAATACCTGTTTGACCAGCTCCTCTTCCTTACCCCACCTTAATTCCTATTTTTCTGTATGAAGTTACATTTCTTCCTTGCTATATAAATGCCTGAATTTAATTGCTTAGGGAGATGGATTTGAGACTAATCTGCCATCTCCTCAACTGCAGCATGATTAAAACCCTCTTCCCTGGCAATACTTGTCTCAGTGATGGGCTTTCTTTTCTTTTCTTTTTTTTTTTTTTTTTGAGACAGAATTTTGCTTTTGTTGCCCAGGCTGGAGTGCAATGGTGAGATCTTGGCTCACTGCAACCTCCGCCTCCCGGGTTCAAGTGATTCTCTTGTCTCAGCCTCCCGAGTAGCTGGGATTACAGGTGCATGCCACCACGCCTGGCTAATTTTCGCATTTTAGTAGAGATGGAGTTTCATCATATTGGTCAGGCTGGTCTCAAACTCCTGACCTCAGGTGATCTGCCTGCCTTGGCCTCTGAAAGTGCTGGGATTACAGGCGTGAGCCATTTTGTGCCCAGCAGTGATTGGCTTTCTATGCAGCCAGCAACAAGACCAAGATAGAACTCCTGGTGTTTCAGTAACAATTCCCCTGGAGATTATGATTTCACTGGTCAAGGGTGGAGCCTAGGAATCAGTATTGTTAACACGTCTCTCAGATAATCCTGTCCTTGCTCATTAGGAAACTGCAACTCTAAAATAAACATCAAATTTTGTCATTGTAGATCTATTTAAAATTAAAACCTCTTCAGTGGCTCCCTGATGTGGTTTAGATTTGTGTCCCTACCCAAATCTCATGTCAAACTGTAATCCCCAGTGTTGGAAGAGGGTGTCAGTTTCCAATCTGAGCTGGGGTCCAAGAGGAGTTGGTGGATGGGTGGCGGGTAGCTGAAAAAACACTCTAGGGAGTATAGGCAGTTGGGACATGGCCTTATTATCTCTCTCTCTCCTACAGAGTCAGCAGAGCAGTTATATTTTCACAGACAATAGTGGCTCAAAGCCAGGTATGAGCTCACACAAACAGGATACATCAAAATGGCTACATAAATGTGATTACATACTGCATGCAATTGTGCACCTGTGGTCCCAACCTGCTGTCATGCTGTACTGGATGTCTGCCTCAGCCCACTCCTGACTGAAGCACAGCCATTTTCCTTACAGAGGGGCCTGGTGGAAGGTGATTGGATCATGGAGGCATATTTCCCTCTTTCTGTTCTCGTGATAGTGATTTCTCACAAGATCTGGTAGTTTAAAAGTGTGTAGCCCCTCCCCCTGCTCTCTCTTCCTCCTGCTCCGGCCACATAAGATGTGCCTCCTTCCTTTTCACCTTCCGCCAATGATTGTAAGTTTCCTAAGGCCTCTCCAGCCAGCTTCCTGTACAGCCCACAGAACTGTAAGCCAATTAAACCTCTTTTCTTATAAATTACCCAGTTTCAGGTATTTATTTATAGCCGTGAGAGAACAAACTAATACAGAAAATTGGTACTGGAAAGTAGGGGCATTGCTGTAAAGATACCTGAATATATGGAAGCAGCTTTGGAATTGGGTAATGGGCAGAGGTTGGAATGGTTTGGAGGGCTCGGAAGAAGACAGAAAGTTGAGAGGAAGTTTGGAACTTCCTAGAGACTTGTTAAATTGTGACCTAAATGCTGAAAGTGATCTGGACAATGAAGTCCAGGCTGAGGTGGTCTCAGATGGAGATGAGGAACTTATTGGGAACTGGAGTAAAGGTCACTCTTGCTATGCTTTAGCAAAGACACTGGAGCTTTGATCCAGTGCCCTAGAGATCTGTGGAGCTTTGAACTTGAGAGAGATGATATAGGGTATCTGGTGGAAGAAATTTCTAGGCAGCAAAGCATTAGAGATGTGGTCTGGCTGCTTCTAATAGTGTATGCTTATACGCGTGAATAAAGAGTTGATCTACAACTGGAACTTATATTTAAAAGGCAAGCAGAGCATGAAAGTGTGGAAAATTTGCAGCCTGGCCATGTGGTAGAAAAGAAAAACCCTTGGGAGGCCGAGGCGGGTGGATTACTTGAGGTCAGGAGTTAGAGACCAGCCTGGACAATGTGGTAAAACTAAAAATACAAAAATTAGCCGGACATGTTGGCACATGCCTATAGTCCCACCTACTTGGGAGGGTGAGGCAGGAGAATCGCTTGAACCTGGAGGGCGGAGGTTGCAGTGAGCCAAGATCACGCCATTGCACTCCAGCCTGGGCAACAAGAGGGAAACTCCGTCTCGAAAGAAAAAAAAAAACAACAAAAAACAAAACCCATTTTCAGGACGGGAATTCAAGCTAGCTATAGAAATTTGCAGAAGTAAAGAGGAGCCAAGTGCTAATAGCTAAGACAATGAGGAAAAGGTCTCAAAGGCATTTCAGAGAACTTTGCAGCAGCCCCACCCAGAAAAGTGGGGGCAGAGGCCTAGGAGGGAAGAATGGTTTTGCAAGCCAGGCCCAGGGTCCTGCTGCCCTGCGCCTTGCCTCCCCAGCCATGCTTCCAGTACAACCTGTGGAACAATGAACCAATGAAACCTTTCTGTTTTGTTGTTGTTGTTGTTGCTTTTTGAGACGGAGTCTCACTCTGTCGCCCAGGCTGGAGTGCAATGGCATGATCTTGGCTCACTGCAACCTCCGCCTCCCAAGTTCAAGTAATTCTCCTGCCTCGGCCTCCCTCCCGAATAGCCTGGATAACAGGCTGTCAGGCCTCTGAGCTGAAGCTCAGCCATTATAACCCCTGTGACCTGCACATACACATCTAGGTGGCCTGCAGGAGCCAAGAAGTCTGGAGCAGCAAAAGAAAAAAACTACAAAGAAGTAAAACAGCGAGTTCCTGCCTTAACTGATTAACTAACATTACAATATTTTATTATTGTGACTTGTCCCTGCCCTACCTTAGCTGATCAATCAACTTTGTGACATTCTTCTTCTGGACAATGAGTCTTATGATCTCTCCACCATGCACCTTGTAAACCCCTCCTCTGCTAACAATAGATAACCACCTTTTGCTATAATTTTCCATTACCTACCCAACTCCTATAAAGCAACCCATTCCCTATCTCCCTTCGCTGACTCTCTTTTCGGACTCAGCCCACTTGCACCCAAGTGAATAAACAGCTTTATTGCTCACACAAAGCCTGTTTGGTCGTCTCTTCACACGGACTCACTTGACACAGGCGTCCACCACCACGGTCGGCTAATTTTTGTATTTTTAATAGAGACAGGGTTTCACCATGTTGGCCAGGCTGGTCTCGAACTCCTGACCTCAAGTGATCCACCTGCCTCGGCCTCCCAAAATGTTGGGATTATAGGTGTGAGCCACCGTGCCTGGCTGAAACCTCCTTTCTGGTAAATTACCCAGTTTCAGGGTTTTTTTTTTTTTTTTTGATACGGAGTCTCAGTCTTGTCACCCAGGCTGGAGTGCAGTGGCTCAATCTTGGGTCACTGCAACCTCCGCCTTCTGGGTTCAAGCTATTCTCCTGCCTCAGTCTCCTGAATAGGTAGCACACGCCTGTAGTTCCAGCTACTTGGGAGGCTGAGGCTGGTGGATTGCTTGAACCCAGGAGGTGGAGGTTGCAGATGACACCACTGCACTCCAGCCTGGGTAACAGTGAGAGTCCATCTTAAAAAAAAAAAAAAAAAAAAAAAGAAAATTTCCCCAGGTGCAGCCAATGTTGAGAACCACCAGAAATAATCAAGCCTGAGCTGTTTAACCTGGTGTTGAAAACCCAACCATGAAAGCCTCCTGCCTGCCGAAATAGCCCCATTTTCTATGACACTTGTGCATATGCACGCTACAGTCCAGCTTTGCCAGATTATCTTCAAATAGGGTCATCTAAGGATTTAAAACATTAAATTACCTGTAATTCCCAAACCTATGGTACTTTCACACATCTAGGTCTTTCCACAGTTTATTCTCACTTTGTCTTGAATACTTTTACTGTCCTGGCAAACAGTTATTTTCCCACAAGGATGAAACTACTGGCTGAGCACAGTGGCTCATGTCTGTAATCCCAGCACTTGGGGAGGCAGAGGCAGGCGGATCACTTGAGGTCAGGAGTTCAAGACCAGCCTGACCAACATGGTGAAACCCGTCTCTACTTAAAAATACAAAAGTTAGCCGGGCATGATGGCAGGTGCCTGTAATCCCAGCTACTCAGGAGGCAGAGGCAGGACAATTGCTTGAACCCGGGAGGTGGAGGTTGTAGTCAGCCAAGATTGTGCTACTGCACTCCAGCCTGGGCAATAGAGCAAGACTCTCCTTTTAGAGGTTCCTCTGGCACATGTGCTGAGGTAGAGTAAAACACTTCCTTCTTTGTGCTAAACTACCCCTCTTGGCACAGAGCTGTATTACTATACTTATCATATGAGGGGCTAGCAATATTATATCTTGAGTACAGGTACTATGTCTGGTTCATCTTTATATCCCTTGCACCTAGCCGAGGGTAGGAACAGAGTAGGCAGCCAATAAATGCTTTTTGGCTTAGTGAAAGCACTCACAAGGAACAAAATTAAAACAAGCAGGAACATTACCCTTTTTATAAAAAATCTGAATATAATCTAATCATCTAACCACACTTTTTTTTTTTTTGTTTGTAGAGACAGGTGTCTCACTATGTTTCTTAGGATGGTCTTCAACTCTTGGCCTCAAGTGATCCTTCTGCCTTGGCCTCCCAAAGTGCTGGGATTAGAGGCATGAGTCACCACACTTGGCCCACATTAAGATCTTAATTAGGAAAGAATTTTTAAGGCCAGGTTTGTGGCTCATGCCTGTAATCCCAGCACTTTGGGAGGCCAAGGCAGGTTTGAGACCAGCTTGGCCAACATGGTGAAACCCTGTCTCTACTAATAAAAATACAAAAAATTAGCTGGGCGTGGTGGTGGGAGCCTGTAATCCCCGCTACTGAGGAGGCTGAGGCAGAATTGCTTGAACCCAGGAGGCAGAGGTTGCAGTGAGCCGAGATCACACCATTACACTCCAGCCTGGGCAACAAGTGCGAGACGCCCTCTCAAGAAAAAAAAAAAAAAAGAATTTTTAAGCTGTAGGTCTCATGTGGAGAAATACACCTTGAAAGCACTCCAAAGAGAGTAATGAGCCATTTCCTTAATTAACTATAACGTAGTTCACATGTTCATTCCAAGGCCTTGAAATAATCCTGTTTCTTCATATGTATCTGATATGGCTTGGCTGTGTCCCCATTCAAAACTCATTTTGAATTGTAACTCCCACAATTCCCATGTGTCGTGGGAGGAACCTGGTGGCAGGTGATTGAATTACGGGGGCAAGTCTTTCCTGGGCTGTTCTCATGATAGTGAATACATCTCAAGAAATCTGATGGTTTTAAAAATGGGAGTTTCCCTGCACAAACTCTCTCTCTGCCTGCTGCCACCCATGTAAGATGTGACTTGCTCCTTGCCTTTCACCATGATTGTGAGGCCTCCCCAGCCAGGTGAAACTGTAAGTCCGTTAAACCTTTTTTACTTTCGTCTTGGGTATGTCTTTATCAGCAGCATGAAAATAGACTAATACAGTAATTTTGGTACCAGAAGTGGGGTGCTGCTGAAAAGATACCTGAATATGTGGAAGTGACTTTGGAACTGGGAAATAGGCAGAGGTTGGAACAATTTGGAGGGTCAGAAGAAGACAGGAAAATGTGGGACAGTTTTGAATTTCCTAGAAACTTGCTGAATGGCTTTGATCAAAATGCTGATAATAATATGGACAATGAAATTCAGCATGAAGTGCTCTTAGATGGAGATAAGAAACTTGTTGTGAACTGGAGCAAAGGTGACTCTTGTTATGTTTTAGCAGATCTACTGGTGGCATTTTGCCCCTGCCCTAGAGATCTGTGGAACTTTGAACTTCAGAGAGATGATTTAAGGTATCTGGTGGAAGAAATTTCTAAGCAGCAAAGCATTCAAGAGGTGACTTGGGTGCTGTTAAAGGCATTGTTATTTTTATTTTTATTTTTTGAGATGGAGTCTTGCTCTGTCGCTAGCTGGAGTGCAGTGGCACGATCTCAGCTCACTGCAACCTCTGCCTCCCGGGTTCAAGCATTTCTCCTGCCTCAGCCTTCTGAGTAGCTGGGATTACATGAGTGCACCACCACACCCAGCTAATTTTTGTATTTTTTAGTGGAGACAGGGTTTCATCATGTTGGCCAGGATGGTCTCGATCTCCTGACCTTGTGATCTGCCCACCTTGGCCTCCCAAAGTGCTGAGATAACAGGTGTGAGCCACTGTGCCCGGTTGGCATTCAGTTTTATAAGGGAAGCAGAGCATAAAAGTTCAGAAAATTTGCAGACTGACAATGTGATAGAAATGAAAATCCTGGCTGGGCATGGTGGCTCACGCCTGTAATCCCAGCACTTTGGGAAGCCAAGGCAGGTGGATTACCTGAGGTTGGGAGTTCAAGACCAGCCTGACCAAAATGGAGAAACCCCATCTCTACTAAAAATAGAAAATTAGCCGGGCTTGGTGGTGCATGCCTCTAGTCCCAGCCACTTGGGAGGCTGAGGCAGGAGAATCACTTGAACCTGGGAGGTGGAGGTTGTGGTGAGCTGAGTTTGCGCCACTGTACTCCAGCCTGGGCAACAAGAGCAAAACTCCATCTCAAAACAAAAAACAAACAAACAAAGAAAATCCCATTTTCTGAGGAGAAATTCAAGCTGGCTGCAGAAATTTGCATAAGCAATGAGGAGCTGAATGTTAATCACCAAGACAATGGGGAAAATGTCTTCAGGGCATGTCAGAGGTCTTCATCACATCCCCCCGACATTCACAGGCCTGGAGGTTTAAGAGGAAAAAGTGGTTTTGTGGGCTGGGCCCAGAATCCCCTTGCTGGTTGCAGCCTGGGAACTTGGTGCCCTACGTCCTAGCTGCTCCAGCCGTGACTGAAGGGGTCAATGTAGAGCTTGGGCCATGGCTTCAGAGCATGTACGCCTCAAGCCTTGGCAGCTTTCACATGGTGTGCACAGAAGTCAAAATTGAGGTTTGGGAACCTCTGCCTAGATTTCAGAGGATGCATGAAAATGCCTGGATATCCAGGCAGAAGTTTGTTGCAGGGACAGGGCTCTCATGGAGAACCTCTGCTAGGGCAGTGTGGAAAAGAGATGTGGGGTTGGAGTCCCCACAAAGAGTCGCTACTGGGGCACTGCCTAGTGGAGCTGAGAGAAGAGGGCCACTGTCCTCCAGACCCCAGAATGATAGATCCACTGATAGCTTGCACTGTGTGCCTGGAAAAATCGCAGACACTCAACACCATCCTGTGAAAGCAGCCGGGAGGGAAGCTGGGAGGTAAAGCCACAGGGGTGGAGCTGCCCAAGACCATGGGAACCCACCTCTTGCATTAGCATGACCTGGATGTAAAACATGGAGTCAAAAGAGGTCATTTTGGAGCTTTTAAGATTTGACTGCCCCACTCAATTTCAGACTTGCATGGGGCATGTAGCCCCTTTGTTTTGGCCAATTTTTCTCATTTGAAATGGCTGTATTTACCCAGTGCCCATGCCCCTGTTGTAGCTAGGAAGTAACTTACTTGCTTTTGATTTTACAGGCTCATAGATGGAAGTGACTTGCCTTATCTCAGATGAGATGTTGAACTGTGGAGGTTTGAGTTAATGCTGAAATAAGACTTTAGGGGACTGTTAGGAAGGCATGATTGGTTTTGAAATCTGAGGATGTGAGATTTGGGAGGGGCCAGGGGCAGAATGATATGGTTTGGCTGTGTCCCCACCCAAATCTCATTGTGAATTGTAACTCCCACAATTCCCATATGTTGTGGGAGAAACCCAGTGGGAGGTGATTGAATTATCGGGTCAGGTCTTTCCTGGGCTCTTCTCCTGATAGTGAATGTGTCTCATGAGATCTGATTCTTTTAAAAACGGGAGTTTCCGCTGGGCATGGTGGCTCATGCCTGTAATCCCAGCACTTTAGGAAGCTGAGGCAGGTGGATCATGAGGTCAAGAGATCGAGACCATCCTGGCCAACATGGTGAAACTCCATCTCTACAAAAATACAAAAATTAGCTGGGCGTGGTGGCACACGCCTGTAGTCCCAGCTACCTGGGAGGCTGAGGCAGGAGAATCACTTGAACCCGGGAGGCAGAGGTTGCAGTGAGCCAAGATCCCACCACTGCACTCCAGCCTGGTGACAGTGCAAGACTCTGTCTCAAAAACAAACAAATAAACAAACAAACAAACAAAAAACAGGAGTTTCCCTGCACAAGCTCTCTTTGCCTGCCACCATCCATGTAAGATATGACTTGCTCCTCCTTGCCTTTTGCCATGGTTGTGAGGCCTCCCAGCCACGTGGAACTGTAAGTCCATTAAACCTCTTTTTCTTCCCAGTCTCGGTTGGATATTTCTTTATCAGCAGTATGAAAATGGACTAATATAGTATCTAAGACTTAAAAAAAAATTTAAGGTGAAATCAAGACTTAAAAAAAAATTTAAGGTGAAATCTACATAACACAAAATTAACCATTTTTAAATGTCCAATACAGTGGCATTTAGTAAATTCACAATGTTATGCAACTACACCACCTCTATCAAGTTCCAAAATAGTTTCATCACTCCCCCCCCAAAAAACTCTGTATCCATTAAGCAGTTATTTTTCATTTTCCCCCTAGACCCTGGAAACCACAGGAACATTAACTTTTAAGTTATTCTAAGGAATTTTAGAGACATAGATATTAAAACAGACAGATTTCAGATGGCTGTGCAACTGCTTCCAGTCATACAGAAAAGAGTTTTTTTTCAATAATCTCAATTCCAATTTTTATTAGCCATTCTATGTACATTGATACCAAGTCCTGAAAACTGATAAAAACATGTCCAGAATTTCTTTTTTTCCTTTTCTGAGAAAGGGTCTTGCCCTCTCACCTAGGATGGAGTGTAGTGGTGCAATCACAGCTCACTGCAGCCTCAGAATCTCCCAGTCTCAAGTGATCCTCTCATGTCAGTCTCCTGAGTAGCTGGGACTACAGGCACATGCCATCACACCCAACTAATTTTTTTATTTTTTGTAGAGATGAGGGCTATGTTGCCCAGGTTAGTCTTGAACTCCTGGACTGAAGCAATCCTCCTGCCTCAGCCTCCCAAAGTGTTGGGATTATAGGCATGAGCCACAGGACCTGGCCCATGGTTTCTTATACAGTCAATGTACAAATGCTCATTTATATTTTGCACAATAATGAAGATAAAAATAACAATTATAGCAACATACAAATATGTACAAAGATTCCAGACAGACTTTGTTTTTTGGCTTATAACAATGTGTAGATACTACACAAAGAATGAGGATGTAATTTTCATTTACAAGCAAAATGTGACCAAAATCCCTTTTCTTCTTAAAATTGAAAAATGAAATTCTTGAGAATACTAATTAGTGACGGCCAAATCTTAGACTATTTTAAATTAGCCATGGTTAAACATAGGTGAGTTAAACATTGTGCCTTTCCAAAATTAAGGTTTGCAGTTAGAAACATAAACATTTGATAAAACTTCTCAAAATTAATTATGAGTGGCTTATTCATGTCCTTTGGATTCCAGACACACACTAGAAAAAGTAAACGTTAAAGAGGTGATATTTTGGAAAGCATCCCTAGTACTGAAAAGCATCCCTAGCACTGAAAAAAGCATCCCTAGTACTGAAAAGCATCCCTAACACTGAAAAAAGCATCCCTAGTACTGAAAAACATCTTCAGGAGTACTCAGTACTCCCTAGTACATCCCTAGTACTGAAAAAAGCATCCCTAATACTGAAAAGCATCCCTAGTACTAAAAAACATCTTCAGGAGTACCCAGTGGTCAAACACTAGCAGGAAACTCATGATGCACTAACAATACTGAGAACAAAGTGTGGGAAGTAATAAGCAGCTATTTTACTGATGTATTAAATATATTAGAATTATGAGGCATGAGATGATATTTATGTGATTTTTAAAAGGTTTAAAATATTCTTAGGGACTCAATTAGATATTGAGAATGACTGATAACTATGATCTCAAAAACAGTATATCACACATAATCATGGTGTTACCTTACTAATAGGAATTTAGTTTTTAATAACTAACTGAATTTTATTTTACTGGCTTCAGAAGCAGCTGCCTATTTTGAGAACTACATGAGTTAATACGATCATATATAATTAAGTTAATGTCACAGAAACCAAAATGATAATAGTTTACAAAAGAAGAAAGTGCCCCATTTATTGGGTTGTGACATCAGGCTGAGATGGCTTAGGGCTGGAAAGCAAGGATGAGTGTAGCACTGGGGCTCAGGTACAAATCTGTTTATAAAGCTCAAGGAGAGAAAAGGCACGAGAAGGGGTGAGACAACTCTGAATGGCGGTGGTACCTGGATGTGGAATTACCACAGTGGGCCAGAGACAGGATGGTATATAACCCTCTGGCCAGGTACTATGGGAACCAACCCCTTCCTTCAATATTAAATTAAGAATACAAATATCTCAAAGCATGCTATCAAAAGTAGATTATTTATCCTCATATTACAGAACACAGAAGGAGACATTTATTTTTAAAAGAGAGCTAAAAAGTTATGGGGTTTCTCCTTATTTCATCTTGAAAACTCAAGGAGCAAACATTAAAAAAAATTCCCTATTTATATATATATATATATTTTTTGAGATGGAGTTTTACTCTTGTTGCCCAGGCTGGAGTGCAGTGGCGCAACCTTGGCTCACCACAACCTCCGCTTCCTGGGTTCAAGCAATTCTGCCTCAGCCTCCCAAGTAGCTGGGATTACAGGCATGCGCCACCACACCCGGCTAATTTTGTATTTTTAGTAGAGATGGGGTTTCTCCATGTTGGTCAGGCTGGTCTCGAACTCCTGACCTCCGGTGATCTGCCCGCCTTGGCCTCCCAAAGTCCTGGGATTACAGGCGTGAGCCACAGCGCCTGGCCGGACTATTAGTATTTTTAAAAGGCACTTAAAATATTCCTTTCCAATCCAACTCAAAATACATCTCTGTCAACTACATTTTGGATAAATATTTTAAAAAGCACATAATTTTTGTGCAATTTTTTCTTATAACCCAGTGATATTTATCATCTATAGGGCTAAAAGGTTTGAAGGACAGAGCTCCAACTTTCTGCAGAACAATCTGAAAGTGCTTTTATCATAGAAACAAGAACAACATTAATGATTTGCTCTTTCACTGACAACATCCTGTAGTCGTTTCAGTAAAACGTCATCATTTTCTTGACAGACGCGTTTGGCAGGGGATTCTGCATCACTATCGATGGCTATTACTCGCTTCTTGGTTCTCTGCTCACCTTGCCTTATCATGTTGTTGATATCTTTCAAACTCTGTGCAGAAATAGAGAACGTGTGTGAGTAAAAGAGGGAGAGGGGAAATGGCAGCAAACAACCAAGCTAATTGTTTTTTCCTGTGCTCTATCCTCTATCCAAATCTTAACACTGGGATAAGGACTCTTTTTAAAACTTAGAACAACCTAATAAGGGATGGCTTGAACTAATCTTTTCAGGTGGTTTAAAAATTAGATTTAAGGCCAGGTGTGGTGGCCTGTAATACCAGCACTTTGGGAGGCCAAGATGGTTCAATCACTTGAGCCCAGGAGTTTCAGACCAGCCTGGGCAACATGGCAAACCTGGTCTCTACAAAAAATACAAAAATTAGCCAGGTGTGGTGGCTTGTGCCTGTAGTCTCAGCTACTCGGGAGGTTAAGGAGCATCACCTGAGCCTGGGGAGGTTGAAGCTGCAGTGAGCAGTGATCATGCCTGGGAAACAGAGTGAGACCTTGTCTCAAAAACCAAACCAAGAATAGAAAAATAAGCTTCCCGTCTCCCTCCTCTCCCTCTCCCTCCTCTCCCTCCCTCCTCTCCCTCTCCCTCCTCTCCCTCTCCCTCTCCCCACGGTCTCCCTCTCCCTCTCTTTCCACGGTCTCCCCCTGATGCCGAGCCAAAGCTGGACTGTACTGCTGCCATCTCGGCTCACTGCAACCTCCCTGCCTGATTCTCCTGCCTCAGCCTGCCGAGTGCCTGCGATTGCAGGCACGCGCCGCCACGCCTGACTGGTTTTCGTATTTTTTTGGTGGAGATGGGGTTTCGCTGTGTTGGCCGGGCCGGTCTCCAGCTCCTAACCGCGAGTGATCCGCCAGCCTCGGCCTCCCGAGGTGCCGGGATGGCAGACGGAGTCGCGTTTACTCAGTGCTCAATGGTGCCCAGGCTGGAGTGCAGTGGCGTGATCTCGGCTCGCTACAACCTCCACTTCCCAGCTGCCTGCCTTGGCCCCGCAAAGTGCCGAGATTGCAGACTCTGCCCGGCCGCCACCCCGTCTGGGAAGTGAGGAGCGTCTCTGCCTGGCCGCCCATCGTCTGGGATGTGAGGAGCCTCTCTGCCTGGCTGCCCAGTCTGGAAAGTGAGGAGTGTCTCTGCCCGGCCGCCATCCCATCTAGGAAGTGAGGAGCGTCTCTGCCAGGCCGCCCATCTTCTGCAATGTGGGGAGCGCCTCTGCCCTGCTGCCCCGTCTGGGATGTGAGGAGCGTCTCTGCCCGGCCGCCCCGTCTGAGAAGTGAGGAGACCCTCTGCCTGGCAACCGCCCCGTCTGAGAAGTGAGGAGCCCCTCCGCCCAGCAGCCACACCCTCTGAGAAGTGAGGAGCCCCTCCGCCCGGCAGCCACTCCGTCTGGGAAGTGAGGAGCGTCTTCGCCTGGCAGCCACCCCGTCTGGGAGGGAGGTGGGGGTCAGCCCCCCACCCGGCCAGCCGCCCCGTCCAGAAGGGAGGTGGGGGGGTTAGCCCCCCGCCCGGCCAGCCGCCCCATCCAGGAGGGAGGTGGGGGGGTCATCCCTCTGCCCAGCCAGCTGCCCGTCCGGGAGGGAGGTGGGGGGGGTCAGCCCCCCCGCCCGGCCAGCCGCCCCGTCCGGGAGGTGAGGGGCGCCTCTGCCCGGCCGCCCCTACTGGGAAGTGAGGAGCCCCTCTGCCCGGCCAGCCGCCCCGTCCAGGAAGGATGTGGGGGGGTCAGCCCCGGGCCCGGCCAGCCGCCACATCCGGGAGGTGAGGGGCGCCTCTGCCCGGCCGCCCCTACTGGGAAGAGAGGAGCCCCTCTGCCCGGCCAGCCGCCCCGTCCGGGAGGGAGGCGGGGAGGTCAGCCCCCCGCCCGGCCAGCCGCCCCGTCCAGGAGGGAGGCGGGGGGGTCAGCCCCCCGCCCGGCCAGCCGCCCCGTCCGGGAGGTGAGGGGCGCCTCTGCCTGGCCGCCCCTACTGGGACGTGAGGAGCCCCTCTGCCCGGCCAGCCGCCCCGTCCAGGAGGGAGGTGGGGGGGTCAGCCCCCCGCCCGGCCAGCCGCCCCATCCGGGAGGTGAGGGGCGCCTCTGCCCGGCCGCCCCTACTGGGAAGAGAGGAGCCCCTCTGCCTGGCCAGCCGCCCCATCCGGGAGGGAGGTGGGGGGGGTCAGCCCCCCACCCGGCCAGCCGCCCCATCCGGGAGGGAGGCGGGGAGGTCAGCCCCCCGCCTGGCCAGTCGCCCTGTCCCGGAGGGAGGCGGGGGGGTCAGCCCCCCGCCCGGCCAGCCGCCCCGTCCGGGAGGTGAGGGGCGCCTCTGCCCGGCCGCCCCTGCCCGGCCGCCCCTACTGGGAAGTGAGGAGCCCCTCTGCCCGGCCACCACCCCGTCTGGGAGGTGTACTCAACAGCTCATTGAGAACCGGCCATGATGACAATGGCGGTTTTGTGGAATAGAAAGGGGGGAAAGGTGGGGAAAAGATTGAGAAATCGGATGGTTGCCATGTCTGTGTAGAAAGAGGTAGACATGGGAGACTTTTCATTTTGTTCTGTACTAAGAAAAATTCTTCTGCCTTGGGATCCTGTTGATCTGTGACCTTACCCCCAACCCTGTGCTCTCTGAAACATGTGCTATGTCCACTCAGGGTTGAATGGATTAAGGGTGGTGCAAGATGTGCTTTGTTAAACAGATGCTTGAAGGCAGCATGCTCGTTAAGAGTCATCACCACTCCCTAATCTCAAGTACCCAGGGACACAAACACTGCGGAAGGCTGCAGGGTCCTCTGCCTAGGAAAACCAGAGACCTTTGTTCACTTATCTGCTGACCTTCCCTCCACTATTGTCCTGTGACCCTGCCAAATCCCCCTCTGCGAGAAACACCCAAGAATGATCAATAAAAAAGAAAAAAAATGGAAAAAAAAAAAAAAAGAAAAATAAGCTTCCCATTATGCAAGAGTCCTATGGCCTTTGTGCTTTCCTACCCTGTGAACTAAGAGTCTAAATCTGTGAAAAGATGTCCATGAGGTAGAGTTGAATTAAAATAGCAGGTTGCAGAACAATAAAAAAAAAAAAAAAAAAAAAAAACAAACCAAACCAATCCAAACCAAAACAACTGAATTTACTGTATAACAGTAGCTCTCGATGTGTAGTACCCAGACCAGAAGCAGCAGAAGCATCTAGAATTTTTTATTTTTTGAGACAGTCTCTCTCTGTTGCCCAGGCTGGAGTGCAGGGCATGATCTTGGCTCACTGCAAGCTCTGCCTCCTGGGCTCAAGCTATTCTCCTGCCTCAGCCTCCCTAGCTGGGACTACAGGCACATGCCACCATGCCTGGCTATTTTTTTGTCTTTTTAGTAGAGACAGGGTTTTGCCATGTTGGCCAGGCTGGTCTTGAACTCCTGGCCTCAAGTGTTCCCCCACCTTGGGCTCCCAAAATGCTAGAATTACAGGTGTGAGCCACCGTGCCTAGCCTTATCTGTTTTTTTTTTTTTTTTTTTTTTTTGAGACTAAGTCTTGCTCTTGTCGCCCAGGCTGGAGTGCAATGGCACGATCTCGGCTCACTGCAACCTCTGCCTCCTGGGTTCAAGCGATTCTCCTGCCTCAGCCTCCCAAGTAGCTGGGATTACAGGTGCCCACCACCATGCCCGGCTAATTTTTGTATTTTTAGAGACGGGGTTTCACCATGTTGGCCAGGCTGGTCTTGAACTCCTGATCTCGTGATCTGCCTGCCTCGGCCTCCCAAAGTGCTGGGATTACAGGCATGAGCCACCGTGCCCGGCCCTAATCTGTTTTAACAAGCCCTCCCAATGATTTTAAAGCTCCCTACAGTTTGAGATCTTCTTCCTTAGAGTAATGATTTTCAACATTTTTTTTTTTTGAGACAGAGTCTCGTTCTGTCGCCCAGGCTGGAGTGCAAAGGGGTGATCTCGGCTCACTGCAACCTCCGCCTGCCGGGTTCAAGTGATTCTCCTGCCTCAGCCTCCACAGCAGAGTAGCTGAGATTATAGGTGCGCACCACCATGCCTGGCTAATTTTTTGTATTTTTAGTAAAGACGGGGTTTCACCATGTTGCCCAGGCTGGTCTTGAACTCCTGAGCTCAGGCAATCTGCCCGCCTTGGCCTCCCAAAGTGCTAGGATTACAGGCTTGAGTCACTGTGTCCAGTCAGGTATATTATCTTAGCCAACTTTGTCAAGTATAGTAGGAACTCTGTAGTTATCTGTATAACTGAATAGGAAAGTAATAAGAAGGAGCCACTGTATTTGGACAGAGTTACAATCTGCCCCACTACAATTTCTTCCAGTTTATACTGATTCTGACTTCTGGAGACATACTGAACATATCTGCTTGATAGTCCATGAAGTCTCTGAAAACAGCAATCATGTCCATACCACATCTTCACCACTGAACAAGGATAAGGATGGAGATGATCACAGAGTTGTCTATGTACGTAAGAGGAGGCTTGTGTTTTCAGACATCTTCCTATCCTGGGTGCCATCTACCAAATGCACTTTCACTTCCAATGCCTTTCTTTCAACTTGACATCCCCCAGGTCTGACCACTTGCAGGTGTTGCCTTACTGGTCCCTTCTCAAGATCTTGCTTGAACAGGAAAACATGCTGGACTTTCAAAGTGAACTCCACAAATACCATGTCAATAATAATGGATTAAACTACCTCAAACTGAATATACTGCTCTTGATGAGAGGAGACATGCCATAGTTAACATTTCATATTTTATTAGTATAGTAGTAACTTGGCCAAAAAAGAAAAAAAAAAAAAGAGGCAGGATTAACAGTTACTGACTGTTAATCTGAAATCCAACTTTTAGCCTATTCACCTTACCTTAGAAGGGCTGCCATTGAACTTGTACAGCAGAGCGCTTCTTGGTGTAAGGCCTGACCCATTCTTGTGCGGGGAAATATAAATGGAGTGCTGCTGGGAAATGCGGCGTGGTGAGCCTGGCTGTTGTTTAATATGTGGAAAAGGAGAGAGTGGTGGAGCATCCATCTAAAATAACCCAAAAGTCAGATTTTTTAGATAAAAGTTTTTCTTTGTTTTTGAATCCCATATTTTTATTCTTATGGTATCTTCTAGTTAGAAAACAGTTATACTGTAAAAAGCTCATTTATGGTTGAGAAAAAAAATGATCCTTTACTTCTTCTTTTTTTTTTTTAACAACAATAGATAAACTAGAATTTATTTTCCTGAATCTTTTTTTTTTTTTGAGATGGAGTATCTCTTGCTCTTGTTGCCCAGGCTGGAGTGCGATGGCGCAATCTAGGCTCACTGCAACCTCTGCCTCCCAGGTTCAAGCAATTCTCCTCCCTCAGCCTCCCAAGTAGCTGGGATTACAGGCATGTGCTGGGATTACAGGCATGTGCCACCACGCCCGGTTAATTTTGTATTTTTAATAGAGATGACCATGTTGGCCAGGCTGGTCTCGAACTCCTGACCTCAGGTGATCCACCCACCTTGGCCTCCCAAAGTGCTGGGATTACAGGTGTGAGCCACTATGCCCGGCCTATTTTCCTGGATCTTTCAGGAAGTCCTATAACTAGTATTAAGAATTCTGGCCAGGCACAGTGGCTCACACCTGTAATGCCAGCACTTTGGGAGGCTGAGATGGGCGGATCACCTGAGGTCAGGAGTTTGAGACCAGCCTGGCCAACATGGTGAAACTCCGTCTCCACTAAAAATGCAAAAATTAGCTGGGCGTGGTGGCATATGCCTGTAATCCGAGCTATTTGGGAGGCTGAGGCACTAGAATTGCTTGAACCCAGGAGGCAGAGGTGTTGCAGTGAGCCCAGATTGTGCCACTGCACTCCATCCTGGGTGACAGACCAAGACTCTGCCTCAAAAAAAAAAAAAAAAAAAAAAGAATTCTGGGGCCGGGTGCAGTGGCTCACTCCTATAATCCCAGCACTTTGGGAGGCCAAGGTGCTCGGATCACTTGAGGCCAGGAATTGGAGACCAGCCTGGCCAACATGGTGAAACCCCACTTCAGCCTCCTGAGTAGCTCCTAAAAATATAAAAATTAGCCAGGTGTGGTGGCGTGCGCCTATAGTCCCTGCCACTCGGGAGGCTGAGCATGACAGTTGTTTGAACCCGGGGACAGAGGCTGCAGTGAGCTGCGATTATGTCACTGCACTCCTCCTGGGGTGACAGAGTGAGACTCTGTCTCAAAAGAAAAAAAAAATTCTGGACAAGACACCAGGAGTTAAGCCACGAGCATGAGAACCTCATATTCATGCTTAAAAAGTAAGGACAGGCTGGGCGCGGTGGCTCATGCCTGTAATCCCAACACTTTGGGAGGCTGAGGCGGGTGGATCATGAGGTCAGGAGTTCAAGACCAGCCTGGCCAAGATGGTGAAACTCTGTCTCTACTAAAAATACGAAAATCAGCTGGGCGTGGTGACAGGCGCCTGTAATGCCAGCTACTCAGGAGGCTGAGTTACAGAATTGCCTGAACCCAGGAGGCAGAGGTTGCAGTGAGCTGAGATTGTGCCACTTGCACTCCAGCCTGGGCAACAGAGCGAGACTCCTTCTCAAAAAAAAAAAAAAAAAGTAGGGACAAAGAGTAACCAATCTTCTAACACTTGCTGTAACAAGCTCTCTCTACACACATACCTGCTCACAACCAAAGCAGTAGCAGAGAGAATAAAAGAGGCAGAGAATTCTATTAGCCAGCAGGATGATTCCAACGTGGAAAAAATCTGTTAATGAAATGGGAAAGACTTCATATGGAAATGGAAAAGATTTATAAATAAGTTGGATGAGCAAGGATTTCATTTTTAATATCCTGTATAATGGAAATAAATTAAGATGGTAGAGATATTCCGAGTATAGCACATGACAGAGGGGAAGTGAAACTGAAGCAGGATGAACAGTTATGACCTCTGAGGATAGTCATAGACCATATTCCATGAAAAGAGGAAGAACAGAAATCTACAGAGGCACATAGATACATAGAAACAGCTATTGGCTGTCCGGCTGCAGCTTCTGCTAGGGCCTTCTTTTCTTTTTTTTTTTTCTTTCTTTTTTTTTTTTTTTTTTTGAGGCAGGGTCTTGCTCTGTTGCCCAGACTGGAGTGTGGTGGTGCGATTGTGGCTCATTGCAGCCTTGACCTCCTGGGCCCAAGCGATCCACCTACCTTAGCTTGCTGAGTAGTTGGGACTAAAGGTGTGTACCAGCCACTACACGGCTAGTTTTTAGTTTTTTTTTTTAAGAGACAGGGTCTTCCTGTGTTTCTAGGCTGGTCTCAAATTTCTGGGCTCAAGCAATCCTCCAGGCTTAGCTTCCCAAAGTGCTGGGATTACAGGCATGAGCCACAGCACCTGACCTCCTTTTGTTTTTTTTTTGAGACAGAGTTTCCCTCTTGTCACCCAGGCTGGAGTGCAGTGGCGCGATCTCTGCTCACTGCAACCTCCGCTTTCTGGGTTCAAGTGATTCTCCTGCCTCAGCCTCCCGAGTAGCTGGGATTACAGGTGCCTGCCACCACGCCCAGCTAATTTTTGGTAGAGATGGGATTTCACCATGTTGGCCAGGCTGGTCTCAAACTCCTGACCTCTGGTGATCCGCCCGCCTAGGCCTCCCAAAGTGCTGAGATTACAGGCATGAGCCACCACACCTGGCCCCTTTTGTCTTTGACTTGAGAAAAACATTAATCTCACAATATAACAACAGAAAAATTTACCAAATTTGCTGGGTGCAGTGGCTCATGCCTGTAATCCCAGCACTCTGGGAGGCCGAGGTGGGCGGATCACAAGGTCAGGAGTTCAAGACCAGCCTGGCCAACATGGTGAAACCCTGTCTCTACTAAAGATACAAAAAATTAGCCAGGTGTGGTGACACACTCCTGTAATCCTAGCTACTAGGGAGGCTGAGGCAGGAGAATCACTTGAGCCCGGGAGGCAGAGGTTGCAGTTGAGCTGAGATCGCACCACTGCACGCCAGCCTGGGTGACAGGGTGAGACTGTCTCAAAAAAAAAAAAAAAAAGAAAACAAAAAAAACAAATTAGTTGTTTTAATATTCATGTTCCCATCAAGTTCTTACCCATATGTATACGGAATTTCTAGCAACATAATCATGGTATAGATAAAATTCATGCCAGGCGTGGTGGTTCACACCTGTGATCCCATCACTTTAGGAGGCTGAGGTGGGTAGATTGCTTGAGTCCAGGAGTTCAAGACCAGCCTGGCCAACATGGTGAAACCCCGTATCTACTAAAAATACAAAAAAATTAGCTAGGCGTGGGGGCATGTGGCTGTCGTACCAGCTATTTGGGAGGCTGGGGTGGGAGGATCGCTTGAGGCCTGGAAGCAAGGGTTGCAGTGAGCCCAGATCTCGCCACTGCACTCTAGCCTGGGCAACAGATCCCATGATTTCCTCTGGTCTCTGTTGTACCATAGCCTTAATCACTGATTAAGTTACTGGACATGCTCTGATTAATTGCTAGTAATTTTACTTGGACATATTTATCTAGCAAAATAAACTTATAGTAATCCAACTATGACAGCAAATAATAATAAAGTAGTAAAACATAGAACATACCATATGGTCCTGATTCGCCAAGTCGTATTTCAGTGCAAATGACTTCACTCTTCCTACATATATTGTATTGTAAAATTTTATAAGATCACCTCTTTCCTCTTTCACTGGTCCACTGGAACAGTCAGGTGTTTTTGTAGCATCTTCTAAGTCTGTTAAAAAGAATGCAATGTTGTGATACAAAGCATACTTTTTATTTTTTTGAGACAGGGTCTCACTTTGTCACCCAGGGTGGAGTGCAGTGGTGCAATCTTGGCTCACTGCAGCCCTGACCTCCTGGATTCAAGTGATCCTCCCATCTCAGCCTCCTGAGTAGCTGGGACCACAGGCACGTGCCACCATGCCTGGCTATTTTTTATTTTTAGTAGAGACGGGGTTTTGCCATGTTGCCCAGGATGGTTTCCAACTCCTGGGCTCAAGTGATCCACCAGCCTCAGCCTCTCAAAGTGCTGGGATTACAGGCATGAGCCACCATGCCCAGCCACAAAGCATACTTTAATATACAAGTTGGTGATTTAAATGACCTTTCTACAATATTAAAAAAAACCCACAAATCTTTATGTAGAGAAATTAATATTTTCAGAGAAGGTTCAGCAATCCATCTGTATTACTTATAAGTCAAATTGGAATCTAGAGAAATGCAAACATATGAACTGAAGGTGGTGCTCTTTTCTCTAGATTCCACTTCAGAATGTTTTCACAACCATAGCTGTTGAGCTCACTGTCACTAGTGGCTCTTAGAGGGGTAACAGCCCTGGGCTGGTGTTTAGCTAAGTTCTACAGTATGGGAGGCAGTGGCAAACCTCAGCTTCAGACAACTAAAAGGCCTGCAGATATTCTTCTTGTGTCTTTGAGAAAGGTGGAAAGATTCTAAAAGGTAAAGCATATCCTGAGAGGTTAAGGAAGAAGCAAAATGAATTACATTTATTTCTCTGCAAATACATGGCAGGTGACAGGTGTTCTAAGAGCCTTATTGTACCACATACAACAGGAACCCTGATCAGGAACCAGTGTTCAGGTTTTACTGAGCACCCTCAATTGTAAAATAACAGCTTACCCCAACATAGTTTCCTACTTAATGGTGCAACTCTGGGATAGCTTGTGAAACCAGGCAGAACTTTGTCCTACTATTTTTTGGGGAAGGAAGAGTATTACAGGGTATTACAAACTATCATTTACTTGTATACACAAGAACCATGTGCTAAGAAAACCACTACCAATTAAAAAGAATTTAGCACATATATGAAAAAAGCTCTCATTCTCAATACACTGGCCTACAAACATTGAGAACATGGGTAGAAGCAATGCCTTCACCTTAGGAAAACCAGAAAACACAAACATGGTTCAAAAACCAAACAGCCCCAGGGGATGTCAGTCTTAATTTGGATGTCTTTTTCACTTCTGCTATTTCTAAAGGATCTTGACGAGGGTGGGAGGGGAGGGGAGCTATGTGGTTAAATAAAGTTGAGGAAATGCTGTATATTATATTGGAAATTCAGAAATTCATGTTAGTATAAGGCTCTGAGAAGTACTGCAGTTGGGGAAAAAAAATAACTCTCATGTTCACTTTAATTCCATACTTCCCCAGTTTTTTGTGTATAGTCTCTCTTCCCCCAAAACACTTTTTTTTTTTTTGAGACGGAGTCTTGCTCTGTCACCCAGCCTGGAGTGCAGTGGTGCAATCTCGGCTCACTGCAGTCTCTGCCCGCTGGGATCCAGCGACTCTCCTGCCTCAGCCTCCTGGGTAGCTGGGATTACAGAAGCATGCCACCACGTCTGGCTAATTTTTGTATTTTCAGTAGAGATGGTGTTTCGCCAGCTGGAAAGGCTGGTCTCGAACTCCTGACCTCAGGTGATCTGCCCGCCTTGGCCTCCCAAAGTGCTGGGATTACAGGCGTGAGCCACTGCGCCTGGACCCCCCAAAACACTTATACTACCATTCTGGGAAACACTGTTTCAAAGGATACTGGCTTGTTAACAGCTCTTCTAGGTTATTCTCATTATATGGATCAATTAAAATTATTTTTTTGTTTTGTTTTTATGAAAGGTTCTTGATCCTCTTGCCTCAGTCTCCCGAGTAGCTGGGACTACAGGTGCACGCTGCCACACCGAGCTAATTTTTTTTTACTTTTTGTAGAGACAGGGTCTCCCTATGTTTTCTAGGCTGGTCTCTAACTCCTGGGCTCAAGTGATCCTCCCACCTTGGCCTCTCAAAGTGCTGGGATTACAGACATGAGCGAACACGCCTGGTCTAAAATTATTTAATGTCCTCCTTAGATTAGAAATTTCTTGAGACAGAGACTATAGTGTCTCTATATTTCTGTGTCATTCCAATTCCAGCTGTTAATACTAACATAAGGTAAGGAGCTATACTTTACTTGAATGAACCAAACATTTAAAATTGTGGGAGGCTGGGTGTGGTGAAACCCTGTCTCTATAAAAATTTTTTTAAAAATTAAAGAAATTTAAAAACTAGGTGTGGTGGCATGCACCTTTAGCCCTAGCTACTTGGGAGGCTGAGATGACAGGATCGCTTGAACCCAGGAAATCAAGGTTGCAGTGAGCTATGATTGCCCCATTACATTCCAGCCTGGGCAACAGAGCAAGATCTCATCTCTAAAATTAAAAAAAAACTGAAGAAAAAAAAGACATTTAAAAAAACATACTTGGCCGGGTATGGTGGCTCATGCCTGTAATTCCAGCACTTTGGGAGGCTGAGGTGGGAGGATCACTTGAGCCCAAGAGTTCAAGACCAGTCTGGGCAACACAGTGAGACCCCATCTCGGTCTCCCAAAGTGCTGGGATTACAGGTGTGAGCCACCATGTCCGGCCAGAAATGGGTTTTTACTGATGAAAATAGTGAATGTTTATTAAGTGTGACTAATGCTAAAAAAGCCATACTCATTAATACAATAAATTTGATATTGCTTATAAATAATAGCTATTACTAAGGCCTTACTATGAACAAGCCCTGTATTAAATATTATATATATGCATATATGTATACATAGTTGTGTATTGCATAATGATGGGTTATCTTCTCAGAAATGCATTGTTGAAATGATTTTGTCATGAGAATACTATAGAATATACTTACACAAACCTAGATTGTATGGCCAACTACACACCTAGGCTGGATGGTATAGTATATTGCTCCTAAGGTACAAACCTGTACAGCATGTTACTGTATTGAATACCACAGGCAATTGTATCACAATGGCAAGTATTTGTGCATCTAAATATATCTAAACATAGAAAAGGTACAGTAAAAATACAGCACTATAATCTTATAGGACCACTGTTGTATGTGTGGACCATCACGGACTCAAACATCATTATATGGCACATGACTATGTGTGTGTGTGTGTGTGTGTGTGTGTGTCCACACATACATACATATACATATAATTATCTTTTTTATTTTTAGAGACAAGATCTTGCTCTATCACCCAGGCTGAAGTGCAGTGGTGCAATCATAGTGCACTCCAATCTCAAATTCCTGGATTCAAGTGATCTTCCTGCCTCAGCCTCCCAAGTAGTTGGGACTACAGGTGTGAGCCACCATGCCCAGCTAATTTTTTATTTTCATTTTTTGCAGACAGGGGTCTTGCTGTGTTGCTCATGCTGGTCTTTAATTTCCGGGCTCAAGGGATCCTCCTGCCTCAGCCTTCCAAAGTGCTGGGATTACAGGCATGAGCCACAACACTCAGCCTAAATATAATTCTTTTTAATCCTTAAAACAAGTTTCTAAGGAAGCAATGTAAAGTTTTCAATTAACTACAATACACTTGAGTACAGTGTTATGTTTGTGTTACTTAGGTTAAGCTATAACCTGGGTCTCACAAGTATTCTAATCAAGACTGCCACTCTGGAGCAGTCTGCTAACATGACATTGAAGAATTCACAGCCCATGAGGAGTGAGCTGGTGTTTTAATCAGGAAATTCATTCTCCACTCCAACAGTTTCTGCTAGGCATATCTCAGTCAATGACCAATGCTTTGCTCATTAACATACTCAAGGTCAGAATTTTTTTTTTTTTTTTTTTGAGAAAGAGTCTTGCTCTGTTGCCTAGGCTGGAGTGCAGTGGCACAATCTCAGCTCACTGCAACCTCAGCCCCCAGGGTTCAAGCAATTCTCTTGCCTCAGCCTCCGAAGTGGCAGGGATTACAAGTGCTTACCACCATGCCTGGCTAATTTTTGTATTTTTAGTAAAGATGGGGTTTCACCATGTCGGCAAGACTGGTCTCAAACTCCTGACCTCAAGTGATCTGCCCGCCTCGGTCTCCCAAAGTGCTGGGATTACAGGTGTGAGCCACCATGTACAGCCAGAAATGGGTTTTTACTGATGAAAATAATGAATGTTTATTAAGTGTGACTAATGCTAAAAATGAGCTCATGTTCAGGAAATCAAAAGTATTTAAGATAAGCAGATTGGTTAAAATATTTGACTCCCTCTCCCACTCCCTCTCCCCACGGTCTCCCTCTCCCTCTCTTTCCACGGTCTCCCTCTGATGCCGAGCCGAAGCTGGACTGTACTGCTGCCATCTCGGCTCACTGCAACCTCCCTGCCTCAGCCTGCCCAGTGCCTGCGATTGCAGGCGCGCGCTGTCACGCCTGACTGGTTTTCGTATTTTTTTGGTGGAGACGGGGTTTCGCTGTGTTGGCTGGGCCGGTCTCCAGCTCCTAACCGCGAGTGATCCGCCAGCCTCGGCCTGCCGAGGTGCCGGGATTGCAGACGGAGTCTGGTTCACTCAGTGCTCAATGGTGCCCAGGCTGGAGTGCAGTGGCGTGATCTCGGCTCGCTACAACCTCCACCTCCCAGCCGCCTGGCCTTGGCCTCCCAAAGTGCCGAGATTGCAGCCTCTGCCCGGCCGCCACCCCGTCTGGGAAGTGAGGAGCGTCTCTGCCTGGCCGCCCATCGTCTGGGATGTGAGGAGCCCCTCTGCCTGGCTGCCCAGTCTGGAAAATGAGGAGCATCTCTGCCCGGCCGCCATCCCATCTAGGAAGTGAGGAGCGCCTCTTCCCGGCCGCCATCCCATCTACGAAGTGAGGAGCGTCTCTGCCCGGCCGCCCATCGTCTGAGATGTGGGGAGCGCCTCTGCCCCGCCGCCCCGTCTGGGATGTGAGGAGCGCCTCTACCCGGCCGCGACCCCGTCTGGGAGGTGAGGAGCGTCTCTGCCCAGCCGCCCCGTCTGAGAAGTGAGGAGCCCCTCCGCCCAGCAGCCACCCCGTCTGGGAAGTGAGGAGCGTCTCCGCCCGGCAGCCACCCCGTCCGGGAGGGAGGTGGGGGTCAACCCCCGCCAGGCCAGCCGCCCCGTCCGGGAGGGAGGTGGGGGGGTCAGCCCCCCGCCTGGCCAGCCACCCAGTCCGGGAGGGAGGTGGGGGGGTCAGCCCCCTGCCCGGCCAGCCACCCCGTCAGGGAGGTGAGGGGCGCCTCTGCCTGGCCGCCCCTACTGGGAAGTGAGGAGCCCCTCTGCCCGGCCAGCCGCCCCGTCCGGGAGGGAGGTGGGGGGTTCAGCCCCCCCGCCAGCCAGCCGCCCCGTCCGGGAGGGAGGTGGGGGGGTCAGCCCCCCGCCCGGCCAGTCACCCCGTTGGGGAGGTGAGGGGCGCCTCTGCCCTGCTGCCCCTACCGGGAAGTGAGGAGCCCCTCTGCCCGGCCACCACCCCGTCTGGGAGGTGTACCCAACAGCTCATTGAGAACAGGCCATGATGAGAATGGCGGTTTTGTGGAATAGAAAGGGGGGAAAGGTGGGGAAAAGATTTGAGAAATCGGATGGTTGCCGTGTCTGTGTAGAAAGAGGTAGACATGGGAGACTTCTCATTTTGTTCTGTACTAAGAAAAATTATTCTGCCTTGGGATCCTGTTGATCTGTGACCTTACCCCCAACCCTGTGCTCTCTGAAACATGTGCTGTGTCCACTCAGGGTTAAATGGATTAAGGGCGGTGCAAGATGTGCTTTGTTAAACAGATGCTTGAAGGCAGCATGCTCGTTAAAAGTCATCACCACTCCCTAATCTCAAGTACCCCGGGACACAAACACTGCGGAAGGCCGCAGGGTCCTCTGCCTAGGAAAACCAGAGACCTTTGTTCACTTGTTTATCTGCTGACCTTCCCTCCACTATTGTCCTATGACCCTGCCAAATCTCCCTCTGCGAGAAACACCCAAGAATGATCAATAAAAAAAAAAAAAAAAAAAATTTGAGACACTACCCTCAATAGCCATGAAAGGGATGAAAGATCCAGTGAAGTCTCTCAGCTTTACTCTTAGGGATAATAATGTTAAGGCTAAAAGCTCTGAGAAGTCCTGTGTCCAGCCCTGAATTCTGATCCACGGTATTTGCTTGATGGTAGCCTTAAGGTTGACTGAATCCTGCATCTGAAATCTTGGCACCTGTTCTTGAGCAAATCTTTTCTATGGGTGCTGGTCAGACATAGAACTGGGATATATGAACTTACTGCATAGGATATATAAATTGTGTGTGTGCTTTTTAAACAGTAATTATTTTACAACTCATAATGAATTTGTTTATAGAACCAGAACTGTTTTTCCCAAGTTGGTGTTCTTTGGTGTGTCCAAATCTGGGTCATAGCATCTAACCATAGCTCTAAGAACTGGAAGGTGACTTATCTGAATATAGACTTGTCTGACTGTATATCCTCCTACATAACTTTCTCTCTTTTTTTTTTTTTTTTTTGAGACAGGGTCTTGCTCTGTCTGGAGTACAGCGGCAAGATCATGGCTCACTGCAGCCTTGACATCCTGGGCTCAAGCCAACCTCCCAATTCAGCCTCCTGAGTAGCTTGGACTACAGAAGCCCACCACCATGTGTGGCTATTTTAAAAAATTTTTTGTAGCAATAGGCTGTCACTATGTTACCCACAATGGTCTTGAACTCCTGGGTTCAAGCCACCCTCCTGGCTTGGCCTCCCAAAGTGCTGGGATTGTAGATGTAAGCCACTGTGTTCTCTCTTTTTGAGTGCCAGAATTCCTGAGTTCATTATCACTGGATATTCTCCCTGCCCTGTGCCACCACCACTGTACAGGATCTGTAACAATGGTTGTTTGCTTACTTGCTAATAAATATATCTAGTTAATAACCGTATGTAAGGCAGTGTGCGGTGACTCACGCCTGTAATCCCAGCACTTTGGGAGGCCAAGGCAGATGGATCACTTGAACCCAGGAGTTCAAGACTGGCCTTGGCAACATGGTGAAACCCCATCTCTACAAAAAATATAAAAATTAGCCAGGACGTGGCTGAGTCGAGAATCACTCGGGCCTGGGAGGTCAAGGCTGCAGTGAGCTGTGACTGTGCCACTGTACTCCAGCCTGGGTGACAGAGCAAGACATGGTCTCAAAACAAACAAACAAAAGGTCAGGTGCAGTGGCTGACGCCTGTAATCCCAGCACTTTGGGAGGCCAAGGCGGGTGGAATACCTGAGATCAGGAGTTCAAGACCAGCCTGGCCAACATAGCAAAACCCCATCTCTACTAAAAATACAAAAATTAGCTGGGCCTGGTGGCAGGTGCCTGTAATCCCAGCTACTCGGGAGGCTGAGGCAGGAGAATCACTTGAACCTGGGAGGCGGAGGTTGCAGTGAGCCGAGATCGCACCATTGCACTCCAGCCTGGGCAACAAGAGTGAGACTGTATCTCAAAAAAAAAAAAAAAAAAAAGAAAGAAAGAAAGAAATTGTGTAGCAGAATTTGATCTGAAACCTATATATACAGGAAGTGGCAAACTCTCAGTCACCCAAGTTTCTTTGGCAGATACTTATCAAAAAGAAAACAAAACAGAAAACGACATCGTCTATTATCTTTTGCTTACTTCTACTCTCTGGAACTTCACTGCTCTTGTAGCTCAGATACTTGCTAGCAGTTAGTTTCTCATAGAAAAAACACAAAACAGGCAAGTGATCCACAGCTTTCTAGCTAACCTCTGATGTCTGGTTTTGTAGGAACAGAAAAACCACCCTGGATAGGTAAGCAACATGTATAACAAATATAGAAAATGGCTTTTTTTGTTGTTGTTTTTTTTTTTTGAGATGGAGTCTCACTCTGTCGCCCAGGGTAGAGTGCAGTGGCGCGATCTCCGCTCACTGCAAGCTCCACCTCCTGGGCTCATGCCCTTCTCCTACCTCAGCCTCTGGAGCAGCTGGGACTACAGGCGCCCGCCACCACGCCCGGAGAATTTTTTGTATTTTTAGTGGAGACGAGGTTTCACCGTGTTAGCCAGGATGGTCTGGATCTCCTGACCTCATGATCCACCTGCCTCGGCCTCCCAAAGTGCTGGGATTACAGGCGTGAGCCACCGCACCCGGGCTTGTTTGTTTTTTTGAGATAGAGTCTAGCTCTGTCGCCCAGACTGGAGTGCAGTGGCAGGATCTTGGCTCACTGCAACCTCTGCCGCCCAAGTTCAAGTGATTCTCCTGCCTCAGCCTCCTGAGTAGCTGGGATTACAGGTGTCTGCCACTGCACCTGGTAATTTTTGTAGTTTTAGTAGAGACGGGTTTCACCATCTTGGCCAGGCTGGTCTTGAACTCCTGATTTTGTGATCCACCCGCCTCGGCCTCCCAAAGTACTGGATTACAGGCGTGAGCCACCGTGCCCAGCGGTTTTTTTTTTTTTTTTTTTTTCTTGAGATGGAGTCTCACGCTGTCACCCAGGCTGGAGTGCAGTGGTGTGATCTTGGCTCACTGCAACCTCTGCCTCCTGGGTTCAAGCAATTCTTGTGCCTCAGCCTCCTAAGTAGCTGGGATTACAGGTGCTCACCACCATGCCCAGCTAATTTTTGTATTTTTAGTAGAGACAAGGTTTCGCCATGTTGGCCAGGCTGGTCTCGAACTCCTGACCTCAGATGATCCACCCACCTTGGCCTCCCAAAGTGCTGGGATTACAGGTGTGAGCCACCACACCCGGCTAGGGTTACTGTCTTATATACTCCTCGTTGCCTTGAAAAGGCTCCAGAATAATACACTTATGTAAAAAGAATTGAGTTTGGCCTATTATCCTCAAACGGAGTCAGATTCTAGGACATTATTAAAAGATCTTTTTGGTGAATGAAATCTTAAAAGTTTATATCCCAGTGGACACCATAATGATTATGGATATTTTTATAATTTAAAAATTTGCTTTAATTCATCAGATTTTCTCTTAAGAATTTATCCTAAGGATGTGGCCTAAAGATTAAGCTACAAATGATGCTCATCACAGAGCTGTGCATAATTAGAAGCAACCTGGCCAGGCATGGTGGCTTACACCTGTCATCCCAGCACTTTGGGAGGCCATGGTAGGGAGACTGCTTGAGCCCAGGAGTTGGAGACCAGCCTGGGCAACATGGCAAAATCCCACCTCTACAAAAAATTAGTTGGGTGTGGCACAAGACTGAGATGAAAGGAGCACCGGAGGTCAGGGCTGCAGTGAGCCATGATTGTGCCACTGCATGCCTGCCTGGGTAACAGAGTAAGATCCTGTCTCAGAAAAGAAAAGAAAAGAAAAAATAAAAGAGAAAGGAGGGCAGGGGAGGGGGAGAGGAGGGGGATGGGGATGGGAAGAAGAGAGGAAAGGAGAGGAGAGGAGAGGGGAGAGGAGAGAAGACGAGACGAGACGAGACAAGACGAGACAAGAAAAGGAGAAATGACCTAAATGTCTCACACTGTGGCATTAAAGAAATCACAGTACCTAGGCTTAGCACAGTGGCTCATGCCTGTAATCCTAGTACTTTGGGAGGCCAAGGTGGGCGGATCACTTGAGCTCACGATTTCGAGACCAGCCTGAGCAAACATGGCAAAATCCCGTCTCTACAAAAAATATAAAAATTCGCCAGGGTGATGGTGCATGCCTGCAGTTCCAGCTACTCGGGAGGCTGAGGTGGAAGGATTGATTGAGCCTGGGATGTCCATGCTGCAGTGAGTCATGATCATACCACTGCACTTCAGTGTAGGTGACAGAACAAAACCCTATCTCAAAAAAAAAAAATCATAGTATATACACATGTATATATTACATACACCTGAAATACATGGAAAGATGAGACAAGGGAAAGGAGGTAGGCAGAAGAGGTGTATGAATACTAACCATTTGATTTTTCTTTCTTTGAAAAAAAAAGATTACTAGTGCCTGAAGTCTTAGCATGATGGTGGCAAGAGGGTGCAGTCTTGCCTGTGGTAGCAGAATTACCTATAAGTAATACTTATATGAACAGGACATTTTCTTGTGTGTGTGTGTGTGTGTGTGTGTGTGTGTGACAGAGTCTCACTTTGCCGCCAGGCTGGAGTGCAGTGGCGTGATCTCAGCTCACTGCAACCTCCGCCTCCTGGTTTCAAGCGATTCTCCTGCCTCAGGCTCCTGAGTAGCTGGGACTACAGGCGTATACCACCACACCTAGCTAATTTTTGTATTTTTTTTTTAAGTAGAGATGGGGTTTCACCATGTTGGCCAGGATGGCCTTGATCTCTTGAACTCGTGATCCACCCGCCTTGGCCTCCCAAAGTGCTGGAATTACAGGTGTGAGCCACCATGCCCAGCCGGGACATTTTCTTAACAGACTCCTCGGGAAGATTACTGTCAGCTACCTTGTTTTCCCTGTCATTCAGATTTTAGAATTTTATTAAGTCTCTTTTACGTGTTTCATTAACATGTATAAGTAGACTAGAAAACTTCTTCCAAAACACAATTAACAGGGGACAAATTAATGGTTTCAATAAACTATACCAGCACATTCTAATCTCAAACTTATTTGTTTTCAAAACATATGCATTGTCCACCTCACCTCCTTATGATTCACATTTCCATGTTGTCTGACACCCACTGTATTATGTACAGTGTGATCCAATGTGTTTTACATATAATATGTTAAATTGGATAACTTACCACAATCTATCATTTCAAAGTCATCATTTATATTTTTATTATATGCCACAACTTCTCTTGGAATACTTTTCAGCAGAACACTTCTATATACCTACATGCCAGAGGGGAAGAAAAGGACAGCTCAGTCACAGAGGTACAGGTTAAACAAAATCAAAGTGAGAAGAGCAAAATATCAAACCAATTAAAAACTATTTGTCTGTATAAGTGATACTCAAGGGTAAAATGTTATTAGCTCTAGTAAGTATAGATTATAACACATACCATAAAAGAGGGGATACTGGAGAAGAGCCTACCATCTAAGATGGGCTTAGTTTATAAAACAGAAGAAATAGCAACTAAAGACTGATGATCAGGTTTTACTAAATGAAAGCAACTTTAAAGACCTGAATTTGGTCAGGTGCAGTGGCTCACACCTGTAATCCCAGCACTTTGGGAGGCTGAGGTGGGTGGATCACTTGAGGCCAGGCGTTCAAGACCAGCTGGCCAACATGGTGAAAGCCCATCTCTACTAAAAATACAAAAATTATCTGGGTGTGGTAGCGCACAGTTGTAATTCCAGCTACTAGGGAGGCTGAGGCAGAACTGCTTGAACTCAGTGGGTGGAGGTTGCATTGAGCTGAGATCGCACCACTGCACTCCAGCCTGGACAACAGAGCAAGACTCTGCTCAAATACAAAACAAAATAAAACAAACAAACAAAAAACAAAAGACCTGAATTAATTCCTCCTTCTTCTTAATTCCTTACACAACAATCAATTGGTCTTTTTTTTCTTTTTTTTTTTAGAGACAGGGTCTCACTCTATGGCTCAGACTGGAGTGCAGTGGCACAATCATGGCTCACTGTAGCCTTGACCTCCTGGGCTCAGGCAATCTGTCTGCCTTGGCCTCCTTAACTGGTGGGATTACAGGCGTGAGCCACTGCGCCTGGACCAGAGTCATTTGTTCTTAATGCAGCTTGTTTTTCTGCCCCCAGCCCATTCCCATCTCCTTTCAGATGGCCACATGAAAATCTTTTCCCTTCCCTGCCCCTAAACTATTTCTCACCTCTGAGATAGCTGGAAAGGCATGATCCATTCCCCCTTGTACTGTATTATAGGTTACTGGTATTAAGAAGATATTCAGGGAACCATGGCTTGGCCCATTCTTGACTCACACTAACCTCACCTTAATGATCTTCAAGGACAATCTAGAGCTTTCTAGGCTCTGTTCCTGAGGGATTTTCCTGAAGAAGCCCAGAAACTCTTAGCTTATCACAGGATATAACAAATACCTGTACTTGGTTCTTCAAATGTCTCTATATTGCTTGCTATAATGTATTTTAGGGCTTAAACAAAGCTCTCTTAGAAGGGGATATAACTACTAATACTGAGGCCACATCTCTATTTTGGTCTGCAGTCTAGGCCACTACCTCTCTCTTTCTGTCTACAATTTCCAGGGCCAGAGAAGAGGCCATTATGCTTCCTAAGAGCAGAGCAACTAGGTTCTTGAATGATCAAACCCTTAAGGTAATTTACTTGTGTTCTTCAGGTACAATAATAACAACAATATGACATGAACATTCATTAAATGCTTATTGTGTGCCAGTCCACTCTGCTACCATGACTGAAAGGTTTCATGGAATTTTCACCACGGTCAGAACAATATAATCAGAAATGTTTAACATCTATTCAAAGATGCAAACATTAGGATGCTTAGCAGATGGCAAAAGAAGCTGTAGTTAGGTTAATGAATCCTCAAATTTCACTGGGTTTAAATATCATTAAAAAATAAAGTCATATAATTAAAGAATATTATTATTATTATACATAACTTTTTTTTTTTTTTTTTTGAGACAGAGTCTCGCTCTGTCGGCCAGGCTGGAGTGCAGTGGAATGCTCTTGGCTCACCGCAACCTCTGCCTCCTGGGCTCAATCAATTCTCCTGCCTCAGCCTCCCGAGTAGCAGGGATTATAGGCGTGTGACACCACGCCTGGCTAATTTTTGTATTTTTAGTAGAGACAGGGTTTTACCATATTGGCCAGGCTGGTCTCGAACTCCTGACCTCAGGTAATCCACCTGCCTCCACCTCCCAAAGTGCTGGGATTACAGGCGTGAGACACCGCACCCAGCCATTATACATATCTTTCATTAAATGAACAAATGGAATGGCAGAACTTATGAGAAGTATATGAAAGTATATGGATGAGTCGGAAACAGTCAGACTTCCTGGCTTCTATTGAAACTGTCCTTCAATGAAATTATCTCTTGAGTTTAATGTTATCCATTAAAACAGAAAATCTGAAGTATATTAAAACTATAAAATAAGTTTACCTTTTATATAACTTGTCAGTGGAAAAGAGTAAATCTATTTTTGGACAGTAGGAAAAATAATGTAACTCACGTGACTATTAGCTTGGGGCTGATTCCTATAACTTTTCATAATTTCTTGAAAAGTTCTTTCTTCTTTTGTTACCTAAGGAAAATAAAAACCGCATTTATCAACTGCTTTTTGAAAGAAAAATGGCTCTGAACAAAACTTCAATTATAAGTTGGCACTGAGAGCAACCTTGCAGAAAACCATTAACCCCAGGCCAGTCCATGACTAAAAACCACTAACATTTATGATTTTTTCTACCTTTAAAGTTCAGGCTTTGTGGCCTGTGGGGACTCACTTAATAGTTTCATTAATCAAAAAGCAGTGAAACTGCTATGGTGTGACTCTACTGAAAATCCATTTCTTTATATAAAAAAAGATATAAGAAAACTCAGATCTGTTTAATTCCCTGCAGTCTCCAGTTTTATTAATTTTTAAGTACTTACTTAAAAGTAAATTAACCACATACGAAGGATTAAAAATATCTTACAGTGATGATTCTCAATCAAACTGAGTGGCTATTACAGGATTAGGTTTTAACATTTCAGGACAGACTGTAGGGTTTCTAATGCTTAGACAGAAGTCACAGTGGTGGCCAAAAGGAAGAAAATGGATTAGTGATCCAAAAAGGAATTCCTTCTGGGATCTCTGTGATCATAAACTTCACTTAAGTCACTCTTTTCCCCTGCTTCACTGTCCATTAGTGCTAAACCTGTTCTCTATAATGATGAGCTAGAAATGGCAAAGCCTGAACTCTAACAGTCTTCTGGAAAACACACGATTAGTTAGTAACATTTATCTTTTAATTTTTTAATTCTTTTTTTTTTTTTTGAGATAGAGTCTCAGTCTGTCATCCAGGCTGGAGTGCAGTGGCATGATCTTGGCTCACTGCAACCTCTGCCTCCCGGTTTCAAGTGATTCTCCTGCCTCAGCCTCCCGAGTAGCTAGGACTACAGGCGCGTGCCACCATGCCCAGCTAATTTTTGTATTTTTAGTAGAGACAGCGTTTCACTGTGTTAGCCAGGATGGTCTTGATCTCCTGACCTCGTGATCTGCCTGCCTTGGCCTCCCAAAGTGCTGGGATTACAGGCATGAGCCTGCGCCCGGCCCTTCAGGTTGAGTTTTCTAACTGCAACTTCATCATTCTGCAAATCAGCAAGATACACTTCAAACACATGACTCTTGAAGCTATCAGATGCAATTTGGTTCCTTGAGTCCTGGTAACTAGTGTCTTTCCAGTATTTCTTGTATTGAACATAGTCGGTGCTTTTTTACATCAAACCAATCTTTCTTAAAAAATGAATCAACCATTTTCTTCTTTGCTCCCTTTTTGTTGCCTTTTGTATGGTGCATTTTCTCGTCAACCACCATAGTGCTGCAGTAACAATTATTAAGACCTATTTTTTACAGAGATTTCAAAGAGGCATTGTGGGAGGAGGGGTCACAAAGGAGTTTAAAAACATATGCTCTGTCTCAAAAAGCTGAAAAATCAAGTCTTAACTGTATACATCTGCTAGGACTGCCAGTGTGGCCAGTACAGTCAAGACAAATGATTGTATCAGATATATGAGAATTTTAAAAAACAAGCAAGATATGTTATTCCATGACTTAAAACACGTTGTAGCAACTAGAAAGTAAAATGCTCTTCTGAGGCAGCACAATAAATCACGAGAAAGCAATATGCGATATGGTACAGAAACTTTTATTTTTCTTGAGACAGGGTCTTGCTCTATTGCCCAGGCTGAGGTACAGTGTCATGATCTCGGCTCACTGCAGCCTTGGCCTCCTGGGCTCAAGAGATCCTCCCACCTCAGTCTCCCAAGTAGCTGGGCCTATAGGTGCAAGCCACAATGCCCAGCTGATTTTTATATTTTTTATAGAGATGAGGTTTCACCATGTTGCCCAAGCTGGTCTCGAAATCCTGGGCTCAAGCTATCTGCTCACCTTGACCTCCGAAAGTGCTAGGATTATACGTGTGAGCCACCATGCCCAGCCTCTTCTCCCAATTTATACATTACCTTTGCCATGATATAAAAGGCACAAAGGAGGAGCTGATCCAAATGCCTGTCTTTCATTAGATCAGGACAGTGAACTAAAGTGAATTCAAAACACGTCCATATCTTCCTTCGTAACTCATTTGAAACATCCAGTTTTAGACATAGATCACGTAAGCGTACACTTGCCAAATGATAGACCTAAAATAGAAGGTAACACATTGATGCAAAACACCAAGTAAATCATTTCTCAAATTTTTATGTCTTACCAAGACCAAGATTAAAAAACATAGGCTGTTGATATACTAAATTAAATAAAATTTCTGTTCTATAGCACTAGTTCACTGCTATGGCAGGAGGATATAGATTAAAGCAAAACTACTTGAAAAAATTTTTTAAAGATGTCATCTATTACTCTATGCTGCCAACTATGTAAAGTAAGAAAAAATGAAATATAGGATTTACCTGCATCATGACAATTATGAACATATAATTTTTCCTTTTTTTTTTTTCTTAGGTGGATTCTCGCTCTGTCACCCAGGCTGGAGTGCAGTGGCACAATCTTGGCTCACTGCAACCTCTGCCTTCTGCATTCAAGCAATTCTCCTGCCTCAGCCTCCCGAGTAACTGGGCTTACAGGTGCATGCCACCACGCCTAGCTAAATTTTTGTATTTTTAGTAGAGACAGGGCTTCATCATGTTGGCCAGGCTGGTCTTTAACTCTTGACCTCAAGTAATCCATGCACTGCAGCCTCCCAAAGTACTGGGATTACAGGTGTGAGCCACTGTGCCCGGCTCGAATGCATAATTTTTCAAAGCTCAGAAGTCTCTGTCTATTCTCTTTGGGTTCAGGTAAAATTGCTAGGGGGTCTAACATGCCAAATAATAAATGAAATATTTGACTCCAAAAATGAGTCAGAAAGCAAAACCATTTAAAAAATTGCTCCTATATTCTACACTTTTTAGGAGCACAATGGGAACGAAACAGGAATGTTAAAATAAGTAAGATACAAAGTTGTTGTTTTTTTTAAAGCCTGTGAAAATAAATTCAGTTCAATTCCCTGGCCCTAGATCCTGCAAGATTGTTTTTTTATTTTAAGACTTGATAACCGTGATGTGGTATTCCTAAACCAGACTATTCTATTCAAACTATTTTTTTTTTTTTTTTTTTGAGACGGAGTCTCACTCTGTAGCCTAAGTTGGAGTGCAGTGGCATGATCTTGGCTCACTGCAACCTCCACCTCCGGGCTCAAGTGATGCTTGTGTCTCAGCCTCCCGAGTAGCTGGGACTACAGGCAAGTGCCACCACGCCTGGCTAATTTTTTTTTTTTTGTATTTGAGTAGAGATGGGGTTTCACCATGTTGCCTAGGGTGGTCTCGAACTCCTGAGCTCAGGTGATCTGCTGGCCTCGGCCTCCCAAAGTGCTGGGATTACAGGCATGAGTCACTGCGCCTGGCCCAAACTATGTCTTTAAATTTCCAGATGGAAAAAAAAAGTTACCCCTTACAGAAAATTATCTTTGGCAGAAAAATACCTACAAACCGAGCTTAAAAACTAATTTAAGCTACTCAGTGATCTAATATAAAGAGAGACAAACAGTTGACTCCAAAGCCACCAGTGATTTATTTTACAGCAAACAAATTTTCTGCATCCTCTCCCCTTGTTTCTGGTCCAGCCATGCTCAGTAAATAGTAGGGTAAGAGCAGAGAGAAAGATGCTAGAACTTTATATTCATGAAAGGAGAAGATAAGATATATAGTCCTAGCTAGAATAATTAAAAATAATATGTAGTTAAGTAATACTTGGTAAAGTATCTTTTACAGAGCTGATCCAATGCTTACAGGATACACATACGCTGGAAGGCTTTTGATTCTAACATTCACAGTAAATTCTATTTAGGCATAGAACACCAGCATCACACTGAGTTCAGCATAGATAATCGTTATAATTTACTCAATGAATGGTTATTTTGAATTTATTATAGATTCAGACATTTCAGTTCCTTTTATATTTTCTAGCTTCTAATCTATGAGCAGGTTATAATTAAATGAAAGGAAAAGGATGTTAGATTCTAAAACAACATTCAAAATAAAGAATTCACCAAAAAGTCTTATTTCTGTCAAACTTAGGTTAATTATCAGAGGCAATAATTTGCCATTTTGAAAATTAAAAATGGTAAGTAAATGGGGAAACTGCTATATTTTCAAGCTCTGTTGTTAAAACAGTCCTTAGGCATAGGAGGGGGTGAAGGGACAGAGGAGAGAAGCCAGTAAAGGTGGTGAAAAGAGCAAGACTCTCCCTCAACCATCCCAACTGCCAACCAAAGCAGCTCTGCTTTCATATATTTTGTTTATACTTCTGAAGACTATTTCATTCAAAGAAGGGATTTCCCTAAAAGATGAAATTCCTTGGAGAATCAGTTGCTCCAAAACCCACAATGTAATGAAAATAAATGAGCTATAATTGAAAGGAACAGAAGACAAAGAATGGTTGTAGAAGCTATAAATGAGTTGTTTTCCAGTGTCTGTCTCCTCTTCTGCAATAACAGAACCCTTAACATTTACACCCACCTTCCTGTAATAAAGACTATATTTGCCCCTTTGAAAATTCTGCCTGGGCACGGTGGCTCACATCTGTAATCCCAGCACATTGGGAGGGTGAGGTGGACGGACTGGTTGAGTCCAGGAGTTTGAAACCATCCTAAGCAACATAGCGAAACCCCTTCTCTACAAAAAATTAAAAAATAAGCTGGGTGTGGTAGCCTGTGCCTATAGTCCCAGCTACTCAGGAGGCTGAGGTGAGAGGATCGCTTGAGCCCGGGAGGTTGAGGCTGCAGTGAGCCATGATCTTGCCACTGCACCCCTGCACGGGTGACAGAGCAAGACCTTGTCTCCAAAAAGAAAAAAAAAAACATTCTACAAGTGGCTATATGACTAAGTGGGAAATAAACAGCATTGGTGTATGTAACTTCTAGGACAGGTTCTGAAGGTGAGGAGGCATGCTCTTTTTCTTTCTGCTGGCTAGAATGCAGATATGATATCTGGAAGGGAAGCAGTCATCATGGACTGAGTTAGAAACCTTGTGTTGAAAATGGCCAAAAAAACCTTGAAGGGACCTGGGTTTTTTTTTTTTTTGAGATGGAGTCTTGCTCTGTCACCCAGGCTGGAGTGCGGTGGCGTGATCTCGGCTCACTGCAACCTCCGCCTCCCAGGTTCACGCCATTCTCCTGCTTCAGCCTCCCGAGTAGCTAGGACTACAGGTGCCTGCTACCATGCCTGGGTAATTTTTTTGTATTTTAAGTAGAGATGGGGTTTCACCATGTTAGCCAGGATGGTCTCGAACTCCTGACCTCATGATCCGCCCGTCTTGGCCTCCCAAAGTGCTAGGATTATAGGCGTGAGCCACCGACCTGGCCAGGACCTGGGTTCTTAATGGTCGTGGTAACCACAGCAGTCCCATACTATTTACACAGACTTTATGTGAAAGATAAATTCTCTTGTTTAAGCTACTATTATTTTCAAACAGCTAAACTGAAATCTAAGAAATAAATAGATAATCACTATGCCCGAGGTCAGAAAACACATTAGAGGTACTGTGAAAGAAATAGGATTTGATATAAAAATGTAAAAAATAATCCTCATGTTTTATCTTAATGTAAAATTATCTAATTCAGAGTGTGGGCTGAGACCTTCCATGACATCAAGTGACAAAAGAATGGAGAAAAACATGATTGAGGAAGAGTATAAATTAAAGAAGATTTATTTAGCATAGAGAAAAAAGGACATATAAAAAATTATTGCCGGGCGCAGTGGCTCATGCCTGTAATCCCAGCACTTTGAGAGGCCAAGACGGGTGGATCACGAGGTCAGAAGTTCAAGATCAGCCTGGCCAAGATGATGAAATCCCATCTCTACTAAAAATACAAAAATTAGCCGGGTGTGGTGGCACACACATGTAATCCCAGCTACTCAGGAGGCTGAGGCAGGAGAATTGCTTGAACCCGGGCGGCAGAGGTTGCAGTGAGCCAAGATCGTGCCACTGCACTCCAGCCTGGGTGACAGAGCAAGACTCCATCTCAAAAAAAAAAAAAATTATTAGGCTGGGCGCAGTGGCTCACACCTGTAATACTAGTACTTTGGGAGGCTGAGGTGGTGGATCACTAGGTCAGGAGATCGAGACTGTTCTGGCCAACGTGGTGAAACCCTGTCTCTACTAAAAATAAAAAAATTAGCTGGGCATGGTGGTGCGTCCCTGTAATCCCAGCTACTCGGGAGGCTGAGGCAGAGAATTGCTTGAACTAGGGAGTCAGAGGTTGCAGTGAGCTGAGATTGCACCACTGCACTCCAGCCTGGTGACAGAGTGAGACTCCATCTTAAAAAAAAACAACAAAAAAAAACAACAAAAAAAAACCAAAAAATTATTACAAGAACAATTAGTTGGGCATGGTGGCTCACACCTGTTGTAATCCCAGCACTTTGGGAGGCTGAGGTGGGAGGATCGCTTGAGCCCAGGAGTTCAAGATGAACCTGGGAAACACAGCGAGACTCCATTTCTACCAAAAAAAAAAAAAATTTAGCTGGGTGGGGTGGTGCATGCCTGTGGTCCTACTACTCAGGAGGCAGGAGGATCTCTTGAGCTTGGGAGGTAGACTGCAGTGAGACATGATCGTGCCTATGCACTCTAGTCTGGGCGACAGAGCAAGACCCTGTCTCAAAATAATAATAAAAAAAGAATGATTAGTAGAGAAATACACTTAAATTTGCCTGTAGACCCAGGTACTCGGAGGGTAATGAAAGAGGATCACTTGAGCCTAGGAGTTTGGGCTCTAGCGTGCTATAACTGTGCCTGTGAATAGTCACTGTACTCCAACCTGGGCAATAGAATGGGCTAGCCAACCATCTAGCTGTGGGATGCACTGCAGTCATGTTTGGTTATAAATATCTGATTAACATGTCTATCTTATCAGAAGCTGATGATTCAAAATGTGCTCGTAAGAGATAGGACAAATTCAAGTTATGTCTAAGGTCAACCGTTTTTAGTCCCTTTCCATTAATATTAAAATAATTTAGGCATTATAATAAGAACTGGTCATATGCTAATTTAAAGGGTAACACATTAGATTTATTTTATTTATTTTTGAGTTTTGGAGACGGGATCTTACTCTGTTGCTTGGGCTGGAGTGTAGTAGCACCTTCTTAGCTCACTGCAGCCTCGAAATCATGGGCTCATGTTATCCTCCCACTTCAGCCTCCTGAGTAGCTGGGACTACAGGCATGGGCCACTATGCTGGCTAATTTTTTAATTTTTTGGTAGAGACTGGGTCTCGCTATGTTGCCCAGGCTGGTCTTGAACTGCAAGCCTCAAGTAACCCTCCTGGCTTGGCCTCTGAAAATACTGAGATTACAGGCATAAGCCACCATGCCTGGCCTAGATTTATAATAAAAATTATGAGTAACAGCTGGGCATGGTGGCGCATGCCTGTAATCCCAGCACTTTGGGAGGCTGTGGTGGGCAGATCACCTGAGGTCAGGAGTTTGAGACCAGGCTGGCCAATATGGTGAAACCACGTCTCTACTAAAAATACAAAAATTAGCCAGGTGTGGTGGTGGACACCTATAGTCCCAGCTACTTGGGAGGGTGAGGCAGGTGAATCGCTTGAACCTGGGAGACAGAAGCTGTAGTGAGCCGAGATCACGCTACTGCATTCCAGCTTGGTAGACAGAGTAAGACTGTCTCAAAAATAAATAAATAAATAATGGCTTGGGTGGTGACTCACACAGTAATCCCAGTGCTTTGGGAGGTCAAAGAGGGAGGATCACTTGAACCCAGGAGTTCAAGGCTACAGTGTGCCATGATCATGCCACTGCACTGTAGCTTGGGTAACAGAGCAAGACCTTGTCTCTAAAAATAATAATAATAAAAAATATATAGCCTTCTCACAGTATCCCAGCAATCTTTAGAATGATTCTTCGCTAATTAAAATTCACCCATGAGATCCAACATGTATTTGTCCCACAGTGAACTCCATTCTACGGCAACATAACACAAAAGAGTTTCAGTAAATTCCAGAGGCTGGCCAACTACTTACTCAAAGTTAGAAAAGAATACAAGCTGGCAAAAAACATAAGTTAGATCTGAAAACAGAATCAAACCCTGTGAGCCTGAGTCTAAACTTATAGCTCACCAGGATCATAATGTTCTCTTGAAAGGTCAAATGTATTTTTTAAGTGGCTAAAGGTACATTACTTGATAGCAAAGCCAGACAAAGAAAGCATAAGAAAAAATACAGACCACTATCTCTTACGAATATTGGCGCAAAAATCCTCAACTAAATACTAGTAAAACAAATTCAACAGCATATGAAGAGGGTTATACACCATGACCAAGTAGAACTTATTTTTAGAAGGTAAGGATAATTTAAAACAAGGAAATCATTCAGTATAACACACCATATTAAAAGGACAAAGGGAAAATGGCCACATAATCATTTCAAGTGATACAGGAAAGCATTTGACAAAATTTAACACCCTTTCATGATAAAAATACTCAAAAAGCTAGGAAGAGAAGGAAACTACCTAAACATAATAAAGGATATACAGTAATCCCTTGGTATACACAGGAGATTTCTTCCAGGAGCCCCTGCATATACCTGAATGTATGCATACTCAAGTCCTGCATTTGGCCCTGTAGAATCCCCATGTACAAAAAGATGGCCCTCTATATACACAGGTTTCACATCCCTCAAATACTGTATTTTCATTCTGTGTTGGCTGAAAAAAATCTGTATATAAGTGGACTTGTACAGTGCAAAAACATGTTGTTCAAGGGTCAACTGTATATAAAAAACCCACAGTTAACATCATACTCAAATTGAAAACCTGAAAGGTGTTCCTCTAAGATCAGGAGTAAGACAAGGATGTTTGCTTTCACCACTTTTATTCAACATAGAACGGGAATTCCTAGCTAGAGCAATAAGGCAGGAAAAAGAAATCCAAATTGCAAAGAAAGAAGTAAAATTATCTTTGTTCACAGATGACATAATCTTGTGTATGGAAAACTCAAAAAACCTAAAGAATCCATAAAAACTGATAGAATTAATAAACAAATCAGCAAAGCTGCAAGAAAATCAATACAACAACATCTCTTGTGTTCCTTTACATTAATGAACAATCTAAAAAATGAAATTAAGACAATTCTACTTACTTATTACTTACAATAGCATCAAAAAGAATACTTAGGAATAATCTTAAGCAAGGACTTGTCTTGCAAAAGACATATACAGAAAACTACAAAATGTTGCTGAAAGAAATTAAAGAAGACGCAAATGAAAAGACATCCTATGATCATGGACTGGAAGACTTGACATTCTTAAGATGTCAACACTAGCCAATGCGATCTCCATATTCAATGCAATCTCTGTCAAAATTCCACAATGTTTTTGCAGAAAGAGAAAAATCCATCCTAAAACTCATACAGACTCTCAAGAAATCTTAAATAGCTAAAACAATCTTAAGAAAGAAAAACAAAGTTGGAGGTCTCACACCTCCTGATTTTAAAACTTATGACACAAAGCTATGGTTATCAAAACAGTGTGGTACTGAATACAGATAGACATATAGTCCAATGAATAGAATAGAGAGCCCAGAATTAAACCCCCATATCTATGCTCAAGTGACTTTTCAACAAGGATTCTAAGCTCATTCAATGGGAAAGGGCAGTCTTTCAACAAATCGTGCTGGGAAAAATGGATATCCATGTGCAAAAGAATGACTTTAGACCCTTATCTAACACCATATACAAAAATTAAAATGGGCTGGGCGTGGTGGCTCACGGCTGTAATCCCAGCACTTTGGGAGGCTGAGGTGGGCAGATCACTTAAGCTCACGAGTTGAGACCAGCCTGGGCAACATGGTGAAACCCCGTCTCTACAAAAAAGTTCAAAAACAGGCCCGGCGTGGTGGCTCACACCTGTAATCCCAGCACTTTGGGAGGCCAAGGTGGGTGGATCACCTGAGGTCAGTAGTTTGAAACCAGCCAAACCAGCACGGTGAAACCTCGTCTCTACTAAAAATACAAAAATTAGCCAGGCGTGGTGGCATATTCCTGTAGTCCCAGCTACTCAGGAGGCTGAGAAAGGAGAATTGCTTGAACCCGGGAGGCAGGGGTTGCAGTGAGCCGAGATTGCGCTACTGCACTCCAGCCTGGGCAACAGAGTGAGACTCTGTCTCAAAAAAAAAAAAAACAAAAACAAAAAACCCAAAAAACGAAAATTAGCTGGGCATGGTGGCACATGCCTGTAGTCCTAGCTGCTCAGAGGGTCGAGGTGGGAGGATCATCTGAACCTGGGAGGCGGAGGCTGCAGTGAGCTGTGACTGCGTGACTGCACTCCAGCCTGGGTGATAAAGTGAGACTCTGTCTCAAAAAAAAATAGACATAATAAATATAAGAGCTAAAAACTATAAAACTCTTAGACGAAAACATAGGGGAAAAGTTTTATAATACTGGATTTGGCAATGATTTCTTGTGTATGACACCAAAAGCACAGACAAAAAATGAAAAGAATAAATTGACTTTATTAAGATTAAAAACTTTCATGTGTCAAGAACACTATCAACGGAATGAAAAGGCAACCCACAGAATGGGAGAAAATACTTGTAAATAGTATATTTTATAGGAGATTAATATCTAGAATACATAAAGAACTCCTACAATTTAACAAAAACAAAACCCAAAACTCATAATTAAAAAAATGGGCAAAAGACTCGAATAGACATTTCTATAATGAAGATATATAGATGGGCAAAAGCACATGAAAAGATACTCAATATTACTAATCATTAGGGAAATGAAAATTGAAACTATAGTAAGATGTCTCTTTATACCCATTGGATGGCCATTATCAAAAAAACAAACAAACCAGAAAACACGAAACGTTGGCAACGATGAGAAGAACTTGGAACACTTGTGCCTTGCTAGTGGTAATGTAAAATGGTCCACCCACTGTGGAAAATGGTACGGTGGTTCCTCAGAAAATGAAATACTAAATTACTCTCCCATTTCTGGGAATATACCCAAAGGAATTGAAAGCAGAGACTTGAATAGATATTTGTTGCTATTTTTTTTTCTTCTTAAGACAGGGCCTCGTTCTGTTGCCCAGGCTGGAGCGCAGTGGTGTGATCTCGACTCACTGTAGCCTCAACCTCCTGGGCTCATGTGATCCTCCCACCTCAGCCTCCAAAATAGCCAAGACTATAGGCATCTGCCACCATACCTGGCTGCTTTTTTTTTTTTTTTTTTTTAAAATAGAGATAGGGTCTCACTGTGTCGCCCAGGGTGGTCTCAAACCCCTGGGTTCAAGTGATCCTCCTGCCTCGGCCTCATAAAGTGCTGGGTTTACAGGCATGAGCAACCACGCCTGGTTTGAACAGACACCTGTACACAAATGTTCATAGCAGCATAACTCACAATAGCCAAAAGGTAGAAGCAACCCAAATGCCCATCAGCAGATGAATGAATAAACAAAATGTGGTATTAAAAAAAAGTATATTCATATGATGGAATATTTTTTCTTTTGTTCTTTTTTTCTCTTCTTCATACAATGGAATATTATTCAGCCTTGAAAAGGAAGGAAATTCTGGCACAAGCTATAATATGAATGAACCTAGAAGACATTACGCTAAGCCAGTCACAAAAACAAACAAATATCGTATGACTTCACTCATAGGAAGAACCTAGAGTAGTCAAATTCACAGAAACAGAAAGTAGAATAGTAGTTGCCAGAAGCTGGGGAAAGGGAGAAATGGATACAGAATTTCAGAATGGGAAGACGAAAAAGTTCTGGAGATAGACGGTAGTAATAAAGCTGCACAACAATGTGAATGTATTTAATACCATTGAACTGTACACTTAAAAATGGTTAAAATGGTAAATTTTGTGTTATGTATATTAGAAAAAAAAAAGACCAAAGTCTGTCTCTGTTACTCAATCTTTCTTCCATTGATTAAACAAATTCTTCTAAAGTGCTATAAAAACACATACCTTTCTGTAAAATAGTGCTAAGGACCCAGTTCTCTTTGGCCTGTTTATTCCAGTTGAATGTACCTCTTGTGCTTTAGTCAGATTGGTCTGTTTTGGAGAAGCACCAATTAATGAATGAGCAGTAAGTGATACAGGACTCTTGACTTTGGACTCCTGATTTGTATTCATGGAAAGAGGTATCAGTGTGATCTCTCCAGCATCATTTGCGACACCTGAATGTATAAGCATTATTAGAAATAATCTGCATATGTTCTAGGAAAGTTGTCAACTATATATATTTTGACAATTATATATACATATATCTGTGTGTATAAGAAGGCTACAAAATAGTAATTCTAGGTTATGACTGAATTCTTTTTTTTTTTTTTTTTGAGACAGGGTCTCACTTGGTCACTCAGGCTGGAGTGCAGTGGCGCCATCTCAGCTCACTGTGGCCTCGACCTCCTGGGCTCAAGTGATCCTCCCATTTCAACCCCCGCAAATAGCTGAGACTACAGGTGCAAGCCACTATGCCTGGTAAATTTTTTTTTTTTTTTTTTGAGATGGAGTCTTGCTCTGTCGCCCAGGCTGGAGTGCAGTGGCGTGATCTCGGCTCACTGCAACCTCTGCCTCCCGGGTTCAATTCTCCTGCCTTAGCCTCCTGAGTAGCTGGAACTACAGGCACATGCTACCACACCCGGCTAATTTTTAAAATATTTTTAGTAGACACAGGGTTTCACCATGTTAGCCAGGATGGTCTCGATCTCCTGACCTCATGATCTGCCCTCCTCGGCCTCCCAAAGTGCTGGGATTACAGGAGTGAGCTACTGTGCCCGGCTTGTATTTTTTTTTTAGAGATGGGAGTTTTGCCATGTTGCCCAGGTTAGTCTCGAACTCGTCAGCTCAAGCCATCTGCCTGCCTTGGCCTCCCAAAATGCTAGGATTACAGGCATGAGCCACTGCAGCTGGACTTTTTTTTTTTTTTTTTGAGACAGTCTCACTCTGTCACCCAGGTGGGAGTGCAGTGGCCTCATCTTGGCTCACTGAGACCTCTGCCTCCCAGGTTCAAGCAATTCTCCTGCCTCAGCCTCCTGAATAGTTGGGACTACAGGCATGCGCCACCACACCCGGCTAATGTTTTTTCTCTATTTTTAGTAGAGACGGGGTTTCACCACGTTGGCCAGGCTGGTCTCAAACTCCTGACCTCAAGTGATCCACCTGCCTCAGCCTCCCAAAGTGCTGGGATTATAGGTGTGAGCCACTGTGCCTGGCGCCCCCCGGGCCCCCTTTTTTTTTTCTTTTTCTTTTTTTTTTTGACAATGTCTTGCTCTGTTGTCCTGGCTGGAGTACAGTAGCGTGATCATGGCTCACTGTAGCCTCAAATTCCTGGGCTCAAGTGATTCTCCTGCCTCAGCCTCCTAAGTAGCTGGGACCATAGGCATACATCACCATGCCCAGCTAATTTAATTTTTTGTAGAGATAGGATATTGCTATGTTGCCCAGTCTGGGTCTCAAACTCCTGGGCTAAAGTGATCCTCTTGCCTTGGTCTCCCAAAGTGCTGGGATTACAGGTGAAAGCTACCATGCCCCGCATAAATCCTTATTTTCTAGAAACAAGAATATTCGGTTTTGTTTTTATACTTTAAATTTATGGAAAAAAAAGCAAATTTTGTTCTCTATTTTGTATTTGCCTGGGATACATTTATAGTTTAAATTTATTGGAAAAAAAAGCATTTTTTTTTTTAACATTTTGAGCACTTGAGCTGTTAGTCAAAAAACAGAATTTTTGCTCAATACATACATATTGGAAAGCTCAGATAAGAACATTTTAAAAGTAGTTTGAGACCTGGGCAACATGGTAAAACCTCATCTGTACCACAAATAGAAAAAATTAGCTGGGAGTGGTGGCACTTGCCTGTGGTCCCAGCTACTCAGGAGGCTGAGGTGGGACGATCACTTGAGCCTGGGAGCAGAGGTTGCAGTGAGATGAGATCATGCTGCTGTACTCCAATGTGGGTGACAGAGTGAGATCCTGTCTCAAAAAATAAAAAAAGAAGAAAAGAAAAAGTAAAATAAGTCTAAACAAACAGAGAGGGTAGTAAATTTATAAAATTTAAAAATAAAAAAAAAACCACTATAGGTTCAAAACAAAAAGGTGGGGCACAGAGGATTTATAGGGCAGTGAAACTACTCTGTATGGAGCTATAGTGACAGATACATGTCATTATACGTTCTCAAAATCAATAAACTATTCACCAAGAGTGAACCCTAATGTAAACTATGGGCATTGGGTAATGTGTCAGTAATGTAGGTTCATCAACTGTAACAAATGTAGCATTCTGGTGTGGAATACTGATAATGAGGGAGGCTTTATATGCCTCTGGTTGGGGAAGGGGGACTATGAGAAATGTCTGTACCTTCCTCTGAATTTTGCTGTGAATCTACAACTGCTCTAAAAAATTCAAATCTATTTAAAAAAAAAAAGTATAGGTTCAAGAAAAAATAATGAGTTAGAAAAACCATGTGATCTAATCCACTAAGACATTTCTTAAATTTTTATCTCAGAAAAAGTACAAAACAAATGCACTATAACGTTACCATGTAATGGAATTGTAACTTTATGTCCTGTTGTTCCTGTTACTGGGGCTGTGGCCATTGTTAGAAGAGTTTGACCAGGTAAAATTGATACATTTTCAGCAGTAATGCTTGAAGAAGGAGCGATTTTCAATTTTGTTCCTTCTGTTATGATCTTGTCCATAAGCATTTCCTTTGGGGGGTCCTCTCCAAAGAGTCTTCTCTTAGCACTCCCTGCGGTAGGAGAACTGTAGCGTTCATGGACAGAAATTGGAGACAATGGTTGCATATCTAAAAAAAAATAATAAATTTAAAACAGAAATGTATTCCAAAATAATAAATTAGGTTTACTCATTCACTCAACAGATAGTGAGTTACTTATGCTGGGCACTAGCTAGATATGAATAACATGGCCTTTGCCCTCATGGAATATGTAGTCTACTGGGAGAAAGAGGCATGAAATAAGTCACTACGATAAAACGTGAAAATTATGATCACTCATCTTCCTGGTTTCTTGAACCTCTGCCTACATTAAAGGAGCAAAACATTAAGGACAAAGTAGAGGTTGAGAGGTAGAATGAAGTGAGCACTAAATTTTAGTAGTAGTCCAATATCTCCCAATCTTACCTAGTAGAGAGCACCTGAGAAGAAGGGAAGCAAAAGCAAAAATCAGGAATTTGGGTCACAGTTTTGCCTCTTTGTGAATATTTGCACTCCAAGCAGTTTAAGGCGGTAGCTCTGGCTTTCTAATTTAGTAGATATGGAATCATCTTTAGTAAATCTATCAGAAGATATGAGTAAAGATGATATAAATCTGCTTACCTTGCCTTAATCTGAGGGTTGGCAGTACTGTGTTGATCAAAAATAAAGTAAGGATTATGGATTTTGCCTCTCTTCCTGTGCTATCCTTTCACAGGATCTGCTTTCCATTCCCTCTCTACCAGCTGCACGGGTTTTTCTAGCCCCTTACAACCCTACATCTTTTCTACATCTTTTTTCACAATTCTTCCCTCAACCAATTATTCCTTACAGGTAGGTCAATAATATGCTTTTAAAACAAAAGTATTTATTTATTTATGAGATGGAGTCTTGCTCTGTCACCCAGGCTGGAGTGCAGTGGCACGATTTTGGCCTACTGTGACCTCTGCCTCTTGGGTTCAAGCGATTCTCCTGCCTCAGCCTCCCAAGTAGCTGGGACTACAGGCATGTGCCACCATGCCTGGCTAATTTTTCTATTTTTAGTAGAGACAGGGTTTTGCCATGTTGGCCAGGCTGGTCTTGAACTCCTGACCTCAGGTGATCCACCTGCCTCATTTGGGATTACAAGCTTCAGCCACCGTGCCCGGCCTTCATTATTTATTTTTACATTCACTAGATAATTAGATAGTCATGTAATCTATTTTCTTTTCTTTTTTTTTTTTTTTTTGAGATGGAGTCTCGCTCTGTTGCCCAGGCTGGAGTGCAGTGGTATGATCTCAGCTCACTGCAAGCTCCGCCTCCCAGGTTCACGCCATTCTCCTGCCTCAGCCTCCTGAGTAGCTGGAACTACAGGCAACCGCCACCATGCCCGGCTAATTTTTTGTATTTTTAGTAGAGATGGGGTTTCACCGTGTTAGCCAGGATGGTCTCGATCTCCTGACCTCGTGATCTGCCCGCCTCGGCCTCCCAAAGTGCTGGGATTACAGGCGTGAGCCACTGCGCCTGGCCCTGTAATCTATTTTCAAAACATGTTCAAAAGGTATGAAAATGACCCCTGGCAATGATTTAGAAGCTCTCTGTATTAGTGAGGTGATTGGGAAAATAGTTATAGTTTAATAAAAATCTCCGTAATTCTTGGGCTTATGAAAGCAGCTTTTACTTCTCCTGTCTTCAGTAAACAAGTGCAAATTTCTATAGTTGTTTCCATTACTCTTTTACAAGAGTCCATGTGAATGCCTTATATCTAAGAAATCCACGCAAGCCCTTGAATCTGACTAGGCATGTTTAAAGGTGACATTTCAAGGCAAGACTCGAGTTGAAGCCATAAAGTTAGCTGCAAATCCATTGAAATGATCTTTTCTTAGCACAGTACTGGAACAGCTATGGTGGATGCTCAATAAGAATGTAATGAATATACAAATGTAAAGCGGATCCAAATTTAGAAACATGACAATCTGTCAAGGTACAGAAAAGATGCTCACTTAGTTATAAATTATATGAGAGGAAGGTGGCAAGCACAGTTTAAACTATTCTTGCTAAGTTTTTAAAAAAGAAAATAATTCTCAATATTTCGTAAGTTTTAAATTATAGTATACTAAATATTTTTACTATTTTTTCATTTCTCTAAACATTAATAACTGACAGAAAGAAGAGCCTTTTTTTTAACATTTTGACAAGATTCGTAAAGATCAAAAAACAATTATAATAATTATAATTATTCCCACTGATTAAAATGACTGAGTATTCACATCTTATGCAATCTTGTTTTTTTTTTTTGGAGACGGAGTCTCACTCTGTCGACCAGGCTGGAGTGCAGTGGCACAATCTCGGCTCACTGCAACCTCCGCCTCCTGGGTTCAAGCAATTCTCTTGCCTCACTCTTGCCTCAGCCTCCCAAGTAGCTGGGACTATAGGCGCATGCTGCCATGCTTGCCTAATTTTTTGTATTTTACTAGGGACCAGTTTTCACTGTGTTGCCCGGGCTGGTCTTGAACTCCTGACCTCGTGATCTGCCCGCCTCGGCCTCCCAAAGTGCTAGGATTACGGGTGTAAGCCACTGCGCCCGGCCATTGTTTTTTTTTTTTTTTTTTTTTTGAGATGCAGTCTTGCTCTGTCCCCAGGCTGGAGTACAGTGGTGCGATCTCCGCTCACTGCAAACTCCATCCCTTGGGTTCAAGCAATTCTACTGCCTTAGCTGCCTGAGCAGCTGGGATTACAGGTGTACACCACCATGCCTGGCTAATTTTTGTATTTTTAGTAGAGACAGGGTTTCACCATGTTGGCCAGGCTGGTCTCAAACTCTTGACCTCAGATGATCCACCTGCCTCGGCCTCCCAAACTGCTGGGATTACAGGCGTGAGCCACTGTGCCTGACCTTATGCAATCTTTTTTTTTTTTTTTTTTGGGTCGGAGACTCGCTCTTTCGCCCAGGCTGGAGGGCAATGGCACGATCTTTGCTCACTGCAACCTCTGCCTCCCAGGTTCAAGTGATTCCCTGCCTCAGCCTCCCGAGTAGCTGGGATTACAGGCACCTGCCACCATGCCTGGCTAATTTTTGTATTTTTAGTAGAGATAGGGTTTCTCCATCTTGGCCAGGCTGGTCTTGAACTCCTGACCTCATGATTGACCTGCCTCAGCCTCCCAAAGTGCTGGGATTACAGGAATGAGCCACTGTGCCTGGCCTTTTTTTTTTTTTTTTTTTTCTGAAACAGAGTCTCGCTCTGTCCGCCAGGCTGGGGTCCAGTGGTGTGATCTTGGCTCACTGCAACCTCTGCCTCCCGGGTTCAAGTGATTCTCCTGCCTCAACCTCCTGAGTAGCTGGGATTACAGGCACCCGCCACCACACCCAGCTAATTTTTGTGTTTTTGGTAGAGATGGGGTTTCACCATGTTGGCCAGGCTGGTCTCAAACTCCTGACCTCAGGTGATCCGCCTGCCTTGGCCTCCCAAAGTGCTGGGATTACAGGTGTGAGCCACCGCACCTGGCCTGCAGTCATTTTTATGATCCTGCATTGCATGTAAAGCAAAGATTGCAGACAGACAAACACACATACACAATCACACAGAGTCCAAAAATGGATGTACCGTACTATGTAACCTGAATACTTGTTCATCTAAGATTTGTTAAGGGATACTATGTGGTCAGGAGATTTTAACTGATTTTTAAAAATCCAAGCGCTATATAATCCACAAGATACACACATCAGCTCGCTACATCACAAGAGAAAATAAGGAAGAATGAACTAAAATCTTTCCATTGGTAAGTCTCAAAATGAACTATTTTAAGAATAAAAATAACTAGTTTATTAGATGAACTTAAGCATTCCAAAGAGAATACAAATTTTATTTTGCTTTAAATGTTTTTCTACAGAGACATACACAGGCAAAGGAAGAATATAAATTTGGGAAATTTGGAAAAGTAGGTATTTAGCTTAGTGATATGGTTTGGCTGTGTCCCCACCCAAATCTCATCTTGACTGTAGTTCCCATAATTCCCACGTGTCATGGGAGGGACCAGGTGGGAGGTCACTGAATCATGGGGGTGGGTCTTTCCCATGCTGTTCTCCTGATAGTGAATAAGTCTCATGAGATCTGATGGTTTTATCAAGAGGAGTTCCCCTGCACAAGCTCTCTTGCCTGCTGCCATGTAAGATGTGCCTTTGCTCTTCCCTTTGCCTTCCACCATGATCGTGAGGCCTCCCCAGCCATGTGGAACTGTGAGTAAATCAAACCTCTTTCCTTTATAAATTACCCAATTTTGGGTATGTCTTTATTAGCAGTGTGAGAACAGGCTAATACACTTATCTTGTTTTTTCCTTTCTTCTTTTTCTTTTTTTCTGGGACATGAGGGGGGTCTCACTATTTCGCCCAGGCTGGGTTCAAACACAATCCTCAATACTCCTGCCTCAGCCTTCTGAGTAGCTAGGACTACAGAAAGATGCCATCGTGCCTGACTTTAGCTTATTTAAACAGTTCTCCATTAGCATTCAGGAAAGATTACATATATTTATTAAATAAATTACATTTAAAATTCTATTAATATAGAATACACTATAGTATATAATATAGTGTACAATGAGCTACACAGGGGTGCTGGCACAAGCATCAAGCTCCTTTTCGAACCCTGCTGAATAAATTAGATTTCTTAATAACATACTCACAAGACTTAAAATTTTCCCTGAAAAAAAGCCAAATGCCCTTTGTTACTTTTTCATTCCTTTACCAATGTTGAACCTACCTCTTCGAAGACTCCCACTGTCAGTTCGAACTTCCTTGACTCTTGGGTGCATTAGAGGAGACATTGGCATCAGGGGAAGATGTCCCTGCACATTTCCTCCATTTCCTGTTTCAAAGTTATTTGGGAATATAACCTGTAGAAAACAAAAACCCTTTGATTTACATATAGATAAACTTGCTGATTAAAACTTATTAAAAATGTTTTCTTTTCTTTTTTTGAGATAAAGTCTCATTCTGTTGCCCAGGCTGGAATGCAGTGGCACGATTTCAGCTCACAGCAACCTCCAACGCCCGGGGTTCAAGTAATTCTCCTTCCTCAGCCTCCTGAGTAGCTGGGACTACAGGTGTGTGCCATCATGCCCGGCTAATTTTTGTATTTTTAGGAGAGACGAGGTTTCACCATGTTGGCCAGGCTGATCTCGAATTCCTGACCTCAGATGATTCACCCACCTCAGCCTCCCAAAGTGCTAGGATTACAGGTGTGAGCCACTGTGCCTGGCCGAAAAAGTGTTTTCTTAACTTTTTTTTACTATTTTATTTCTTTCTCACTTCTTCACAAAATACAACTTGGATAAAGTGCTCAATTCTTAATGTTAACGAACGTATGGAAAGAGTTCATTTCATTTAACCTTATAATTTATATAGGTAAGTTACCAACCACAAGAACTAAACCTCTGAGGTAGGCAGTATCATTCTCCATTTAGGGATGAGAAAATTGAGGATCTGAATGTGAAATTTGCCCAAGGTCACACAACTAGTAAGTTATAAGAGCAACGGCTTCAATACTAATCCTTCTTCAAGTTCACAGCTTTTTTGAACTTGAAGGAGTCTGAAGTTCTTCAATGGAAATAAACTGATGAATACTGAAGAGTGGCCCAATAAGTTACTGTCTGCTGCAAAAGACCAAAGAAGTATGGAAGAGAGATTTCAAGAAACCATCTTCTTTCCAATTCCTCCTGGCCTTGGACAGTTCTAGTAGTTTGGGATTAGGGAAAAATTCAAGAAGATTAATGAAGTACATAAGGAGACAAAACAAAGAATCAAAAGACACGAGTTACAAAAGAATAACAGAAGTAGACAAAAAAAACCCCACAATTTCTCACGATACTACTATTAAAAATGTAATTTGTGCACAACTCTGGGCACACATTTTTAATTTTTATTTATTTATTCATTTAATTTTTTTTTGAGACACAGTCTCGCTCTGTTGTCCAGGCTGGAGTGCAATGGCACGATCTCAGCTCACTGCAACCTCCGCCTCCTGGGTTCAAGCAATTCTCCTGCCTCAGCCTCCCAAGTAGCTGGGATTATGGGTGTGTGCCACCATGCCCAGCTAATTTTTTGTATTTTTAGTAGAGACGGGGTTTCACCATATTGGCCAGCCTGGTCTCGAACGCTTGACCTCAGGCAATCCACTTGCCTTGGCCTCCCAAAGTGCTGGGATTATAGTCATGAGCCACTGCACCAGCCTCTGTTTTTTATTTTTTAATTCTGAATACCACCAATGAAAAGTGTTCAATCTTTATACAGACATTTGAAAATTTTTAAGTAAGTTTAATGGTTTCCTAGACATGATATCAAAAAGCAGAAGCAAAAGAAAAAATATCTGAATTGGACACCATCAAAATTAAAAATTTTTGCATTTCAAAGACACCATCAAGAAAGTGAAAAGACAGGCCAGGTGCAGTGGCTCATGCCTGTAATCCCAGCACTTTGGAAGACCATCCTGGCTAACACGGTGAAACCCTGCCTCTACCACAAATATAAAGAAATTAGCTGGGCGTGGTGGTGGGTGCTTGTAGTCCCAGCTACTCAGGAGGCTGAGGCTGGAGAATGGCGTGAACCCGGGAGGTGGAGCTTGCAGTGAGCCGAGATCACGCCACCGCACTCCAGCCTGGGCAACAGAGCAAGACTTTGTCTCAAAAAAAAAAAAAAAAAAAGAAAGTGAAAAGACAACCTAGAAAATGGGAGAAACATTTTGCAAATCATTTATCTGATAAGGGATTTGTATCTAGAATAGATGAAGAACTCCTATAATTCAATAATAAAAAGACAACCCAATTACAAAATGGGCAAAAGATCTGAATAGACATTTCTCCAAAGAAGATATGCAAACAGCTTACAAGCACATAAAAAGATGTTGATCATCATTAGCCACCAGGGAAATGCAAATAAAACCACAATGAGATATTACTTCACTCCTACTAGAATGGCAGGATTAAAAAGGCAGATAATAACAAGCATTAGCAAGGATATGAAGAAACTGGAATCTTTCTACATTGACCGTAGGAACAATAAAATGGTGCAGCCATTTTAGAAAGCAGTCTGACAGTTTCCCAAAAGCTTAAACAGAGTTACCATATGAACCTGCAATTCCACTCCAAGAAAAATGAAAACATATGTACATATGTTCACACAAAAACTTGTGCCTGAATGTTCATAGCAGCATCAATCATAATAGCCAAAAGGGGTTAGTTGTGGTGGCTCATGCCTGTAATCCCAGCACTTTGGGAAACTGAGGTGGGAGGATCGCTTGAGCCCAGGAATTCAAGACTAGCCTGGGCAACATAGGGAGATCCCATCTCTACAAAAACTACAAAAATTAGCCAGGTGTGGTGTGTGTGCCTGTAGTCCCAGCTACTCAGAAGGCTGTGGGGAGATCATTTGTGCCTGGGAGGTTGAGGCTGCAGTGAGCCGTGATGGCGCCACTGCACTCCAGCCTGGGTGACAGAGTGAGATCTTGTCCCCCCCCCTCCAAAAAAAAAAAAAAAAAAGTCAAAAGGTGGAAACAACTCAAATATTTATCAACCGATGAATGGATAAATAAAATGTAGCATCCATACAATGGAATATTACTTAGCAACAAAAGGAAATGAGCCAGATGTGGTGGCTCACACTTGCAATTCTAGCACTTTGGGAGGCTGAGATGGGAGGACTGCTTGAGCTCAGGAGTTTGAGATCAGCCTGTGCAACATGGCAAGATCCTGTCTCTACACACACATGCGCGCGTGCACACACACACACACACACACACAATTAGCCGGGTGTGGCCAGGCGCGGTGGCTCAAGCCTCTAGCCTCTAATCCCAGCACTTTGGGAGGCTGAGGCAGGTGGAGCATGAGGTCAGGAGTTCAAGAACAGCCTGGACAAGATGGTGAAACCCCGTCTCTACTAAAAAAAGTACAAAAAAAATTAGCCGGGTGTGGTGGTGGGTGCCTATAATCCCAGCTACACGGGAGGCTGAGACAGAGAATTGCTTGAACTGGGAGGCAGACGTTGCAGTGAGCCGAGACTGTGCCACTGCTCTCCAGCCTGGGTGACAGAGCAAGACTCCATCTCAAAAAAAGAAAAACAGAAAGAAAAAAAAATTAGCCGGGTGTGGGTGTGGTGGTATGTGCCTGTGGTCTCAGCTACTTGAGAGGCAGAAGGACAGTTTGGGCCGAGGAAGTTGAGGGTGTAGTCAGTGCACCATCTTTGTCCACTGCACACCAGCCCGGGCAAGAGTGAAACCCCGCCTTAAAAAAAGAGAGGAAATGAAATACCGATACATTCTACAACATGGATGAACCTTAAAAACATTATGCTAAGTGACAGATGCCCAGTCAAAAGGGACTACATTTTTATGATTCCATTTATATGAAATGTCTAGAATAGGCAAATTTATGGAGACAGAAAGTAGATTAGTGGTTACTTACAGCTAGGGAGAAGATTCGGGGGTAGGGAAGTGATAGCTAAAGGATGTAGGTTTCTTTTTGAAGTGATGACTATATTCTAAAATTGTGGTTATGGCTGCACATATCTATTTATATACTAAAACCACTGAATTGTACACTTAAAATGGGTGAACTCTATGGTATAGGAATTATCTCTCAATAAAGCTGGTTTTTTTTTTTTTTTTTTTAATGATACGATTATCAGCCTTGCCCAGACTCACTTCTTCACAGGTAGGAACTTTGTTTGCAGAAACCTGGAGAGCCTCCCACAGTGCAGAATCGTGACTCCATGCTAAACTCTCCAAAATCTGTTCTTCAATGCTGTTTAGGTGTTTCACCATGTCCCTTGAGAGCCCCTCTTCTGAGCGGATCACCACCTCAATAACCTGCAGAGGAGAAAGTGAGAAGGCAATGTGGTTTCAAGCAGTTAGTTCTAGTCTGGACTTGCATGTAGGACTAGCTGTGGCTTTCTTCTTCTTCTTCTTTTTTTTGAGACGGAGTTTCCCTCTGTTGCCCAGGCTGGAGTACAGTGGTGTGATCTTGGCTCACTGCAACCTCTGCCTCCCAGGTTCAAGTGATTCTCCTGCCTCAGCCTCCCGAGTAGCTGGGATTACAGGCACCTGCCACCACACCTGGCTAATTTTTGTAGTTTTTAGTAGAGCCGAGGTTTCACCATGTTGGCTAGGCTGGTCTAGAACTCCTGACCTCAGGTGATCTGCCCGCCTAGGCCTCCCAAAGTGCTGGGACTACAGTTGTGAGCCACTGCGCCCGGCCACTGTGGCCTTATTCTGTGGCACAGAACCAAAGTCATCTTTGAACCATAATTCTGTGGCTTACTAACATCTTCTAATTTATAAAGGAGTTTTTAAGTTCTTTAAAATATGTTCACATATATTTCTGTTTTTCACGTTTTATATTATAAATGACAACTTGAGGCAACGATAGGTGAAAACTGGTCAACAGACCAACAGTGGGAGAAGTCAGGTCTTGGGTTCCAAGTCTAGTTCTATTTTGAATGTATTGCTCCTTTCCAGACTATTTTTTCCACTAACTCAAAATAACAGAATGAATGAACTATTTAAAGTGACTTTGCGTATATACACTATAATTCCATTTTATAAGGGAAGTATCTAGAATAAAGTTTATATACACAAAATATTAATAATATGATTGTTAATAGATTATGATGTATGACTTTAATATTCACATTTATTTACTTATTTATTTATTTATTTATTTATTTATTTATTTATTTATTTTGAGACGGAGTCTCACTCTGTCACCCAGGCTGGAGTGCAGCGGCGCCATCTCGGCTCACTGCAATCTCTGCCTCCCAGGTTCAAGCGATTCTCCTGCCTCAGCCTCCCGGGTAGCTGGGACTACAGGCACGTGCCCCCATGCCTGGCTAATTTTTTGTATTTTTAGTAGAGATGGGGTTTTACTATATTAGCCAGGATGGTCTCAATCTCCTGACCTCATGATCCGCCCGCCTTGGCCTCCCAAAGTGCTGGGATTATAGGCATGAGCCACCGTGCCTGGCCCACATTTATGTTTATGATTTTCTTCAATGAGCACATATCATTTATGTCATTTAAAAAAACAAAGGAGGCCGACACAGTGGCTCATGCCTGTAATCCCAGCACTTTAGGAGGCCACAGTGAGAGGATTGCTTGAGACCAGGAGTTCGAGACCAGCCTGGGCAACATAGTGAAACCGAGTCTCTATTGAAAAAAAAGGCATTTAGCTGCTTGAATAAAATAAGGATGTTATAAATAAAAACCAATTACTATGAGGTTGTTGACAAAACTAAACTTTTTCCTAATGGCAAAAGTTGAATACACACATTAACATTAAAGTGAGTGTATAGTAGAATCACTTCTCCCTAAGAAACCTAAAAATACTTTAATCACACTCAGTAATTCACACAGATAAGCTTTCCAATGACCTGCATTTTCTACAACTTTAATTCAGGCATACTTTAGGTATAAAAATTTAACTCTTCAAACCAATTTTTCTATCACCAGTAGAAAAGTACCTAGATGACTAAATATTAACTAAATCATGCCAAGAAGCGTAACAGTAGCATTAGTCTTAAAGTTCGATACTATGTAACATTAAACGTTATTGACTGTGATGACTAAACGTTATTGAGGGTGATGATGTAGTTCAATAGCTATGACCTCTGTTTTATTTTGAAAAGATTAACAAAAATAGTTCTAGCAAGAAAAATAAAGGTAAGGTAAGTAAGATTCATTCACACTGAATTAGCTCAAACTTGGGGAAGAAGCATAATCTATTATTACGGCTTTATTAGTTAGACCACCACCAAAATCAATTTTAGGTCTTCCTTCCTCTTGGTAGAAAGCGTTTTTTGTTCTTCATCATGCATTTGTTTAATAGGATTATAATTTTCATTCATAAATATGGAAAATTTGAAGTTAAGTACTAGTTCCAGGTCACATTTTCAAGTCCGTGTTAACAAAGGAACTGAAGCTGTAAGATTGACTTAATTTACTGATACTCTCACCTTCTCTCTCTCTTTTTTTTTCTTTGAAACAGGGTCTTGCTTAGGTGCCCAGGCTGGAGTGTGGTGGCATAATCATACCTCACTGTAACCTCAAACTCCTGGACTCAAGCCATCCTCCAGCCTCAGTTTTCCAAAGTGCTGGGATTATAGGTGTGAGCCACTGTATGCTCAACTCTCTCTTGTGTTCTTGGTTTCACCCAAGAGGAATATATATTATCTTTTTTTTTTTTTTTGAGACAGAATTTTGCTCCTGTCGTCTAGGCTGGAGTGTAATTGTATGATCTCCGCTCACTGCAAACCTCCACCTCCCAGGTTAAAGCAATTCTCCTGCCTCAGCCTCTCAAGCAGCTGAGATTACAGGTGCTCGCCACAATGCCTGGCTAATTTTTTTTGGTATTTTTAGTAGAGACGGAGTTTCACCATTTTGGCCAGGCTGGTCTCGAACTCCTGACCTCAGATAATCCTCCCACCTTGGCCTTTCAAAGTGCTGGGATTACAGGCGTGAGCCACCATGCCTAGCCAGGAATATATATTTTCAGAACACATCTGGAAACACTTTCCAGATATCACAACAGTGTTTTTCTTCAGCACTAAGATAAATACAATGTTTCTGTGAGAAACACTGTTTTCATCTCATAACAGAACTTTGTTTTCATCTCACCTTATAAAAGTAAAATGGTTGCAAGTTGAGAACTTCAATAATCCAAGGAAAAGTACGAGGTGAGCTATAGGCAAAGAGCACAATTTCCAAACAACAAGCCATCAAGGAACGATGAAATATATCTTGCTCTAAAAGAACCTGGGGGAAGAGAAAGACCACAGTTTAATATTTTTCAGCAATTTCAGTCTTTGCCATTCCATAAAGAAACCTATAAAAACAAGAAAAAATAACGTGCAAATTATATTACACTAGATTACTGGAGATAAAAATTTGAGTTCTCAAATTGGTAGTTTTCCTATAATACCTATTCTTGCTCAGTGGGTAGGGAATAAATTTAAATAAGGTGTACATAACAATCTGCTTTGAAATCTGAACAAATAATAAAAGTCAGTATTCCCATCAACAGAAAAGCATTAGAATTGGTTATTTTTCTTAATGACAGTTAATTGTTTTGTCAACATAAGGGTTTATTTATCAAAACACAGAAATGAAAGGTAATATGTCACAGTTTAGACAAAACTGTTCAGAAAAAGAAATACTTCACTGAGAAAGTAAAAGTCCTACTTTACCATTAAGTTTAATATAAGTTTTCAGTTTTAAAAATGGTATTTGTTGCCTTCTTTCTTTCAAATATCACCCTAGATTGGCTGAGTGTGGTGGCTCACCCCTGTAATCTCGGCACTTTGGGAGGCCGAGGCAGGTGGATTGCTTGAGGTCAGGAGTTCAAGACCAGCTTGGCCATGATGGTGAAACCCCGTCTCTACTAAAAATACAAAAATTAGCTGGGTGTGGTGGCGCGTGCCTGTGATCCCAGTTACTCCGGAGGCTGAGGCAGTGGAATCACTTAAACCTGTGAGGCAGAGGTTGCAATGAGCCAAGATCACGCCACCACACTCCATACTGGGCGACACAGCGAGACTCAGTCTCAGAAAAAACAAAAAACTAAAACAAACAAACAAAAAACAAGTATCGCCCCAAATCAAGGGAGGATAAAAAACAGAAACTCCATCATCAGTAAAACTAGCAGTCATTTGTAACTGTAAACCACAATATATGAAGGATGACAAATTACTCAGCAGAAGGGACGATGATCAAGCATAAGGACCTGCAGTGAGACACTTAAAACAAAAGAATCTGATCTAAAATACATAGCAACTGAGGACACAGGCAGAATGGGAAGTGGGGGTGAAGCATTGGGTGGGTGATCTGAAAGTCTTAGGATCCTCAGGTCCCCACACAACCCCCACTCTATGGGATCAGATGACAGACCTCTATTCTGTCTCCACAGGAATCTACAGGATTATTCTCTAGAGAAATTGAACTGGAGACTCAGAGGTAGAGAACATTAGGCACAGAAAAGACTAGGGTTTTAGGTGAAACTCTGCAGACTGAACCATAAGACCAAGTTTCCCTTCCTTCTTCTGATCCACAACACCAACAGCCAGGCAAGAGATTTACAGATATGTCTCTGGAGAAACTGAGATATTCCAGAAAAGTCTTACGGATACCAGCAGATAAGTCTCTAATACTATGTGATCACCTGAGGTCAATGGATTTTTTACTTCCACTCTTGAAATAAAAGAGCTTTAAAACAAACTTTTACTGCCTCATTCACAGAGCTTTGAACACGTTTTTAGTGTCTCATTCAAATTTAAGTGGACCACTAAGAATTATCTGACATTTGAGGAAAACCTCTTACCTGAAAAACATAGGTCAAAACAAACAGAAAAGCGAGGTGCAGCAGCATGCACCTGTAGTCCCAGGTACTTGGGAAACTGGGGCAGGAGGATCACTTGAACCTAGGAGTTTTGACACTAGCCTGAGCAACATAGCGAGACACCATCGTATTAAAAAAAAAAAAAAAAAAAGCCAGGTGCGGTGGCTCAAGCCTGTAATCCCAGCACTTTGGGAGGCCGAGGGGGGTGGATTACCTGAGGTCAGGAGTTCGAGACCAGCTTGGCCAACATGGTGAAACCCCATCTCTACCAAAAAACACAAAAATTAGCTGGGCGTGGTGGCATATGCCTATAGTCCCAGCTACTCAAGAGGCTGAGGCAGGAGAATCATTTGAACCCGGGAGATGGAGGTGCAGTGGGCCGAGGTCATGCTACTGCACTCCAGCCAGGGTGACAGGGCGAGACTCTGTCCCAAAAAACAAAAAACAAAAAACAAAAAAAAATTTAAAGATCCGCCATCTGCAAATGCAGATTTTCGTGAAAACCCTTACAGGGAAAACCATCACCCTCAAGGTTGAACCCTCGGATACGACAGAAAATGTAAAGACCAAGATCCAGGATAAGGAAGGAATTCCTCCTGATCGGCAAAGACTAATATTTGCTGGCAAGCAACTGGAAGATGTCTGACTACAACATTCAAAAGGAGTCTACTCTTCATCTTGTGTTGAGACTTCATGGTGGTGCTAAGAAAAGGAAGAAGTCTTACACCACTCCCAAGAAGAGTAAGCACAAGAGAAAGAAGGTTAAGCTGGCTATCCTGAAATATTATAAGGTAGATGAGAACGGCAAAATTAGTTGCTTTCGTCGAGAGTGCCCTTCTGATGAATGTGGTGCTGGAGTGTTTATGGCAAGCCACTTTGACAGACATTATTGTGGCAAATGTCTGACTTACTGCTTCAACAAACCAGAAGATAACTAACTGTGTATGAGTTAATAAAAGATATAAACTAACATTTAAAAAAATTTAAAATATTTTTTAGAGAGAGAAAAAAGGCCAGACATGGTGGCTCACACCTGTAATCCCGGCACTTTGGGAGGCTGAGGTGGGTGGATCACCTGAGGTCAGGAGTTGGAGACCAGCCTGACTAACATGGAGAAACCCCGTCTCTACAAAAAATACAAAAGTAGCCAGGTGTGGTGGCGCATCCCTGTAATCCTAGCTACTCGGGAGGCTGAGGCAGGAGAATAGCTGGAACCTGGGAGGCGGAGGTTGCGGTGAGCCAAGATCGTGCCATTGCACTCCAGCCTGGGCAACAAGAGCGAAACTCCATCTCAAAAAAAAAAAAAAGAGAGAGAGAGAAAAAAAATGGAGAAAAATTCAGGAGAAACAGAGACGAAGCAGTCAAGAAAATTTCGAATAAATCTAAATTAGTAACTTTAGAGAACATGAAAGAGAAATGAAAATATAGCTGAAATTAAAAGTTCATTGGGACTAGATGAAAAGTTGAGTAAATATCTTTAAAAGTAGAATAAGGCCGGGCGCAGTGGCTCACGCCTGTAATCCCAGCACTTTGGGAGGCCGAGACGGGCAGATCACAAGGTCAGGAGATCGAGACCATCCTGGCTAACATGGGTGAAACCCCATCTCTACTAAAAATACAAAAAAATTAGCCAGGTGTGGTGGCTGGCACCTGTAGTACCAGCTACTTGGGAGGCTGAGGCAGGAGAATGGCGTGAACCTGGGAGGCGGAGCTTGCAGTGAGCTGAGATTGCACCACTGCACTCCAGTCTGGGTGGCAGAGCAAGACTCTGTCTCAAAAAAAAAAAAAAAAAAAAAAAAAAAGGTACAATAAAAGAGATAAAGAAATGGAAAACAAGAGAAGAAATTAAGAAGGTCAATTCAGAAGGTCCATCATCTGAAAAATGAAAGTTCCAGAAAGATAAATCAGTGGGCAATGTACCATCTAAGAAATAACAAAATAAAACGACCAAGAACTGCAGGGCATGAATTTCTAGACTAAACGGGCAAGTCTGTGGGAATGACAGACACATGAATGAAAAAAAACACAGTAAGATACATTTTTATAAATTTAAGAACATCAGTGATAAAAGATACTCAAAGATTTCAGAAAAAAAAAACAGGTCACATACTACTAAGTGGGAATGAGAATGTCACTGGACTTCTCATTAGTAACAGTGGAATCTATAATAGAAAATAATGCAACAGTACCTTCAAACTCATAAAGGAAAATGATTGTCAATCTAGAATTCTTTTCTTTTTTTAAGTTTTTTTTTGTTTTTAGGGATGGGGTCTTGCTATGTTGCCTAGGTTGGAGGACAGTAGCTATTCACAGTGCAATCATACTACACAGCATACATACAATACACAGTATACTACAACCTCAAACTCCTGGGCTCAAGCAATCCTCATGCCTCAGCCTCCCACAGATCTTTTTTTCTTTTTTTTTTCTGAGATGGAGTTCGCTCTTGTTGCCCAGGCTGGAGTGCAATGGCGTGATCTCAGCTCCTTGCAACCTCTGCCTCCTGGGTTAACACAATCCTGCCTCAGCCTCTCCCAAGTAGCCGGGATTATAGGCATGTGCCACTACACCTGGATAATTTGGTATTTTTTAGTAGAGACAGGGTTTCACCATGTTGGTCAGGCTGGTCTAGAACTCCTGACCTTAGGTGATCCACCTGCGTTGGCCTCCCAAAGTGTTGGGATTACAGGGGTAAGCCACAGCACCTGGCCTCTCCCACCAATCTTGAATTCTGTACATAGACAACTATCAATCAATTATGAGTCTAAAATAAAGTTACTTATGCAAAATCTTTAAAAAGGGACTTTAAGTGAGGTAAGATTTCTATACTTTACTTAAATTGGTTATATGGCTATACAAAACATCTATACAAAAAAAAATCTTTACAAGGCTCTAAAAAATGTTCAAGTAACCAACAGAGAGGGAGGAAAAAGAAAACAAAATTAAAAAAAAAAGAGTGAGAACAAACAGAAAACAAAAATAAAATGGCAGACTTAAGTGCTAACATAACAATTACTAATTTTAAGTCATCTAAATTTACTAATTAAATGACAGAGATTAGCACAGATTAGAAAAAAAAAAATGACCCAACTACACACTGACTATAAGAAATTCACTTCAAAGGTCACTTGAAAAAGGATGGAAAAAGATATGCCATGCAAACATTAATGAAAAGAAGGCAGGAGTGGTTATTCATAAACATCAGGTAGATGCAAAGAAAATTACCAGGGACAGAGAGGAACATTTTATTTATTTATTTTATTTTTAAGTTTTTTTTTTTTTAGATAGAGTCTCGCTCTGTTGCCCAGGCTGGAGTGCAGTGGTGCAATCTTGGCTCACAACAACCTCCACCTCCCAGGTTCAAGAGATTCTCCTGTCTCAGCCTCCCGAGTAGCTGGGATTACAGGTGCACACCACTATGCCTGGCCAATTGTTGTATTTTTAGTAGAGATGGGGTTTCACTATGTTGGCCAGGCTGGTCTCAAACTCCTGACCTTGTGATCCACCCGGCTTGGCCTCCCAAAGTGCTGGGATTACAGGCGTGAGCCGCCGTGCCCAGCCTTATTTATTTATTTATTTTGAGATGCAGTCTCTCTCTGTCTTCCACGTGGGAGTGCAGTGGTGTGATCTCGGCTCACTGCAACCTCTTCCTCCCGGGCTCAAGCGATTCTCCTGCTTCAGCCTCCCGAGTAGCTGGGATTGCAGGCGCCTGCCACCATACCCGGCTAATTTTTGTATTTTCATATATTTATTTTTTTGAGATGGAGTCTCACTCTGTTGCACAGGGTGGAGTGCAGTGGTGCGATCTTGGCTCACTGCAACTGCCACCTCCTGGGTTCAAGCGATTCTCCTGTCTCAGACTCCTGAGTAGCTGGGACTACGGGCATGCGCCACCACGCCTGGCTAATTTTTGTATTTTTAGTTGAGACGGGATTTTGCCATGTTGGTCAGGCTGGTCTCGAACTCCTGACCTCAGGTGATCCACTTGCCTCAGTCTCCTAAAGTGCTAGGATTAGAGATGTGAGCTACCATGCCCAGCCTTTTATATTTTCAGTAGAGACAGTGTTTCACCATGTTGGCCAGGCTGGTCTTGAACTCCTGACCTCAGGTGATCCACCTGCCTCAGTCTCCCAAAGTGCTGGGATTACAGGCATGAGCCACTGCGCCTGGCCAGGGAGGAACATTTTATAATGATTACAGAGTCAATTCATCAAGAAGGCAGACAGCAATCCTAAATGTGTAAGCATCAAACAGCAGAGCTTCAAAATACGTGGAGAAAAGCTGACAGACTTGAAAGAAATAGACAAATCTACAATCATACATGGACACTTCAACATCCTCTGTCAACAACTGATATAACAACTAGACTGGAAATCAGCAAGAATATAAAATAACAACATCAACCAACAAGATAAAACTGACATTTACAGAACACTCCATCCAACAATAGCAGAATACAGCAGATCCTTGAATAACACCATTTCGCTCAACACCAGTTTGTTGTAACAATGAAAAATAATGGATTCCCAGCTGGGGCCACTGTATGAAATTTACACATTCTCCTACGTCTGCATGAGTTCTCTCTGGGTACTCTGGTTTCTTCTTACATTCCAAAGATATGTACATTAGCTTAACTGGCATATCTAAATTGTGACAGTGTAAGTGTGGGTGTGTGTGTGTCCTATGATGAAATGGTGTCCTGACTAGGGTTGGGGCCCGCCTTTCATCGTGAGCTGCTGAGGTAGGCTCTCATGACCCTGAACAGGAATAACTGGATAAGTAATAATCTTCCTTATTTTTATTACTTTCTCTTATTTATTTCAATGTTTAACATTATAAGTGTTTTGTCTTTATTTAGAAGTTTGGTGAGGTTTTTGTGACTAGACATATGCCAAAAGAACTTAAACTCCTGTTTATATCAGTTAGCCTATGGTAAAATTGGTTTCATTGTATGTTGTTTTTGCTTAAAGTCACTGTTTCCAAGAACCTACTGACAAGGTTAAATGTGAGGATTTACTGTATACATTCTTTTCAAGTGGCCACAGAACATTCACCATGATAAAACATATCCTGGGCTACAATATAACTAAAACAAATTGAAAAGAACTAAATTCATACAGAGTATGTAGAAGTGGAAAACAATAATGGCTGAGAGGAGTAAGTGTAACTAACTATAAAGGGGTAGCAGGAAGGAGATCTTTAACAGTTCAGTATTTTTATTTTGGTTATGGTTAATCTATGCATATGATACAATTTTATACACACACACACACACACACACACACACACTGTTTTAATGTCAATTCCCCAGTTCTGATACTGCAGTATATAAAATTGTAACCATTAGGGAAACTGGATAAAGGATGTGTGGGACTTCTCTGTACTACTTTTGCAACTTTCTGTGAATCTATAATTATTTCAAAATAAAAAGTTGGCCAGGTGCAGTGGCTCACACCTGTAATCCCAGCACTTTTGGAGGCTAAGGCAGGTGGATCACATGGTCAGGAGTTCAAGACCAGCCTGGCCAAGACAGTGAAGCCCCGTCTCTACTAAAAATACGAAAAAATTAGCTGGGTGTGGTGGCAGGCGCCTGTAATCCCAGCTAGTCGGGAGGCTGAGGCAGAGAACTGCTTGAACTCGCGAGGCGGAGGTTGCAGTGAGCCAAGATCGCGCCACTGCACTCCAGCCTGGGTGACAGAGCGAGACTACATCTAAAAAAATAAATAAATAAAATTAAAAAAATTAAAATAAATAAAAGTTAAAAAATTTACTTCTTTCAGCTGGGTGAGGTGGCTCATGGCTGTAATCCTAGCACTTTGTGAGGCTGAGGTGGGCAGATCACTTGAGGTCAGGAGCTCGAGACCAGCCTGGCTAACATGGTGAAACCCTGTCTTTACTAAAAATACAAAAATTAGCCAGGCGTGGTGGCGGGCGCCTGTAACCCCAGCTACTCAAGAGGCTGAGGCATAAGAATCACCTGAACCCAGGAGATGGAGGTTGCAGTGAGCCGAGATCGTGCCACTGCACTCCAGCCTGGGCAACAGAGCAAGACTCAGTCTAAAAAAAAAAAAATTTACTTCTTTCTCAGGAAGCCATGGAAGTGTATGCACCATCAAGATATTAGCGTAAACTATGAAAAAGAAAGACACAGAAAAGAGAAACCAACACAGAAAAGACATGAAAAAAATTTCCAGGTAAACACAAAGAGAAACTCTATTACAATAGTTACGCAGCATCCTTAAGACATCAACCTGTTCCTATTGGGATAGAAAAGTTAGAAGACTCCAAGAGTGACTGCAGAGGGAAATAATGAAGGAGGAGGAAACAAAGATCATATGATAGGTCTGAATTTGTAGAAAAATTCTTTTACACATCTTATTGGAGACAGTGGTCTGACTTGGTCATAGTTAAAGAAACAAAACAAAACAAGAAAAACCCATACCATTTTATAATCCAAAATCCTTGGAAGGTATGGACAAATGTCTTAATTAACAGTTGCTTTAACAGGTGGAGGGATCACTAGCTGGGAATGAAGGACAGAAAAAAAAAAAAAAAAAAAAAACACTTAAAAAACACTGATGTGTACCAAAGATGAACTTTACGTTATTTCACATTTCTGCCTAGATTGATTAGCCTTGCATGTGCTAAAGTCAACTAAATGCCATCCTGGCCAAGTGTGTCATAGATTGGTGACTCCCACAACGCCTTACAGAGCCTCTCAAAACACTGCTTCCAGGCTGACTTTTGGACCTTGCCAGTAGCTCAGAGAGTGGATTTACTTACTGACATGTCCATTCCATGAAGTCTTCGTGTTTCCTGAACCATTACAGTCTCTAGTATTTTATAATACAAAATTTCTGCCAGCTTTAGTCTGTTTACAGCAAAGTCTATCAGGGAAATACAGAGAAAACATGTGTTAATGAATTTTAGTTGTTAAGGACTGAAAAGCAAAAATTATATATAAACTTAAATCTGATACATTAAGAATAGCAGGGCAGGCCGGGAATGGTGGCTCACGCCTGTAATCCTAGCACTTTGGGAGGCCTAGGCAAGCAGATCACCTGAGGTCCGGAGTCTGAGACCAGCCTAACCAACATGGTGAAACTCCATCTCTACTAAACATACAAAATTAGCCGGTGTGGTGGTGGGTCCCTGTAATAGCAGCTACTTGGGAGGCTGAGGCAGGAGAATCGTTTGAACCTGGGAGGAGGAGGTTGCAGTGAGTCGAGATCATGCCATTGCACTCCAGCCTGGGCAACTCGGTCTCAAAAAAAAAAAAGAAATAAGAATAACGGGAGAGGAAAAACCGTGAATTTCTAATTTTGGGGGGATTACTTATTTTCAATGCTATGCCAACTGTAGTTTTCTTTTCTTACCTATGTGAGATCCTGGCTGTTCATCTGTTGATTGAGTATAGTGTTGACAGAAAGTCTCTCCTATTCCTTTTAGTATTTTCATAATGTTTTCCACAGGATTACGCACACAAGATCTACAAAATACAAGAGGAACCAATTACCAAACCAAACAAAAACAAACAAACAAAAAAGACTCCACACCAGAATACTAACATGCCTTCTTCTTCTTTTTTTTTTTTTTTTTTTTTGAGACGGAGTCTCGCTCTGTAACCCAGGCTGGAGTGCAGTGGTGCGATCTCAGTTCACTGCAACCTCTTCCTCCAGGGTTCAAGCGATTCTCCTGTCTCAACCTCCCAAGTAGCTGGGATTATAGGCGCGCACTACCACACCTGGCTAATTTTTGTAGTTTTAGTAGAGATGGGGTTTCACCATGTTGCCTAGGCTGGTCTAGATCTCCTAACCTTGTGATCCACCCACCTCAGCCTCCCAAAATGCTGGGATTACAGGCATGAGCCACCATGCCCGGCCAACATGCCTTCTTTCAAGAATTAGTTTTTAGCAGCCAAAGTTGTATTCTCAGTTGGAAATCTACATATGTAAGCAAAGCTTTATATGATAAAATATTTTAACACGTAAAATTATATAATAAAAATACAGATTGTATACACATGTAATAAAACTTTGCTGCTGTAAGTTTGACTATACTATGTACCTTATATGAGTGGAATCATGCAGTATTTTGTCTTTTTGTGATTGACTAACTTCACTTAACATAATGTACTAAAGGTTCATCCATGTTGTAGCAAATGGCAGTATTTCCTTCTTTTATAAGGCTGAATAATATTCCATCTCATATCTCTATTTCTTTCTATCTATCTATCTACCTACCTACCTACCTACCTACCTACCTACCTACCTACCTACCTATCTACCTATCTACACACACACACATACACCCACAGCATTTTCTTTCTCTATCAATGGACACTTAAGGTGTTTCCACAACTTGGCTATTGGGAATAATGCTGCAGTTAACATGATGTGCAAATATCCCTTTGAGATGCTGTTTTTAATTCTTTTGGATGTATACCCAGAAGTGGTATTGCTGAGTTATATGGTAGTTCTATTTTTAATTTTTTGAGGAACGTCCGTACTGTTTTCCATAGTGGCTGCACCACTTTACAATTCTACCAACAGTGTGTAAGGGTCCCAATTTTTACACATTCTTACCAACACCTGCTATTTTGGTTTTTTTGGGGTGATGAGTGGGAAGTGGCTATGCTGATATGTGAGGTATTATCTCATTGTGATTTTGATTTGTAACTCCCTGATTAGTGATATCAAATATTTTTTCATATGCTTTTGGCCAGTTGCATATACTCTTTGGAGAAATATCTGCTGAATCCTTTATACGTTTTTAAATTGAGTTATTTGTTGTTCTTGAGTTTCAGGAGTTCTTTACATATTCTGAGTATGAACCCCTTAACTAATATATGGTTTACAATTACTTTTCCCATTCTATAGGTTGTTTTTTTTACTCTGTTGATTGTTTTCTTTGCTATGTTAAAGCTTTTAGGTTTGACACCGGGCATGGTGGCTCACATCTATATTCCCAGCACTTCGGGAGGCCAAGGTAGGTGGATCACTTGAGGCCAGGAGTTGGAGATCGGCCTGGCCAACATGGTGAAACATGTCTCTACTAAAAATACAAAAATTGGCCAGGCCTGTTGGCTAACACCTGTTGTAATCCCAGCACTTTGGGAGGCCAGGGTGGGTGGATCACCTGAGGTCAGGAGTTCGAGACCAGCCTGACCAATATGGTAAAACCCCGTCTCTACTAAATACAAAAAATTAGCCGGGCGTGGTGGTGCATGCCTGTCATCCCAGCTACTCAGGAGGCTGAGGCAGGAGAATCGATTGAACCTGGGAGGCGAAGGCTGCAGATCGGGCCATTGTACTCCAGCCTGGGCAACAAGGGCGAAACTCTGTCTAAAAAAAAAAAAAACAAAACAAAACAAAAAAAAAAAAGCCTATTCCAGGGTTCACTATTCCTAGTCAGGGACGTCTAGTTATATGAGGATCTCTCCCCAAATCTTCATGGAATGTTGGAAAATGGCAGCCCTTGGCTCATGCCTGTAATCCCAGCACTTTGCGAGGCTGAAGCAGGCAGCTCATGAGGTCAGGAGATCGAGACCATCCTGGCCAACATGGTGAAACCCCATCTCTACTAAAAATATAAAAATTAGCTGGGCATGGTGGCAGGCGCCTGTAGTCCCAGCTACTTGGAGGCTGAGGCAGGAGAACTGCTTGAACCTGGGAGGTGGAGGTTGCAGTGAGCCAAGATCATGTCATTGCACTCCAGCCTGGCAATAGAGCAAGACTCCGCCTCAAAAGAAAAAAAAAAAAAAAAGGAAAGAAAGAAACAATGACCAGGTTTTATTTGTTTTGTTTTTTTGTTTTTGTAGAGATGAGGTGTCGCTATGTTGCCCGGGCTAGTCTCAAACTCCTGAGCTCAAGCAATACACCCACCCTGGCCTCTCAAAGTCCTGGGATTACAGATATGTGCCATTGCACCTGGCCTCTAATATGGATATCTTAACAATATTAAGTCTTCCAGTCCACAAACACAGATGTCTTTCCTTTTTTTTTTTTTGTTGAGATAGGGTCTCGCTCTGTTGCCCAGGCTAGAGTACAATGGTGTGATCATGGCTGAGCTCAAGTGATTCTCCCATCTCAGCCTCCCAAGTAGCTGGAATGCATATCACCATGACTAATTTTTAAATTTTTTCTGTAGAGACAGGGTCTCATCATGTTGCTCAGGCTGGTCTTAAACTCCTGGGCTCAACTGATCCTCTCGCCTCAGCCTCCCAAAGTGCTGCAATTACAGGCATGGGCCACAACACCCAGCGTTTCCATTTATTTGTGTCTAGATTTTTTTTCTTTTGCATTCTATACTTCCTTTTTCTTATTGACATATTTGTATATTTGCTTTGTCACTGCTTTTCAACTTATTCATGTTTGAACAGTAGTTCAATCCAGATCTATTTACTCAAATGATATGGAAGGTAGATCCGTGACAGTCTTCCTATCTTACTGGCAGTATGCTTTTCTTCTGAGCTATTTCTGAGGCTGGAGATTGTTCTGTCTACTTTCTTGTATCCTGAAGGTTTGAGGAATGGGGGAGAGCTCAGCTATGTTCAGCTTTTCTTGGAGGACCAGGGCTTCGCTTTGTCTTCTGAGATTTAGTTAAATATTCCTATTCTAGGGTTCACTATTCCTAGTCAGGGACGTCTAGGTATATGAGGATCTCTCCCCAAATCATCATGGAATGTTGGAAAATGGCAGCCCTTGGCAGTTGTTCTGCTGGGATCCTGCTGGTGGTACATACGGACTTTCAATTGGGAAGGTTTGTATGACTTTTTATCTGTCTGCCTACTCCCCCATTTGTTTCCCTCCAAATCTGAAGTATTGATGAGAATTCTCAAGATCTATCACTATACCCTCTTTCCCCAACACTGCTTAGGGATGGGAATACCAGAATCATGAATTTTCTTTTTGATCTCTACTTTGGAAATTTGTCATGAAATCATATCTCTCTCCTCATTTGGTTGCCATTGATAAATATTTTGCTGGTTTTGACTATTCTCTTATTTTATTAGGTATTAGGAAAGAAGGTTCTCTGATCTGGCTTCATTCTACCATCTTTACCAGGAATCATGCTTCCTTAAAAAACAAAAAAAAAAACTGTATAAAATTCCATTTTATGGGCTGGGCGCGGTGGCTCACGTCTGTAATCCCAGCACTTTGGGAGGCCGAGGCAGGCGAATCATCTGAGGTCGGGAGTTTGAGACCAGCTTGACCAACATGGAGAAACCCTGTCTCTACTAAAAATACAAAATTAGCTGGGCGTGGTGGCGCACGCCTGTAATCCCAGCTACTCGGGAGGCTGAGGCAGGAGAATCACTTGGACCTGGGAGGTGGAGGTTGCAGTGAGCCGAGATCATGCCATTGCACTCCAGCCTGGGCAACAAGAGTGAAACTCTGTCTCAAAATAAATAAATAAATAAATAAATAAATAAATAAATAAATCCATTTTTATGGCTGTACCACCAATATGCAATTAGTCCCCTATCTAATGGACATTTAGAATGGCCCCATTTAAAGTTAATGTATGTCCTTATACAGGTGATCTTTAGAAACAAACAAAAATAAAAATAAATTAAAAATAAAGTCAATGTAAAATCAAAACATGCATAACTCAGGGGTAGTTATAAGAGTGAAATATCAGTGCTAAATAATCTTTAAGGTACACTTATCTCTAAAAGTCTATACTCCCATGAAATAACATTATATATAATTTTTTTTAAGAGACAAAGTTGGCCTGGCATGGTCGCTCATGCCTGTAATCCCAGCAGTTTGGAAGGCCGAGGCAGTTGGATCACTTGAGCTCAGAAGTTCAAGACCAGCCTGAGCAACATGGCAAAACCCTGTCTCTACAAAAAATATAAAAAATTAGGCATGGTGGCTTGCACCTGTAGTTCCAGCTAACTTGGGGGACTGAGGTGGGAGAGTTGCTTGAGCCCAGGAGGTGGAGGCTGCAGTGAGCTGTGATTGCGGCACTGCACTCCAGCCTGGGAGACATAGCGAGACCCTGTCTCAAAAAAAAAACAAAAAAAAAGGGAGAGATAAGGTCTCCCTATCTTGGCCAAGCTGGAATTAGTCTCACTATGTTGGCCAAACTAGCTTCCCAAGTAGCTGGGACTACAGGTGTGTGCCACTGTGCCTGACTGTTATACATAATTTTTAATAGGTACTTCAATATGGTTTTAGGTCAATATATTTTGTGATTGAAATGGTATAGTAAAACTTGCCAGATGAACATCCACTATCTTGAGAATTCTGAATATACTAAAAATAGAATGGAACAAGAAATCTAATTTTAAAAAGACATTTGGAAAAATAACAGTATTGTACATACTCAAAAATATTTATAAGTTGGTCACTTGGTGCATTTTTCAGACCAGCCACAATACTCTGTAACCGGCTCACACTTTGGGTGGCTGATGCAACAGGAGTAATGACTGCTTCTTTTTCTCGTAAATATCTCCGTCCGGTCAGTGGGGTAGAAGGTGCAAATGACCTTTTCTGTCAGAAAAGAAAAATCCGTGAGTTTTTAAAAGTTACCATCTTCCTTATTATGTGTTTAATTCAGTGCATATACCATCTTCTCTATTCATATTTGTAATATCCATGAAATTTTTAGCAATACTATGCTAATAACATCCTTATATTTGAATAACACTTTTTAAAAGCACTTTCTACATATAATTTCATTTAATCTTCACACCACTGATTTGAAAGATAATGTATACATAATTTAATTTTATATATGAGGAAATAGGAACAGAGAAATTTAAAAACTTATTTCAGTTGACAAAGTTAATGGTAAAGCTTGGACTAAAACTTAGGTTTTACTATGTTCTAGACAAGTGAATTTTCCATTAGATCTCTTCCTCCAACCCATTTTACACATAAATACAGAGTTAAGCCTTGGCCATTAACAATCAAGTCCAGAGTTTTATGGCTGAAGTTACAGAAAAACACATAGTTTGTGTCACGGGTAGGAAAGCAAACTAAAATTTAAAGCAACGTAACGGAGCCTAAGTTGAAGCAAAGAAAGAACTGTAAGAAAGCAAAACTTCCTCTTCATGTCAAAAGACATATACTCTACTAATAAACCCAGTCATGCTGGGAAAATGGATATAAAATATGAATAGTAAGAAATGAGGTAAAAATACTAAATGCCAGTTTTAAAAATTACCTTTTAAGGCTTTCATGAGAAATATGAATTAGTAGAAGAAGCTCAAGATTTAACTTGAAAGATGCTTCTGCTGTTAGTAGAATCACACACAGAGAGAAAAAGATCATTCAAGATTGAGGCCAGGCTAGGTTATATTACTTTTTCAAAGTGCTGTTGAAGGTTATACTCCACATTAGCCTGTGCTGTCAGTTTCCCTAATGGGGTGTCACGAGTGAACTTTCGAGGTGTTCCAATTTCCTCTTCTGCGTCTGCTCCCAAAAAGATCCTCTCATCAAAATCACCAACAGTTAGAACATACTCTTCATACTCCTTATTCACTGCTTTGCTGCAAAGAGAATTATTATAAGCTGTAATACTAAGTTACACAATGGATTTATTTTGACTTGAAGATAGATTTAGTGTTTACAGCTTAGAAAACTTGACAACTTTCTAATTTTTATTAACTCTGACCATCTAACAATATCAGAGGGTCCTACCTGATTATGGACATTCTTCAAATTCATATATACAACCAATAAATTACTTTCAAAAGTGAGAGACTACATATACTTAATCTGAAAACTAGTTGAATCTAATTATGAAAATGGTTTCTGATCACTAAGGAAACACTAGTGGCTTTGAAATATGGCAGGTGGAGGTTGCAGTGAGCCAAGATTACACCACTGCACTCCAGCCTGGCAACAGAACAAGACTCTGTCTCAAAAAAAAAAAAAAAAAAAAAAAAAATGGGCCAGGCGCGGTGGCTCACGCCTGTAATCCCAGCACTTTGGGAGGCCGAGGCGGGCAGATCACGAGGTCAGGAGATCAAGACTATCCTGGCTAACACGGTGAAACCCCATCTCTACTAAAAATACAAAAAATTAGCCGGGCGTGGTGGCGGGCGCCTGTAGTCCCAGCTACTTGGGAGGTGCCTGTAGTCCCAGCTACTTGGGAGGCTGAGGCAGAAGAATGGCATGAACCTGGGAGGCGGAGCTTGCAGTGAGCTGAGATCGCGCCACTGCACTCCAGCCTGGGCGACAGAGCGAGACTCCGTCTCCAAAAAAAAATATGGGCACTGCCAACATGTGATTAATGAAAGAATGTAAAATCAAATACAGAGTCATTGGGTCTGTTTATGAGTTTCTCAAGAGAGTGGCTGTTTTTTGTTTTTAAGACAGAGTCTCACTCCGTCACCCAAGCTGGAATGCAGTGGCCCAGTCTTGGCACACTGCAGCCTCTACCTCCCAGGTTTAAGCAATTCTCCTGCCTTAGCCTCCTGAGTAGCCGGGACTACAGGCTTGTGCCACCATGCCCGGATAGTTTTTGTACTTTCAGTAGAGACGGGGTTTCACCATGTTGGCCCACCTTGGCCTCCCAAAGTGCTAGGATTATAGGTGTGAGTCACTTCGAGCTTGGCTGAGTAGCTCTTTTAAATGCCATTTGGCTGGGTGTGGTGGGTCATGCCTGTAATCCTAGCACTTTGGGAGGCTATGGTGAGAGGATTGCTTGAGGCCAGGAATTAGAGACCAGCCTGGGCAACACAGTGAGATCCCATCTCTAAAAAAATAAAAATAAATACGTGTCAATGATTTTTTTTCTTTAATTGAGATGGAATCTCGCTCTGTTGCCTAGGCTGGAGTGCAATGGTGTGATCTGGGCTCACTGCAACCTCCGCCTCCTGGGTTCAAGTGATTCTCCTGCCTCAGTCTTCCAAGCAGCTGGGATTATAGGTGCACGCCATCACACCCAGATAATTTTTGTATTTTTAGTAGAGATGGGGTTTCACCATGTTGGCCAGGCTGGTCTCAAACTCCTGACCTCAAGTGATCAGCCCACCTCGGCCCCCCAAAGTGTTGGGATTACAGGAGTGAGCCACCATGCCCGGCCTCTTTCTTTTTTTCTTGTTTTTTTTTTTGGAAATAGGGTCTCACTCCGTCAAGCAGGCTGAAGTGCAGTGGTGCAATCATGGCTCACTGCAACCTCAACCTCCCAGATTCAAATGATCCTCCCACCTCAGCCTCCCAAGTAGCTGGGACTACAGGCTCACGCCACTACGTCTGGCTGATTTTGTATTTTTTGTAGAGACAAGGTTTCACCATGTTGCCCAGGCTGGTCTCCAACCTTCTGAGCTCAAGCGATCTGGCTGCCTTGGCCTTCCAAAGTGCTGGGATTACAGGTGTGAGCCACTGTGCCCGGCCTTAATTTCTTTTCTTTCTTTTTTTTTTTTTTTTTGAGATGAGTCTTGCTCTGCTGCCCAGGCTGGAGTGCAGTGGTGCGATCTCAACTTACTGCAACCTCCACCTCCTGGGTTCAAGCGATCCGCCTGCCTCAGCCTCCCAAGTAGCTGGGACTACAGGCGTGTGCCACCACACCGAGCTAATTTTTGTATTTTTAGTAGAGACCGGGTTTCACCATTTTGGCCAGGATGGTCTCAATCTCCTGACCTCGTGATCTGCCTGCCTTGGCCTCCGAAAGTGCTGGGATTATAGGCATAAGCCATTGCACGCCTGGCTGAGTAGCTGTTTTAAATGCCAATTGGCCGGGTGTGGTGGGTCATACCTGTAATCCTAGCACTTTGGGAGGCTATGGTGAGAGGATTGCTTGAGGCCAGGAATTAGAGACCAGCCTGGGCAACACAGTGAGATCCCATCTCTAAAAAAATAAAAATAAATACGTAAGTATCAATAATTTTTTTTTTTAATTGAGATGGAATCTCGCTCTGTCGCCTAGGCTGGAGTGCAGTGGCATGATCTCAGCTCACTGCAGCCTCTGCCTCCTGGGTTCAAGTGATTCTCCTGCCTCAGTCTCCCAAGCAGCTGGGATTACAGGTGTGCACCACCACACCCAGATAATTTTTGAATTTTTAGTAGAGATGCGGTTTCACCATGTTGGCCAGGCTGATCTCTGGCCAGGCTGATCTCAAACTCCTGACCTCAAGTGATCGGCCCGCCTTGGCCTCCCAAAGTGTTGGGATTACAGGCGTGAGCCACCATGCCCGGCCTCTTTCTTTTTTTTTTTTTTTTTGGAAATAGGGTCTCACTCTGTCACCTAGACTGAAGTGCAGTGGTGCAATCACGGCTCACTGCAACCACAACCTCCCAGATTCAAACGATCCTCCAACCTCAACCTCCCAAGTAGCTGGGACCACAGGCTCACACCACTACGTCTGGCTGATTTTTGTATTTTTTGTAGAGACAGGGTTTCACCATGTTGCCCAGGCTGGTCTCCAACCTTCTGAGCTCAAGCAATCTGCCTGCCTTGGCCTTCCAAAGTGATGGGTTTACAGGTGTGGGCCACCGTGCCTGGCCTTGATTTCTTAAAATAAATGTATTTAAAGCCAACAAGTCTTAGTGATAATAAACATTCAATGCCACTAAAGCAGAGAGAACTTGAATTTGGAGGTCTTACTTTGATATACTGTTATGCTTAACAAATTTCAACAAATCAACAAATATGACAGCTTGTGATAAGCCAGGCACCATTAGTACTAGATATTTACCTATTATCAGTAAAACTTGAAAGGTCCAGGAGGCATTCTCCTTTTAATATCTGTGAACAAAAAATTATTTTGGGACACCATATAATTAAGCATATTAATACACACACAAACGTGAAATTTATCTAAATTTCCATATTGTTATAACACACACACAAAACAGAATTATTAAATATTTCTTTCAGACTAGGATAAACTATTTAGCATGCAAATAACTTTTTTTTTTAACTTTTTTTTTTTTTTGAGACAGGGTTTTGTTCTGTCACCAGGGCTGCAGTGCAGTGGTACAATCATGGCTCACTGCAGCCTCAGCGTGCCAAGTAGCTGGGACTACAGTTGTGCACCACCATGCCCAACTAATTTTTGTATTGTTTGTAGAGACAAGGTTTTGCCATGTTGCTCAGGTTCGTCTGGAACTCTTGGGCTCAAGCAATCCACCTGCCTTGGCCTCCCAAAGTGTTGGGATTACAGGCGTGAGCCACCGCGCCCAGTCCCTGGGATCCTTTAAAAAAAGTTTACTTTGCTAGAGATGTTTAGCATACAGACAATGGGCCATAATATAGATATCTGAGGAACACAAGACTGAATACAAAAATTTGTATAAAAGAAGAAGAAACCAGTAAGGGAAGAATTTATGCTTAAAGAAAAATCTCATAATATTTGAAAAGTGGGATCCATAATCCAAACCCCTCCTTTTACCAAAGAGAAATCTTGAGGCTTAACTACATTTAATGGCTCGACGTTGGGGAAATAAGAAATTGAAACCCAAAGGAACAAGCCAATTCATAAATGTAGAAATAGCTAAGTTAATTACCAAGGAGACAATGTCCAGAATGCACACAGATAGCCTACAAGTGGCTACAAAACTATCATGGATTTTCTGCTCGATTTACATGGAATTAAAACTGTGGTTGTTATACATCATCCTACTTTTAGTCAACAGTCAGCAGTTATTCAAATTGTGGCAGTAAATTAGTCAGCTTATTCTGACCTCCTGTTTTTCCTAATTATTTGTCAGCCCTACTCTGATGTTCTATTCTTTACAATTCTTTATCAGTACCTCCTACGGTTGCCTCTGACAGTACATTTACCCAACAGTACATATAGTTGGTCACATTTTTCAACAGCTCTGTTTCTCACATCACACAAGATCATAAGGAAATTCTGAATCACAGTAGAGGCTAAAGCCTGGGAATCCTGACCCTAAGTTCTATAATGCTGAGAACTTGCTTAAAACATTTTTTTCTTTTCACATTACTGGTGATCTGTAAACATCTCAGTCATCTAATTATAAGTACAGTACCTTCCTGTCAAAGAGTTTTGAAATATATGGCTTAAAGTAGTGCTCCTTTATTCCTTTTGCTTCTACGAGAAGTCCATCATGCAGTTCACACAGTACAGCAATGATGCAGGGTGGCTCTTCAGAAGCCGTAAAGTCAGCAGTATGAAAATCAGATGGTAAACCTAGTTTGACAGTGTAGGAAGGGCAGAGGGAAAAAAAAATAGTCAACTTTTAAAAATCTTTTTCCAAAAACTGATAATCAGTTTTCAAAAATAAATAAAAGGTCTTACCTTTAAATGATGGATTTAGCAAGTCTTGTCTATTTGGGCACATAATCGCATTGGCAAAAATCAGATCCAAGCAGCATAGAAGTAAATGATAAGAGTTTACTAAGTCATCCCCAATCATCCGAAAATTACCTTTATAAGGGAAAAAAAAAAAAAAAAGACACAAAAACCAGAAACCTCTCATGTCAAATAGCACCAAGTTCCCAGAGTAGAAATGTAAGACCACTGAAAGTGTCATCTTACCCTTAGTATAAACAAAAAGTGTCCAACAGAAATTAAACAGATCCTTAACACTGCAAGGAATCCTCCTAAAAAGGGAAAAAAATTACTTTTTGTCTGACTAGCTCGCTAAATATCATGTAAACTGAAATAGTAAATGTAAATATCAAATAGATCAAATTACACATGAAATTCCATTCATGAAGAAAAGTAATCTATTATTTATGAAATGGACTTAAGTAAGCCTTTCCAACCTGCATAAAATAATCAGAACATAGGGCTGGGTGTGGTGGCTCATGCCTGTAATCCCAGCACTCTGGGAGGCCGAGGTGGGTAGATCACCTGAGGTTAGGAGTTCGAGACCACCTTGGCCAACACGGTGAGACCTGGTCTCTACTAAAAATACAAAAAATGAGCCAGACGGGGTGGTGCACACCTGTGATCCCAGCTACTCAGGAGGCTAAGGTAGGAGAATTGCTTGAACCTGGGAGACAGAGGTTGCAGTGAGCCGAGATCAGGACACTGCACTCCAGCCTGGGCAACAGAATGAGACTCCTCAAAAAAAAAAAAAAAAAAAAAAAAACAACAACAGAAAGAAAAATAAGTAAAAGTATTATCCTGAATTTCCAAATATGGATAATTGTACATGGATTTAAAAAGAAAATAATTAAGTTCTTTGCAGGAATACTTTTCATAAAAAACAGACTTTCAAAAAAGTATATTCTCTTAGTTTGTATCATAATCTTTATGTCAATTATATAAGGATTAAGGGCTCACCTCTGCTTCCGGCTTCGTGGTAACTTTGGTGGTTCTTCATATGGATTTTGAAATATATCTAAAAAAATTGGCTCATATTTTTTGAATATTACAGTAGACACCTCAAAATTTCTCTCTAGCCTTTCTATACGTTCACGAAATTCTTGTGGTAGATTTGACATGTCCATCCATTTCTTCATTTTACTAAAAAATTGTATTAAACTAAAAAAAAAAAGGAGGAGAAAAAAGGCACCTTTAAAATTCATTTAAATAATGGATTGAAAGGAAATATTCTATTCATGACTAAGACTCTTTATTAAAAAGCCAGATTTCCCAGGCAACATAGTTAAGACCCCATCTCTACAAAAATTTAAAAAATTAGCTGGGTGTGGTGGCATGTGCCTGTAGCCCCAGGTACTTGGGAGGCTGAGGTGGGAGAATTGCTTGAGCCCAGGATGTCGAGACTGCAGTTAGCCTCAATCATGTACTCCAGCCCGGGTGACAAAGCAAGACACTGTCTTACATGAACAAAGAACAAACACCATCCCTCAAGCCTAAATTTAATTAAAAAAAAAAAGTCCTCACTATGAAATCACTTTCGTTCCCAGGATCACCAGGGGAATACAGGTTATTAATTAGTGGTCATCACATAGAGTTTACTGCTATGGAGGGAGCGAGAGCACCTATCTACTTCCTTTATTCTCTATATTACCTAGACAATATTTTGCATAAAATTTACAAAGTTAATGTTAGTTAACAGATTGACAGGTTATAAAATTAGTTTGAGATCACCTGAGATCGGGAGTTCAAGACACAGCCTGAGCAACATGAAGAAACCCCGTCTCTACTACAAATACAAAATTAGGAGCTCTCCCTCTCCCTCTCCCCACGGTCTCCCTCTCCCTCTCTTTCCACGGTCTCCCTCTCATGCTGAGCCGAAGCTGGACTGTACTGCTGCCATCTCGGCTCACTGCAACCTCCCTGCCTGATTCTCCTGACTCAGCCTGCCGAGTGCCTGCGATTGCAGGCTCGGGCCGCCACGCCTGACTGGTTTTGGTGGAGACGGGGTTTCGCTGTGTTGGCCAGGCCGGTCTCCAGCCCCTAACCGCAAGTGATCCGCCAGCCTCGGCCTCCCGAGGTGCCGGGATTGCAGACGGAGTCTGGTTCACTCAGTGCTCAATGGTGCCCAGGCTGGAGTGCAGTGGCGTGATCTCGGCTCGCTACAACCTCCACCTCCCAGCCGCCTGCCTTGGCCTCCCAAAGTGCCAAGATTGCAGCCTCTGCCCAGCTGCCACCCCGTCTGGGAAGTGAGGAGCGTCTCTGCCTGGCCGCCCATCGTCTGGGATGTGAGGAGCCCCTCTGCCTGGCTGCCCAGTCTGGAAAGTGAGGAGCGTCTCCGCCCGGCCGCCATCCCACCTAGGAAGTGAGGAGCACCTCTTCCTCGCCGCCATCCCATCTAGGAAGTGAGGAGCGTCTCTGCCCAGCCGCCCATCGTCTGAGATGTGGGGAGCGCCTCTGCCCCGCCACCCCGTCTGGGATGTGAGGAGCACCTCTGCCCGGCTGCGACCCCGTCTGGGAGGTGAGGAGCATCTCTGCCCGGCCGCCCCGTCTGAGAAGTGAGGAGACCCTCTGCCCGGCAACCGCCCCGTCTGAGAAGTGAGGAGCCCCTCCGCCCGGCAGCCGCCCCGTCTGAGAAGTGAGGAGCCTCTCCGCCCGACAGCCACCCAGTCTGGGAAGTGAGGAGCGTCTCCGCCTGGCAGCCACCCAGTCCGGGAGGGAGGTGGGGGGGGTCAGCCCCCCGCCAGGCCAGCACCCCCATCCGGGAGGGAGGTGGGGGGGTCAGCCCCCTGCCAGGCCAGCCGCCCTGTCCGGGAGGGAGGTGGGGGGGTCAGCCCCCCGCCCGGCCAGCCGCCCCGTCCAGGAGGTGAGGGGCGCCTCTGCCCAGCTGCCCCTACTGGGAAGTGAGGAGCCCCTCTGCCCGGCCACCACCCCGTCTGGGAGGTGTGCCCAACAGCTCATTGAGAACGGGCCAGGATGACAATGGCGGCTTTGTGGAATAGAAGGGCGGGAAAGGTGGGGAAAAGATTGAGAAATCGAATGGTTGCCGTGTCTGTGTAGAAAGAAGTAGACATGGGAGACTTTTCATTTTGTTCTGTACTAAGAAAACTTCTTCTGCCGTGGGATCCTGTTGATCTGTGACCTTACCCCCAACCCTGTGCTCTCTGAAACAAGTGCTGTGTCCACTCAGGGTTAAATGGATTAAGGGCGGTGCAAGATGTGCTTTGTTAAACAGATGCTTGAAGGCAGCATGCTCCTTAAGAGTCATCACCACTCCCTAATCGCAAGTTCCCAGGGACACAAACACCGCGGAAGGCCGCAGGGTCCTCTGCCTAGGAAAACCAGAGACCTTTGTTCACTTGTTTATCTGCTGACCTTCCCTCCACTATTGTCCTATGACCCTGCCAAATCCCCCTCTGTGAGAAACACCCGAGAATTATCAATAAAAAATAAATAAATTTAAAAAAAAAAACATAAAATAAAATAAAATTAGTTTGAGGGAAAACAGAAGTCTCCCAAATGGAAAGACAATTCCATTTTCCAAATGGGAATTTGATTACAAAGCACCAGATTGTTACAGGTTAGGAGTAAAATTCAAGAGTTTGAGTTCCAATGTGTGGTTCCACAACCAAAAGTAAAGAAGGTAGCACATACTCAGAAAAAAACTTAATAGTTCTGGTGCCCAGGTTGGAGTGCAGTGGCACCACCTTGGTTTACTGCAACTTCCACCTCCTGTGTTCAAGCAAGCCACCGTGCCCAGGCCAATTCTGGGTACATTTTTTTATGTCCCTATGTTAACGTGGTCTTAGATAGAAAACTTGTCATGTCAAAGCTCACTTAATTAAAGGTCTAGCAATATATACAGAATAATACTTGTAATTTTTTTTTTTTGAGATGGAGTCTCAGTCTGTCACCCAGGCTGGAGTGCAGTGGCATGATCTTGGCTCACTGCAACCTCTGCATCCCAGCTTCAAGCAATTTTCCTGCCTCTACCTCCTGACAGCTGGGACTACAGGTGCACACCACCATGCCTAGCTAATTTTTGTATTTTTAGTAGAGACAAGGTTTCACCATGTTTGCCAGGATGGTCTTGAACTCCTGACCTCAGATGATCCACCTGCCTCGGCCTCCCAAAGTGCTGGGATTACAGGCATGAACCACTGCACTCGGCCCTATGTTCTGATTATTTCATGTAGATTGGAAAGGCTTACTTGAGTCCATTTCGCCTGGCCAATACTTATAATTTCTTTTTAAGGTGACAGAAGACATTAATAGCAAATCATCCAAAGCTATTTAATGTGGTTTGGATGTTTTGTCCCCTCCAAATCTCATGTTGCAATGTAATTTCCTTGGCTGGGCATGGTAGCTCATGCCTGTAATCCCAACACTTTGGGAGGGTGAGGCTGGAGGATCACCTGAGCCCACCAGTTTGAGACCAGCTTGGGCAACACAGTGAGATCTCGTCTCTACAAAAAATTTAAAAGTTAGCAAAGCATGGTGGTGTGTGACTGTGGGCCCAGCTACTCAGGAAGCTGAGGCAGGAGGATCACTTGAGCCTGAGGGGTTGAAGCTGCAGTGAGTCATGAACATGCTACTGCCTGGGCAAGAGAGTGAAAGCCCGTCTCAAAAAAATAAAAAAGAAACGTGACCTCCAATGTTGGAGGTGGGCCTAGTGGGAGGTGTTTGGGTCATGGGAGCAGATCCCTCATGAATGGCTTGGTGCTCTCCTCATGGTAGTGAGTTTAGTTGTCACTCACCTGAGATCTGGCTGTTTAAAAGTGTGGCACTTCCCACCCTCAATTGCTCCTGCTCTCATCATGTGATGTGCCTCCTCCCCCTTCACCTACCGTGACTGTAAACTTCCTGAGGCCCTCACCAGGAGCAGATGCCAGCCCCATGCTTCCTATACGGCCTGCAGAACCCTGGGCCAAATAAATCTCTTTTTTTAAATAAGTCACCCAACCTCAGGTATTCCTTCATAGCAACGTAAAACGTCCTAATACAGCATTCAAACTCTGGACATGCTGATATAATCTGAGACTCTTAAGGACCTCATTAAAAGATTCTTACCAACAGCAGCAAAAAATTTGTCAGATTACTAAATATTTTTTGGCTTACAAAAAATTATGCTCCCTTACAGAGGACTTTAAAAATTTTGTTTTTTGGCCGGGTGCAGTGGCTCACGCCTGTAATCCCAGCACTTTGGGAGTCCGAGGCAGGTGGACAACCTGAGGTCAGGAGCTCGAGACCAGCCTGACCAACATGGAGAAACCCTGTCTCTACTAAAAATACAAAATTAGCCGGGCGTGGTGGCACATGCCTGTAGTCCCAGCTACTCCGGAGGCTGAGGCAGGAGAATTGCTTGAACCCGGGAGGTGGAAGTTGCGGGGAGGTGGAAGTTGCGGGGAGGCGGAAGTTGCGGTGAGCTGAGATCGCACCATTGCACTCCAGCCTGGGCAACGAGAGCGAAACTCCGTCTTAAAAAAAAAAGACTGTTTTTATTTTTGGATGATCACATTTTGCATGTGAAACCCTCTGCTTTGAGGACATTTCCACTTTTGAGCCTTGTCTACCACTAAACAGATCAGCTTTACTGGAAGCTAGGATGAAGGCATATAATCTGATATCCTTTATCAGATACATCTGCTTGAGATTTTGAATCTGAAGCTGCTGGTGCAGAGAAGTGAAGAAGTGGTGAATTCTTAGAGCAGGATCAATCTCCTGGGGCAAATAAAGTGGCAATGTCCAGGGACAGCATTGCTAGCCATGCAAACTATGTCCCTGCTAGATGGATTCTGTGATATGCTCTTTGGCTGTGTGGCCAGCATCCTTTTGTTCCTGGCCTTTTCTAAGCGTAGTTTTCTTAAGTCATCCTAAAGATTTTATCACCTATCCAATACTTCTTTTAGGTCAGGCAAAGTTGGTAAGTGATATCTCTTATTTTTTTGAGATAGGGTCCCGCTCTGTCACTCAGGCTGCAGTACAGTGGCATGATTGTGGCTCACTGCGGGCTTGACTTCCTGGGCTCAAGCAATCGATCCTCCCGCTCCAGCCTCCCAAGTAGCTGGGACCACAGGTATGTGCCCCCACACCCAGCTAATTTTAAAATGTTTTTTAGAGACAGGGGTATCACTTTTTGTTGCCTAGACTGATACTTGCTTTTTATAAACAAGAGCCTTGACTACATCATCATATAATCCATTGTACATACTACTCTCCCAAGAATGGCTTTCCTAACCTGGAACAAAATGCATCAGGGTGTTTGAAAACAAAAAAACCTTATAGCACTGTTATAACTTAAATCATAATTACAGTTTTTAAAACTAAAATAAGAAGCAAAGTAAACTTCACAGCTTTCAATTCATTGGGATTCTGTTACAAAGAATATGCTACTGCTGGGTGTGGTGGCTCATATCTGTAATCCCAGCACTTTGGGTGACTGAGGTGGGAGGATTGCTTGAGCCCAGGAGTTTGAGACCAGCCTGGGCAACATAGTGGGACCTCATGTCTACAAAAAACTTAAAAATTAGCTAGACTTGGTAGTGTGCACCTATAGTCCCAGCTACTCAAGAGGCTGAGGTGGGAAGATTGCTTGAGCCCAGGAGGTCAAGGCTGCAGTGAGCTGTGACCACATCACTGAACTCCAGTCTGGGTGACAGAGTGAGATCCTGTCTCAAAAAAAGAAAAAAAAAAAAAAAAAGAATACACTACTCAAGTTGGGTGTGGCAGCATGTACCTGTAGTCCCAGCTACTCAGGAGTCTTAGGTGGGAGGACTGCTTGAGCTGAGGAATTCGAGATGAGTCTGGGCAACATAGTGTGATCTCATCTTATAAAAAAAATTAAAAGGCCGAAGCGGGTGGATCACAAGGTCAGGAGATCGAGACCATCCTGGCTAACACAGTGAAACCCCGTCTCTACTAAAAATACAAAAAAAAAAATTAGCCAGGTGTGGTGGCGGGCACCTGTAGTCCCAGCTACATGGGAGGCTGAGGCAGGAGAATGGCGTGAACCCAGGAGGCGGAGCTTGCAGTGAGCTGAGATCGCGCCACTGCACTCCAGCCTGGGCAACAGAGCGAGACACTGTCTCAAAATAAACAAACAAATTTTAAGCTGGCATGGTAGCTTACACCTGTAATGCCAGCACTTTGGGAGGCTGAGGCAGGAAGATAGCTTTGAGTCCAGGAGTTCGAGACCAGCCTGGGCAACATAGAGAGAACCTGTCTCTATATAAAGTTTAAAAATTAGCTTGGCATGGTGGCATGCACCTGTGATCTTAGCTACTCGAGGGGCTGAGGTAGGCAGATCGCTTGAGCCTGGGAGGTTGAGAGTGCAGTGAGCCATGATTGCGCCATTGCACTCCAGCCTGGGTGACAGAGCAAGACCCTGTCTCAGAAAAAAAAAAAAAAAAAATTTAAGAGAGAGAGAGAGAAGAGAATACACTATCCAAGCAAGTACATGAAAAGGTGCTCAACATCATTAGCCATCAGGGAAATGCAAATCAAAACTGGGATGGCTACAATAAAAAAGATGGATAACAAGAAGAATTGGCAAGAATGTGGAGAAACTGGAACCCTTGTAAACTCCTGGTGGGGACGTAAACTGGTACAGTCACCTTGGAAAAAAGCCTGACAGTTCCTAAAAAGGTTAAACACAGGGCTGGGAGCGGTGGTTCACGCCTGTAATCCCAGCCACTCAGGAGGCTGAGGCACAAGAATCGTTGAAACCTGGGAGGCGCAGGTTGCAGTGAGCCGAGATCATGCCACTGCACTCCAGCCTGGGTGACAGAGTGAGACTCTGTCTCAAAGAAAAGTTAAACATAGAATCACCATATGACTCAGCAATTCCACTCCTCTCCATATATATCCAAAAGAAAAAATATATGTCCACATAAAAAGTTGTATACAAATGTTCATAGCAACACTAATCAATAGCCAAAAGGTAGAAATAACTCATTAACTGATAAATGGATAAACAAAATGTGGTATATCTATGCAATGGAATATTATTCAACCATAAAAAGAACTGCTGATACATGCTACATCATGGATGAACCTTGACACCATTATCCTAAAGAAGCCAACACAGAAGACCACATATTATACGATTCCATTTATATGAAATGTCCAGAATAGAAAACTCTATAGAGACAGAAGTTGGATCAGTGGCTGCCAAGAGCTGGGTGTGGGGGTTGGAATACGAAGTGAATGCTAACAGGGGTTTCTTTTTGGGGTGATGGAAATGTCCTAAAATGGATTGTGGTGGTGGTACACAACTCTGTGAAAATACAAAAAACCATGGAACTGTACAGTTTAAAGGATGAATTATATGGTATGTCATAATATCTCAATAGGCTATTAAAAAATACCTCCCCACAACACTACTCCAAAGAGGTTACAGTAAATACATGTAAATATGTTAGAAATATTAATTTGTTCACTTTTTTTTTTGTTGAGATGGAGTCTCAGTCTGTCTCCCAGGCTAGAGTGCAGTGGCGCGATCTTGGCTCACTGCAACCTCCACCTCCTGGGTTCAAGTGATTCTCCTCCCTCAGCCTCCTGAGTAGCTGGGATTATAGGCACATGCCACCACACCTGACTAATTTTTGTATTTTTGGTAGAGATGGGGTTTTGCCATGTTGGCCAGGGTGGTCTCAAACTCCTGACCTCAGGTGATCCACCCACCTCGGCCTCCCAAAGTGCTGGGATTACAGGTGTGAGCCACTGCACCGGCCTAATTTGTTCACTTTTCTAGAGGCAATTTGGCAACATGAATAAAAAGCCTTAAAAATGCTCAAGTCCTTTCATCCAGAAATTACTTTTTAAAGACTCTAACCTAAGAAGAAAGTAAAAAATACAGGCAAAAATACAAAGATGCATATCATGATACTTTGTGTGAAGGTGTTGTTTTTTAATAAGTAATATGCACAAGCACAAAATTCTAAAAGTTACTAAAGCATGTATAATGAAAATTCTCTTTCTCATCACCTGCCTCCCAGTTTTTCTCCACTAAGGCAATCATGGTTGCCTTAGGGACTAATAGACTGTCACCAGGTTTTGTTTATCTTTGCAGAGGTATTTTGGGAATTTATAAACATATACCAGCATACATAATTTTTTCCACTCAAATGATGTCATACTACAACAGTAGTCCCCCCATTTATCCTCAGGGAATATATTGCAAGACTCAAGAGATGCCTGAAACTGCAAATAGTACAGAACCATATATAGAGTATATATTTTCCTATACGCATATACCTATGATAAAGTTTCATTTACAAATTAGGCACAGTAAGAGTTTAACAATAATAAAATAGAACAATTATAACAATTTACTATAATAAAAGTTATGTGAATGTGGTCTCTCTCTCTTTCTCAAAATATCTTATTGTACTGTACTCACCCTTCTTGTGATCTGTCAATCTCTGATAACTGAGAGGGCCACTAAGTGGCCAACAGGCAGGTAGCATACACAGCATGGATACAGTAAACAAAGAGATGATTCACGTCCCAAGCAGGATGGAGTGGATAGCACAAGATTTCATTATGCTACTCAAAACCATACACAATTTAAAACTTAAAATTGTTTATTTCTCGAATTTTCCATTTAATATTTTCAAACCATGGCTGATGGGCTACTGAAACCATGGAAAGTGAAACCAAGGATAAAGAAGGATTAATGTACCTACAATATTCTGCACCTTGCTTTTTCCTCTAATTTATCTTGGACATGTTTTTACATCAGTAAAACCCCTTCTATCACTTTAACAGCTGGAGTTTATTCCATTGTATACCATTCCTTTTATCTCTTAAACTTTTCACTTTGAAATACCATCAAACCTACACTTGCAAGGAGAGCATAAGAAGTCCTTTATACCCTTTACCAAATATTAACATTTTGCATATTTGCTTTATCATTTTTTTTTTTTTTTTTTGAGGCAGAGTCTTGCTCTGTCGCCCAGGCTGGAGTGCAGTGGCACAATCGCGGCTCACTGCAATCTCCGCCTTCCGGGTTCAAGCAATTTTCCTGTCTCAGCCTCCCGAATAGCTGGGACTACAGGCGCCTGCCACCAAGCTCGGCTAATTTTTTGTAGTTTTAGAGAGACTGGGTTTCACCACATTGGTCAGGCTGGTCTCAAACGCCTGACCTCGATGATCTGCCCCACCTTGGCCTCCCAAAGTGCTGGGATTACAGGTGTGGGCCACCTTGCCCAGCCATCTATATATACATGTATACTGTATATACATATGCATATATGGTAGTAAATTTTATGTGTCAGCTTGGCTGGGCCACGATGCCCAGATATTTTCTCAAATATTCTGGATCTTTTTGTGAAGGTGTTTATTAGATGAAATCAACATTTAGATTGGTGGACTTTTAGTAAAGCAGATTACTCTTCATAATGTAGGTGGAACTCATCCAATCAGCTGAAGGTCTTAATAGAAAAAAGACTGACCTCCCTTGAGTAAGAAGAAATTCTACCACAAGACTGCCTCAAGACTCAAACTGCAGCTCTTCCCTCAAGATGAAGACTCAAAGTGCAGTCTCCAACATGGGGCCTACCCCATCAGACTTTCAACTCTCCAAGCCTCCATCGTGTGAGCCAATTCCTTAAAATAAATTTTTCTCTATATATAGCTTGTTGGCTCTTTTTCTCTGGATAATCCTAGTTATTGCAATATACATATAATTTTTTTCTGAACCATTTGAGAGTCACGTTTAGCTTTCATGCCCTTTACCCAAAAATACTTCAGTTTCTATTTTCTGAAAAAAAAAAAAAAAAATTCTCTTACATAACCAAAGTACAATTATCAAAATCAGAAAATTTTACATTGATAAAATATTAGTCCATATTTCAACTTAAATTTAAAATTTACCAATTGTCCAAATGTTCTTTCGGAGCAATTTTAAACATCCTAATCCAGTAGCATGTATTGCATTTAGGTGTCATTTCCTTTCTGTTTCTTTCAGCCTGGAACCAGTTCCTCAGACTTCTTTGTAACACGAACATTTTAGAAGACAATTGGTCAGTTATTTGTAGTATGTCCCTAATTTGGGTTTGTCTCATGCTTCCCTCATTATTAGATTTAGGCTATGTATTTTTGACAAGAGTATTACCTAAGTGATGTCATATCCTTGTCAGAGGATCATATCCATTAGTCCCATTACTGATAACTTTGTACTTGATTTAGGTGGTATGTGCCATGTTTTCCATTTCAAAGTTTCTATTTTTTCCTTTGTAATTAGTGATTCATAGGAGACACTTTGCAATTACGTGAATATTCTGTTCTTCATCAAACTTTTATTCACTAGTTTTAATATCCATTGATGATCTTTGACTGTATCAATTATTACTATGAGGTTGCAAAATGGTGACTATTTTCTAATTCTACCACTTTTTCTACATTTATTAGCTGGCATTCTAATGTAAGCAGCATTCCTTTCTAATAACGGGAGTCTACCAATGGGAGTCTTTTCAACCTAGCTTCTAAGTTCCTTGACACACCTCCACCATTTTGTTGAGCACTCCTTACTTTCTGGCATAAGAAGCTGTTCCAGATGCATCAGAGAAAACACGTCTGCTAAGCATTGGAATCAGCCATTTCCTTGAGGACATTACGATAAGTGAAATAAGCATGTCACAAAAGAACAAATATTGTAGGATGACACTTCTAAGAGATGCTCAGAGTAATCAAATTCATAGAGGAAGAAAAAGTAGAATGGTGGTTGCTGAGGCTGGGGGTAAGGGTGAAATGGGCAGTTTTCATTTTGGTTTTATTTGAAGTTTAACACTAATATTTTCCTATGTAAGGCTTAATGTATAGTTACAATGATCTGATTAGTCAAGATGGTCTTTTTTTGGGGGGCGGGCAGGGGGAAGGTATATTTAACATTTCACACTGAAGATGTAACTGTCATGGGTTCCTAGCACTTTAGGAGGCCGAGGCAGGCAGACCCTTGGAGCTCAGGAGTTCAAGACCAGCCTTGGTAACATGGCAAACCCCATCTCTATAAAACAAAAACTACAAAAATTAGCCTGGCATGATGGTGTGTACCTGTTAAGTCCCAGCTACTTGGGAGGGTGAGGTGGGAGGACTGAGCCCAGGAGGTAGAGACTGCAGTGAGCTGAGGTGGCACCACTGCACTCCAGCTGATGCCACAGAGTAAGACCCTGTCTCAGCCAAAAAAAAAAAAAAAAAACCCTCAAATGCCATAACAGCAGTGTAGACAAAAAATAACAAATGATTATAATTTTTAGAAAAAGAAACTTTTTTTGTTATCAAGTTTCCCAAGATCTAAACCAGCTGTTTAGCCAATCTTTTATTTGGGTCTTTATATCGGCCATTAACTTAGTGATGTTATCTGATTTATCTGGGATATAGATACTTAGTTTTTGAGAACAGGGGGCAGCCAGTTGAGATTTTTAGATGCTGGGCTTAAAGCATTTTTTTTTTTTTTTTTTTTGAGAAGGGTCTTGCTCTGTCACCTAGGCTGGAGTGCAGTGGCATGATCATAGCTCACTATAGTCTGGAACTCCTGGGCTCAAGTGATCCTCTACCTCAGCCTCCCAAGATAGCTGGGACTACAGGTGCATATCACCACACTTCACTAACATTCTTTGTAAAATTTTTTTGTAGAGACTAAAAAGTAGTCTCTTACTATGTTGCCCAGGCTGGTCCTGAACTCCTGGGCTCCCTCCCAAGCGATCCTCCCACCTCGGCTTCCCAAAGCGTTGAGATTACAGGCATGAGCCACCACGCCCAGCCCACAAAGGTTTCTATATGTAAGCTACTATGGTGACTTTTCTGAAGTTTACGTAAAATTGTCCAGTTTCAGTTTGCCAGGCTTCAGGAAAAAGCAGTTTTAATTTTAGTGATTTCAAGTCAGAAAAGTGGGAGAAAAATTTAGAAACATCAATTTCAAGACTTGCAGACAGGAAAGAATTCAGGACTTAGTCCAAATTCTATGCAAATAATAAATTTAAAAAAATAGTCAAGGCTGGAATTTAATAATAGGTATGCTATAATTTTGATAGAATGTACTTTTTTTTTTCCTCTTCAATTCCCCATTTTTACCAAAGATTAATCTTAGTGGGACCAATTTACTTTCTTTTTAAAAATATTTATTTTATTTATTTATTTGATTTTATTTTTTGAGACAAGAGTCTCGCTCTGTTGCCTAGGCTGGAGTGCAGTGGCAATCTTGGCTCACTGCCACCTCTGTCCACTGGGTTCAAGCAATTTTCCTGCCTTGGCCTCCCAAGTAGCTGGGATTACAGGCAAGCACCACCATGTTCGGCTGTTTTTTGTATTTTTGGTAAAGATGGGGCTTTACTGTGTTGGCCAGGCTGGTCTCTAACTCCTGGCCTCAAGTGATCTGCCCATCTTGGCCTCCCAAAATGCTGCCTGTGCCTGGTCCCGCCGCAATTTACTCTCTCTCTCTTTTTTTTTTTTTTGAGATGGAATCTCACTTTGTGGCCCAGGCTGGAGTGCAGTGGTGCGATCTCGGCTCACTACAACCTCCACCTCCTGGGTTCAGGTGATTCTCGTTTCTAAGCCTCCCAAGTAGCTGGGATTACAGACACCCACCATTGCGCCCAGCAAATTTTTATAATTTTAGTAGAGACAGGGCTTCACCATGTTGGCCAGGCTGGTCTCGAACTCCTGACCTCAATAGATCCACCCGCCTAGGCCTCCCAAAGTGCTGGGATTATAGGTGTGAGCCACCACGCCTGGCTCGCAATCTACTTTCAAAATAAGGTTTAGTAATATATTTGGCCTGATTCTTTGCATAGGGGGCAATAAGAATAGTGAGTGGCCACCTAGGCTCTTTTAAGTTGGTTTTGTTGGAACATTCATAAGGAATTTTGGATTAGACTTTTAAAAGCCTTGAGGCTAAGAAGTCAAGCCAAGGATCCATCATCAGACTGTTCCCATAATACCTGTATGCATTGGGTGAAATCCTCTCTTCCTGAAGTCCCCAAAAATATCTTGAGGTTCCTGGGCTTGTCAGAAAGTGACATCTTTTACTTACTGCAAGGTCAGGGACCTTGTTAGGGAACCTTTGAACAATAATGATTGCTCAAGGAATTGCTTTGATCAAAGGGACAGTCATGTAGTCTGAAACAGTTTCCAGGACCACTTCTCTCTTGTTTAAAATTCAGCTTTGGTCCTTTGTAATATTCCCCCCTCCATGAGACTCAACTTCTTAGGAATGAACCTTCCTAATGGTGTGAGATATTGACTTAAACATGACCCAAATACATGATTGTTCTGCAATGGCGAGTCAATCTTCCCAAATCTTTTTTATCAGCTCTATAAAGTAAACCTTGGCTGGTGCGGTGGCTCACACCTGTAATCCCAGTGCTTTAGTGCTTTGGGAGGCAAAGGCAGGAGGATCTCCTCAAGCCAGAAGTTCAAGACCAACCTGGGCAACAAAGCCAGACCCAGTCTCTAAGAAAAGACAAAAAACAAAACAAAACAAAAACTTAGCCAGGCATGGTGGAATGCACCTATAGCCCCAGCTACTTAGGTCACTGAGGCAAGAGGACAGCTTGACCCCCCCAAGTTTGAGGCTGCAGTGAGCTATGATCATGCCATTGCACTCCAGCCTGAGCAACAGAGTAAAAGCCTGTCTCTAAAAAACAAAAACAAAACAAAAACAACCTCAATGTTTTAAAGCAGTCTGGTCATATCTGAAAATTTGCCATTCCAATCAAAGCCTAGGTAAAATAACCAGTGTCTATGATTGTGTCCTTAGAAGCAGAACTTTAATTCCAGCTCCATCAAGTGTGGAATTGGTTGCTTGAACAAAGTATGAATCTCAAACCAAAATTAGGAAGATTTGAAATCTGAGAGGAGACTCACCAGAGACCCCTGCTGGCTCAGCGAGATTGGGTGAATGGTACCAAGGCTCCAATTATAATATCAGTAAATGGAGGCTCGCTTCAGGTCACTTCATGGTTGCCAAAATGTCAACTGGCCAGGAGACATAGGGCAGCAGCAGCCCCTAGAAGACAGCACAGAGCATGTGTCTCTATGCCGGGGGAGCCTGCAAGGCTGGGCCAGGATCATAAGGTTTCTCCCTCACTAAGGGACAACGCAGGGGCCTAGGGACAAGAATACAACCAGAAACCCCAGGGACCTGCGTACCTCCTTCTTTTTCTCCTCCTCAGGTTGGGGCCAGCCATCCCCCCTGCTGGTGATGATACAGTCAGCCCTGCACCTCAGTGGAGCAGAGCACAGCATAGTTCACTGAGGCAGAGCTGGGCTGGACTAACAGCTAAACAGCTGAGTTACCATTTAATGTGTATAGTTTGGGAAGATAAGAAAGTTCGGGAAATGGTGGTGGTGTTGGTTGAACAATGTGAAGGTGAAGGTATGCTGAACTTAAAAATTGTCAACTTTATGAATTTTATGTTATATATATTTTACTCCACCACCAACACCATACACATACAAACACACACACACACACACTCTCTCTCTCTCTAGAGTTTACCCTCCATATCTGTGAGTTCCACATCCATGGATTCAACCAACCACACATCAAAAATAATTGGAAAAAAAGGATGGTTGTGTCCGTATTGAACATGTACCAACTTCATTTCTTGTGATTATTCCCTAAAGTATACAGTGTAACAACTACTGACATAGTATTTACATTGTATTAGGTATAAATAATCTAGAGATGGGACCAGGTGTGGTGGCTCACCCCTGTAATCCCTGCACTTTGGGAGGCGAAGATGGGTGGATCACTTGAGCTCAGGACTTCAAGACCAGCTTGGGGAACATGGTGAAACCCCATCTCTAAAAAAAAAGAGCTACAAAAATTATCTGGGCATAGTGGCACACACCCGTAGTCCCAGCTACTTGGGAGGATGAGGTGGGAGGATTGCTTGAATCTGGGAGGCAGAGGTTGCAGTGAGCTGAGATCATGTTACTGTACTCTAGCCTGGGCAACAGAGTAAGACCCTGACTCAAATAATAATAAAAGTTAAAAAAATTATATTTAAGTTGAAATTTTGAAAACAGCCCAAATTATTATAAGTCAAAGCAAACAAAATCATTTGAAATTTTTGTTTATTTCTCTGAATGAACACATTGATGCTGGGTAACTGCTCTTTTAGCATTAAAAATTTGACACTTAAAAACGTTTTGCGGAAGGCTGGGCGCGGTGGCTCATGCCTGTAATCTTAGCACTTTGGGAGGCTGAGGCGGGTGGATCACTTGAGGCCAAGAGTTTGAGACCAGCCTGGCCAACATGGTGAAATCCTGTCTCAACTAAAAATACAAAAATTACCTGAGCGTGATGAAATGCACCTGTAGTCCCAGCTACTCAGGAGGGCGTGGTGGGAGGATCACTTGAGCCCAGAAGGCGGAGGTTGCAAGTGAGCAGAGATCGCGACAATGCACTCCAGCCTGGGTGACAAGGTGAGACCCTGTCTCAAAAAACACAAACAAAAAATAAAAAAGATAAAAACAGGCTGGGCGCGGTGGCTCACACCTGTAATCCTAGCACTTTGGGAGGCCGAGGTGGATGGATCACAAGGTTAGGAGTTCAAGATCAGCCTGGCCAAAATAGCGAAACCCCGTCTCTACTAAAAATACAAAAAAAAAAAAAAAAAAAAAAAATACAGGTGGGTGTGGTGGCATGCACCTGTAGCCCCAGCTACTGGGGAGGCTGAGGCAGGAGAATCACTTGAACCCAGGAGGAGGAGGCTGCAGTGAGCAGAGACCGTGCATTGCACTCCAGCCTGGGCAACAGAGCAAGATTCTAGCTCAAAAAAAAATAAACATTTTGGGGGAAAGGGACTTTGAGAATATCAATCTACATTTTAAAAAGACTTAGTTTTCTTTTTTTTCATAAGTTTGTAATTATTTTTAATGGATTTTTTTTTTTTTTTGAGAGTGGGTCTTGCTTTACCAGCCTGGCTGGAGTAGAGTTGCATCATCATAACTCACTGCAGCCTCCACCTCCTGGGTTCAAGTGATTCTCCCACCTCAGCCTCCCGAGTAGCTGGGATTACAGGCATGCACCACCATGCCTGGCTAATCTTTGTAGAAACAGGGTATCACCCTGTTGCCCAGGCTGGTCTTGAACTCTTGGGTTCAAGAGATCTGCCCGCCTTGGCCTCCCAAAGTGCTGGGATTACAGGTGTGTGCCACTGGGCCTGACCAAAAAAGATACATCTTTTGACCCATTTTTAGGAATCATACATATTTTTGGAATTTATCAGAAATATCATCTTTACAATGATGTTTATTTGTCCGCAACTACAAAGGACTGGATACAATCGAAATGGCCATAAGGCATGGCTAAATAGATGAAAGATCCTTATACCCTAAAATATCCTAGTATCATTAAAAAAATTAATGAGGTAGAACTACATATGCTGATATGGAAGAATTTCCAAAATATAAAGAAAAATAACTGTAGAGCAACACATATAGTATAATTTATGTTTTAAAAAGAAAAAACACCAGCCTGGGCAACATGGTGAGACCCGTCTCTACAAAAAATATAAAATTTGCCAAGCATGGTGGTGTATACCTGTGGTCCCAGCTACTCGGGAGGCTGAAGTGAGGGATCGCTTGAGCCTGTGATGTCTAGGCTGTAGTGAGCTGTGATCACACCACTACACTCCATCCTGAGTGACAGAGCAAGACTCTGTCTCAAACAAATAAAGAGAAAAGAAAATAAAAAGAAAAAATACCAAAAAACAAGTTTATATATTTGTACATAGGAAGACCTTTTTTTTTGAGACAGAGTTTTGCTCTTGTTGCCCAAGCTAGAGTGCAATAGCACAATCTCGGCTCACTGCAACCTCCACCTCCTGGGTTCAAGAAATTCTCTTGCCTTAGCCTCCCGAGTAGCTGGGATTACAGGTGTGCCCCACCATGCCCGACTAATTTTTTGTATTTTTATAGAAATGAGGTTTCACCATGTTAGCCAGGCTGATCTTGAACTCCTGACCCCAGGTGATCCGCCCGTCTAAGCCTTCCAAAGTGCTGGGGAGTCCAGGCATGAGCTACTGCGCCTGGCCAGAAGAAATTATTAATAATGGTTAATTACGGAGAGTGCCAAAAGGAGACGTTTTTCTTTTCTTTTCTTTTTTTTTTTTTTTTGAGATGGAGTTTCACTCTTGTCACCCACACTGGAATACAATGGCACGATCTCTGCTAGCTGCAACCTTCGCCTCCCTGGGTTCAAGCAATTTTCCTGCCTCAGCCTCCCCAGTAGCTAGGATTACAGGCACCCGCAACCACGCCCAGCTAATTTTTTTGTATTTTTTAGTAAAGACGGTGTTTCATCATGTTGGCCAGGCTGGTCTTGAACTCCTGACCTCAGGTGATCCACCCGCCTCAGCCTCCCAAAGTGCTGGGATTACAGGTGTGAGCCACTGTGCGTGGCCAAGGATACTGCTTTCTACTTATAAGCCTTCTGTATTATTTAAAATTTTTGAAAATACATTTGTGTGTACGTGTGTGTGCGTGGTAAAACATACATAACCTTTACCGTTGTAACCACTGTTAAGTCTATAGTTCAGTAGCATTAAGTACATTCACACTGTGCAACCATCACCACTGTCCATCTCCAGAGTTTGTTTCATTATTTGAAATTTGATTTTTTTTTTTTTTTTTTTTTTTTGAGACGGAGTCTCACTGTGTCACCTAGGCTGGAGTGCAATGGCGCAATCTCGGCTCGCTATAAGCGCCGCCTCCTGGGTTCACGCCATACTCCCACCTCAGCCTCTCGAGTAGCTGGGACTACAGGCGCCCACCTGGCTAATTTTGTTTTTGTATTTTTAGTAGAGATGAGGTTTCACTGTGTTAGCCAGGATGGTCTCGATCTCCTGACCTTGTGATCCACCCGGCTTGGTCTCCCAAAGTGCTGGGACTACAGGCGTGAGCCACCGCGCCCAGCCTTGTTTTTTTAATTTGAAATGGAGTCTTGCTCTGTCGCCCAGGCTGGAGTGCAGTGGCGCTATCTCAGCTCACTGCAACCTCCACCTCCAAGGTTCAAGTGATTCTCCTGCCATGTACTGCTCTACATTTGTTTTGTTATAATTCTTTTTTGTTTAGTTCCCCCAGAATCTGTCATTACAAAGATTTTTGAAATTATATGAACAATGACAAACATTGACAGAAAAAGATCAGATTGTTTTATACTAACAATGATAATGTCTTGCTCAATTAAAAAATTAACCCCATTGATCTTCATTTAATTTTTATCATCTTATTTTATTTTTAGAACCAAAGTTGTTTAAAAACATTTTTTTTAGGCTGGACACGGTGGCTTACGTCTATAGTCCCAGCACTTAGGGAGGCCGAGGCGGGTGGATCACCTGAGGTCAGGAGTTTGAAACCATCCTGGCCAACATGGTGAAACCCTCTCCCTATTAAAAATATAAAAAATTAGCCAGGCGTGGTGGCGGGCGCCTGTAATCCCAGCTACTGGGGAGGCTGAGATCAGGCCATTGCACTCCAGCCGGGGCAACAAGAGCAAAACTCCGTCTCAAAAAATAAAAATAAAAAAAAATTTAAATTTAGCATCAACTAAAACCTATTTGCCATTTCTGAATAGGGCTTTAAACTTTGCTCCTCTTCTATTCTGGAAACACAGGAATAGCAAATAGACAATGACCACAAATAGTTTTGTCCCAGAAACAAAGAATATTAGCATGAATCCAAACTGGATAGCTAAATTTGTTTTGTTTCCTATCCAGCCAAATAATTCTATATGCTTGATACTAGAGTAAGTAAAAGATGTATCTGAGACCCATAGAGTAGCTGCAAGGTGAAAAAAATTAATATACAGTAGAGAAATAGGACAACATCTTGACCAGATGACAAAAATTAACATCACCAATGAGATGCAGATGGATAACACATGCCATCATCAGATGTGATATCCTCAGGAGACAAAATCACTTATACAGTTTTCCATCAGGGAATGACTAACCTGCATCTAATCAAAAGTTAATAGGAGACAAATCCAAAATTGGGAACCATCTATTAAAAGAGGGGATGAGGGTGGGCACAGTGGCTCACGCCTGTAATCCCAGCACTTTGGGAGGCTGAGGCAGGCGGATCACAAGGTCAGGAGTTTGAGACCAGCCTGGCTAATATGGTGAATCCACATCTCTACGAAAAATACAAAAATTAGCTGGGCGTGGTGGCACATGCCTGTAGTCCCAGCTACTCAGGAGGCTGAGGCAGGAGAATCGCTTGAACCCGGGAGGCGGAGGTTGCAACGAGTCCAGATTGCACCACTGCACTCCACCTGGGCAACAGAGTGAGACTCTGTCCCAAAAAAAAAAAAGGCTGAGGCAAGAGGACCACTTAAGGTCAGGACTTTGAGACAAGCTTGAGCAACATAGTAAGACCCTGTCTCTATAAAAAGATTTAAAAATATCAGTCAGGCATGGTGGCACATGATTGTAGTCTCAGCTACTTGGGAGGCTGAAGCAGGAGGATCATTTGAGCTGAGGAGTTTGAGGCTGCAGTGAGCTAAAAAGGTGCCACTGCACTCGAGGCCTGGGCAATACAGCAAGACTCGGCCTCTAAAAAAATTTTTTTTAATTAAAGAAAGGGACAAAGTGATTGTGGATTATATTCTTCAAAAATGGTAATGTCATAAAAGAAAAAGAAAGGCTGTGGAAATGTTCCTAATTACAGAAGAATAAATAGACATGATAAGCAAATGCAATACCTGATCCTTAATTAGAAATTGTACTTCCAGGAAAAAAAATGCCATAAAGAACATTATTGAATCAACTAACAAAACTAGAACAGAGTTAGCAGGTTAAATAAAATTATTTTATCAGTGTTAATTTTGCTGAAGTTGGTAGCTGTACTGTAGTTATTTAAAGAAATACACAGTGAAGTATTTTGGGGTAAAAGGCTACAAATGTATGCTACTTAGACTGAAATGGTTGAGGATAAAAAGAGAAAGATCTGGCTGGGAGTGCTGGCTCACGCCTGTAATCCCAGCATTTAGGGAGGCTGAGGCGGGTGGATCACCTGAGGTCGGGAGTTCGAGACCAGCCTGACCAAACATGGAGTAACTCCGTCTCTACTAAAAATACAAAATTAGCCAGGCGTGGTGGCACATGCCTGTAATCCCAGCTACTCGGGAGGCTGAGGCAGGAGAATCGCTTGAACCCAGGAGGCAGAGGTTGTGGTGAGCTGAGATTGCACCACTGCACTCTAGCCTGGGCAACAAGAGCAAAACTCCATCTCAAAAAAAAAAAAAAAAGAGAGAGAGAGAAAGATCTATATATTGAAGAAAGAAAAATCAAATGAGAAAGCAAATGGGATAAAATGTCAATAACAGGTGACTCTGAGTCAAGGGTATATGGGTATTGTCCTTTTCTTATTTTTGTAACTTCTCTGTAAGCCTAAAATTATTTCCAAATTTTAAAAAATTAATTTTAAAAAGTATAGCTAAAGATTCAACACAGAGGTTTCTAGCAGAATTTGAGAAAGGCAGAGAAAGAATATGAAAATTGGGAAAGGATTATCTATGTTATAACTTAGAATTAAATGAAGTCACACAGTGGCTCACGTCTATAATCCCATAGCACTTTGGGAGGTTGAGGTGGGTAGATCATTTGAGGTCAGGAGTTCGAGAACAGCCTGACCAACATGATGAAACCCCATCTCTACTAAAAAAAAAAAATACAAAAAATTAGCCGGGCTTGGTGGTGTGTGTCTGTAATCCCAGATACTCAGGAGGCTGAGGCATGAGAATCACTTGAACCCAGGAGGCAGAGATTGCAGTAAGCCAAGACTGTGCCACTGCACTCCAGCCTGGCTGGCACAGTGAGACTGCGTCTCAAAAATAAATAAATAAATAAATAAATAAAATAAAAATTAAATGAAGTCAAATGATCTCAAAACAAGAGAAAACTGATTCCAAAATTTAGAGCTTATATAACATTTAAAAACATCAAAGAGGTTTACCTTAATTTAGCTGAACGTAGTATTCTGGTAAGTGAAACACAGTTGCCTTCCATGATACCCTTTCCAACCGTGGGAATAATGCTTTTGCGGCATGCAACATATAATGAACATGCCAACCAGTGTGTAACTTCTCCCTGGCAAGCAAAAGACAAACAGCAAAACAGGTATAATATTATGTTAAAATGCTTTAATTCTAGAAACAAGAGATGTAGAATTATCTGGTCTCAATTTTCCTTATGTAGATAAAGGGCCAGAGAAGTGAAGATATTTGCCCAAGGTCACAAAGCTGTTAGTTGCAGTAATGGGTATAAAACTCCTTACTCTTAGTTCTGTGTTTTTACAACTATAACATGCTAAATTAATATTAATCTAAAGATAAAAGCCTGGCTTGGTGGCTCATGTTTGTAATCCCAGTAACTCGGGAGGCTGAGGTGCGAGTATCACTTGATGCCAGGAGTTTAAGACTAGCCAGGGCAACGTAGACTCTAAAAATGAAAATAAAAAAATTAGCCAGGCATGGTGGTGCTTGCCTGCAGTCCCAGCTACTTGGGTGGCTGAGGCAAGAGTATCGCTTAAGCTCAGGAGTTCAAGACTGCAGTGAGCTATGTTTGTGCCACTACATTCCAACATAGGCAGCTGAGCGAGATCCTGTCTCTTAAATCCTGTCTCTTAAAAAAAAAAAAAAGAAAAAAACTCTTTCACCTACACTCCAAATCTAATACAGGCATATGCCACATAACATCTTGGTCAACACTGGACCACATATACAATGGTGGTCACTTAAGATTATAATACTTGCCAGGCGCGGTGGCTCATGCCTGGGAGGCTGGAGCGGGTGAATCACTTGAGGCCAGGGGTTCAAGACCAGCCTGGCCAACATGGCAAAACTCCGTCTCTACTAAAAATGCAAAAAATTAGCTGGGTGTGGTGGCATGCACCTGTAGTCCCACCTACTTGGGAGGCTGAGGCAGGAGAATAGCTTAAACTCGGGAGGCAGAGGTTGCAGTGAGTAGAGATCGTGCCACTACAGTCTAGCCTGGGCAACACAGGGACACTCTGTCACACACACAAAAAAGATTGTAATACTGTATGTTCTAACTGTTCTATATATTTAAAAAATTATAATTTACTGTACCCCTTTTATGTTTAGATACACACATACTCACCATTATAGTTGCCTATAGTGTTCAGTACAGAAACATGCTGAACAAGTTTGCAGCCCAGGAGCAACAGGCTATATTAAACAGCCTAGGTGTATAGTAGACTACACTATCTAGGTTTGCATAAGTATACTCTGTGAAGTTCACACAACAAAATCACCTAATGTTGCATTTCTTAGACCATGTCCCTGTCATTAAGTGAAGCATGTCTGAATTACCAGAAGAGTTTTATTAAAATTTGTCAGCATGACTTTCTTGATTTTAAGAAATGGCCTTGATGATCCTGAAGTTTCTATCGTTTTTGCTTTATGTTTCTCTTTAGTGTGGCAGGGAAAGGCAAGAACAGAGTAAAAAGTTGGCAAGGGAGTCACACATAAAAAATTAATATTAATCTTACGCAACATGAAGGAGACTGTCATTTTTGTAAGGTAAACATTTGGGGATTTACCCCAAAACATGTCATCTTTAAAATACAGTCATATGCATTGCTTAATGACAGGGATATATTCTGAGAAATGCAACATTAGGCAATTTTGTTGTGCAAACATAGCATAGCCTACTAAACCTAGGCTATATGGTATGCTTATTGTTTCTAGGCTACAAACCTGTGGAGCATGTTACTATACTAAATACTGTTGGTAAATGTAACACAATAGTAATTATTTGTGTATCTAAACACAGAAAACATATAGTAAAAATAAAGTATGTGTGGTCCATCACTGACTGAAACATTCTGCAGCACACGACTGTAGTAAGCACGGCTCTTTATATTAGTAGATATCTCAATTTACAATGCCACAAAAAGGTGACATTTGGGAATTCAACAATTTTCTGCATTAGACTTCAGACATCTCCAAGCTAGAATCACTTCATGACTTCACTGCTGAAATACAATAGCTGAAGTTTAAGGATTAAGAATTACGGATAGGCCGGTGCGGTGGCTCACGTCTGTAATCCTAGCACTTTGGGAGGCCGAGATGGGTGGATCACCTGAGGTCAGGAGTTTGAGAGCAGCCTGGCCAATGTGGCGAAACCCCGTCTCTACTAAAAAATACAAAAATTAGCCAGGTGTGGTGGCGCACGCCTGTAATCCCAGCTACTTGGGAGGCTGAGGAAGGAGAATCACTTGAACCTAGGAGGTGGGGGTTGCAGTGAGCCGAGATCACGCCACTGCACTCCAGCCTGCGCAACGGGAGTGAGACTCCATCTCAAAAAAAAAAACAAGAATTACAGATAAAGGCCAGGCACAGTGGCTCATGCTCGTAACCCCAGCACTTTGGGAGGCTGAGGCAGAGGATTGCTTGAGCTCAGGAGTTCAAGATCAGCCTAGGAAACATAGTGAGACCCCCGTCTGTACAAAAAAGGAAAAAATTAGCCGGGTATGTGGCACGTCTGTAGTTAGAGCTACCTGGGGAACTGAGATGGGAGGATCATTTGAGTCCAGAAGGTTAAGGCTGCAGTGAGCTGTGACTGACCCACTGGACTCCAGCAAGGGTGAAAGAACGAGACTCTATCTCAAAAAAAAAAAAAAAAAGAATTACAGATGTAAATCTGATAGCACAACACAATAGTGTTCTTATACACTGTTCCACAGACTGTCTTTAAGACCAAACCCTAGAAGGATAAAAAGATTGATAAAAAGATTTCTTGCAATAATCTAAAAGGGGTGGGTAGAAATGGGTGGCCATCAATAAACCCAATGTTCCTACCCTGAAGGAATGAGAAGTCTTTTCTCAAAGCACTAAATGAGGCAGGTAAGCTTAAAGATGAATATTTTTACAAGCTTTGATTAATGAATTGCTTGGGAATAGGGTCTGGTCATGGTGGCTTACGCATGTAATTCCAGCACTTTGGGAAGCTGATGTGGGTGGACTGCTTGAGTTCAGGGGTTCGAGACTAGCTTGGGTAACACAGCAAAACCCTATCTCTACAAAATACAAAAAAATTAGCAGGACGTGGTGGTATGCGCCTGTAGTCCCAGCTACTCTGGAGGCTGAGATGGGAGAAGTGCCTGAGGCCCTTTTTTTGTCTCAAAAAAGAAAAAGAGAAAGAGTTGTTTGGGATTAGCATCCAAGTATTATAGAGCCTTTGGATACAGGCTACTAAATGAAAATTCTAGCAAGATGGTGAAAATATAAGTCCTAAAATTATTGTTTCGATTTTTTTAAAGACATTAAAGAATACACTGATTTTTATTTTACTTTTTAAAACAGGGTCTCACTCTGTTGCCCCAGGCTGGAGTGCAGTGGTACAATCAGGGCCACTGCAGTCTTGACTTCCCAGGAATGAGGGCCACTGCAGCCTCGACCTCCCAGGCTCAAGCAATCCCCCCACCTTAGCCTCTGGAGTAGCTGGGACTAAAGGCACATGCCACCACACCCAGCTAATTTTTGTAGAGATGGGGTTTCACCATATTGCCCAAGCTGGTCTCAAACTCCTGGGCTCAAGTGATCCACCTGCCTCAGCCTCCCAAAATGTCGGGATAACAGGTGTGAGCCACCATGCCCAGCCTATTTTATTTTGTGTAGAGATAGGGTCTCACTATGTTGCCCAGGCTGGTCTTGAACTTCTGGGCTCAAGTGATCCTCCTGCCTCAGCCTCCCAAAGTGCTGGGATTATAGGTGTGAGCCACTGTGCCTGGCCTGACTTTCTTTCCTTAAAAAAGTCAACTATTTTATTCCATGAGAATAAAATAGAATACAATTCTATTTGATAAAATCCTATTTCATAAAAATTCTATGAATTCTATGATATCAGAAACCATTTTTTGCATTTCTAAGGCCTACTTGCCAGGCCTTAGAAATACAAAAAATGTTTTCTGATCTCACAGAACTTCACATCTGGAGCTAAGAAGAGGAACAGATACTATCATTTATAATTGGTGAGATATACAAGCTATAAGAAGAACTGAAGATAAAGTGTTGTAGGAGAATATAGTGCAGTGAATAACTGATTTTGACTACAGTTTAGGGAAGGCCTCACAAAAGGAGACAAAATTTGTAAATCAATAAAAATGTAAGCAGGAGTTTGTCAGGTAGACTAGAGAGGGGTAGGGATTGGAGAAAGACTTCTTAGGAAGCATGAGATATATGAAAATGACTACTCCAAATACCTTTAAAAAATTGATTTTAAAAAAAGAGGAAAATAAACACTGGATAGAATAAACACAAAATTTCAGTTCATACATTTGTGCTTTCTAAAGCAAGCATTGGGCTGGGCTCGGTGGCTCATGCTTGTAATCCCAATGCTCTGGGAGGCTGCGGCAGAAAAATCACTTGAGGCCAGTTCAAGACCAGCTTGGGCAACATAGTCAGATACTATCTCCACAAAAAATTGAAAAATTAGCTGAGCACCGTGGTGCATGCCTATAGTCCCAGCTACTGGGGAGGCTGAAGCAGGAACATCACTTGAGCACAGAAGTTTGAGTTTACAGTGAGCTATAATTGCACCACTGCATTCCAGGCCTGGTCAAAAGAGCAAGACCCTGTTTCTTTCCATTTTTTTTTTTTTTTTGAGATGGAGTTACACTCTTGTGCAGGGTGGAGTGCAATGGCGTGATCTTGGCTCACTGCAACCTCTACCTCCTGGTTTCAAGAGATTCTCCTGCCTCAGCCTCCTGAGTAGCTGGGATTACAAGTGCACGTCACCATGCTCAGCTAATTTTATATTTTTAGTAGAGACGGGGTTTCACCATGCTGGCCAGGCTGGTCTTGGACCCCTGACCTAAGGTGATCTGCCCACCTCAGCCTCCCAAAGTGGTGGGATTACAGGTGTGAGCCACCGTGCGCCCGGCCAAGACCCTGTTTCTAAGGAAGAAAAAAAGAAAGAAAAAATAAATAAGTAGAGCAAACATTGAAGATGTCCTATTCAACTCTGCCTAACTAGAGATTTAGCTCTCAACTTTTCCTGGTGTTGGGGGTGAGGGGAAATATTCCAGGCAGAGGGAATGGCATGGATATACCACAAAACTGGGAACAAACTTGTCATATTCAAGAATCTGAAACAGGTGCATGCCTTGACCATAGTTTGACACAGTAAATGCTTATTCAATGACAGATGGTGTGACCTTGGGCAAGAGAGACCAAATCAGACCTAGGATGTCAGAAATGCTTTCTCAGGCTTTCAAAAATCAATCTGTTTTCAATTGAGACGCCATTCATTCTAATCTCCCTTACTTTCTTATTCTTCCCACAGCTCTCCAGTCATGCCACCCACGGATGTGGACCATTGTCCTTTACCCAGTCTATCCAGTTCTGAAGACACTTTTTTCAGGTACTACTCCTTCATATATAGGCACACATACAATCGACACTTTTCCAACTCTATGCCTTTGAACCCAGCAATTATTTCACTGGGTGGTGAGTCAGTGGTGCACCCTGGGAGTGGGTCCAGCGCCCTTGGCACATGAAAGCCTTTGAACATGAGGCCAGTGGTGCTACATGAAATACACTCCATCACAATTCTGTCTACACTGGGCTTATGCTCGTCTGGGTTTCTTTCTCTGTTTTTAGATAGAGTCTTGCTGTCACCCAGGCTGGAGTGCAGTGGTGTGATCTCCACTCACTGCGGCCTATGCCTCCTGGGTTTAAGCAATTCTCCTGCCTCAGCCTCCCGAGTAGCTAGATTACAGGCAGGCGCCACCACACCCAGCTAGTTTTTGTATTTTTTTAGTAGAGATGGGGTTTCGCCGTGTTGCCCAGGTTAGTCTCGAACTCCTGGCCTCAAGTGATCCGCCCGCCTTGGCCTCCCAAAGTGCTGGGATTATAGGCGTGAGCCGCCACGCCCAGCCTGGGTTTCTATATTAGAATAATCCTAGGCAAGACAACCTTCTGAGCCTTGCCATTATCACCTGGAAAGCAGTCTAATACTCATTGCCATGCCATGTTCACAGGGCTGTTGCGAGGATAAAATGCAAGAATGATGGGGAAAAAAATCAAGTAATTATAACTGACATTTGTTTTATTCAGAGCCAGACACTGATGCAAAGCATCAGGACGATGCTCTGACGGAGGAGGAAACGTAGGGCTGAGATCAGCTTCGTGTGCACATTGGCTTTGATCAAACTGCTGCACAGCGACCGGCAGCTCCACCCTGGTGAAGCAGAGGGTGGAGGTTAAACGGCTCAGACCCTGGGTCTGGCTCCATCTCTAACCGTGTGACCTTGGGCCTGTAGCTTAACCCGTCTAGGGCTCCGCTTCCTCTTGCGTGAAATGGGGATCACAGAAGGGGTTCAGACGGAACTGAGGGTCCATTTAAAGCTCTGGGCAGTGATGTCTTGGCATGCAGTTCATTTTCACTTTACCATTATATTTGTTCTTACTGATTTAAGGGCAGCACCATGACTTTTGTGGCGCTTGGCGGGGTAGAGGGAAGTGTGGTCAGGAAGCCTGGGGTCTGAGCGGCGCGGGACCTAGGCCGCTCCTTTCCTGAGCTTCAGTTTCCCGCCTCAAAATGATGGGTGGATTGGCTGAGCTACACCCACCTTTCCCGCCCCTCGGCGCTTGGCTGCGCAGCGACCCTCCTAGGTGGGGAAACTCCCACCACCCCATAGGCCGAGGAAGGGGCGGGGCAGGGGTGGGGCCTGGCGAGGGTAGGGTCCGGCCGCCCCACCTGCTGCCGCTCACCTCTAGGCTGTAGTTGCCTCGGATGGCAGTAAAGTCGTCCAGGGCTTCGGCCGCGCTCCCCTCGTCCAGGTTCAGCTCCTGGCACAGGGCCTGTAGCGCCTCCCCGGCTGCGGCGACCACCGCCGCCCCCTCAGCGTGGGGCTTGTCCTCGAACATCCCTTCAGGCCCCGCGGGCTGCGCGCCACGGCCCCCGACTTCTTTCTCCCTCCCAGGCGCGCTACCCACAACCACCTGCGCCAAAGCGCGCGAAAATCTGCAGCTGCGGGACGTGTTGTCATCCACCGTCTGCCTCCGCTTTTCTCCTCAAAAAAAGTCCGTTTTTCCTCCGGAGCTCCTAGCAGTCCCTCCCCGGAAATGTGATAAGAAGATGTACCTCAGATTCTGAAAGACCTGTCCTTGGCCCTTGGCTGGTCGCGGGGGGCCCAGCCGGCGGGACAGAAAAAGAGCGGAGGGATCCTCAGCCCGCGCGCAGAGCCTGCTGGGAGGTGTAGTCCATCTCTTGGGAGATGAAGCCCGCGGCCTCCCCCTGTCTTCCTGGTTAGGCTCTTGGGTTTTGGGGCAGGGCTGGGCTGCCTACTGCGAGGTGGCCTCGTGCAGCGTAGTGAGATGCCTCCTCTATCCACGGGCCCTGGGTTTGTCACTGTCCCTGGGCGCCAAACATAATCTGAGCTGTACCCCTTGAGTTAGGAGATGGAGGCTGGAAGAGAAAAAAGTAGCCCCTGGACGAAGAGGGGCCTCTTGGGACTCTCCCCAAAGTCCTAGTGCCCAGTGAGTGGTTCGCTAAATGACAGAGGGGAAGGATTGGTGACGGATATTAGAAGACGAATCCTCATCTCATGCTAGTCGCTAAAAGAGGCAGGCAGAGAAGACTGCAGTAAATGAGGCAGGAGAATAGGGTCTGGAGGCAGGGAACCTATGGCTGTTTCACGTGACTTCTTAGAACTAAATTGAAAGGAAAACCCCAACTTTCCACGCCTAAGTAACAAAAGAACCAGAGGCTGTTCCCTTGGACCTTTTCTGCATGGCAGATGGGAAATTGGCTGTCTGCAACAAATCACACTGAGCGCCTTCCAGTCTTTGTTTGCAACTTTGTAACTTCACTCCAGCCTCTGAACGGTTGCTGTCCACAACCAATCAGACTGATGGCGGGAGAGTCTTCCTTTGCATAGAAGTATAATTTTGTTAACTTCACCCTGGCCTCTGATTGGTTGCTTTCTGCAACCACTCAGACTGATTGTGGGCTACCACTTCAGTTACATCAAGAGAGCATAAAGTGGCCAATGGGAAACTTCTAGAGGGTATTTGGACCCCAGAAGATTCTGTGTCTGGGCCCTTGAGCTGCTGCGTGGGTTCGCTTCCCCACTATGGAGTGTACTTTTGTTTTCAATAAATCCCTGTCTTCGTTCTTTTGTTGTTCCATTATTTGCTTTGCCTGTAATCCCAGTACTTTGGGAGGCCGAGGCAGGTGGATCACTTGAGTCCAGGAGTTTGAGACCAGTCAGGCCAACAAGGCAAAACCCCGTCACTACTAAAAATATAAAAATTAGCTGGGCGTGTGGGTGCACTTGTGTAATCCTAACAACCTGGGCAACTGAGACATGAGAATAAAGAATCGCTTGAACCGAGGAGGCAGAGGCTGTAGTAAGCCAAGATTGCACCACTGCACTCCAGTCTGGGTAACAGAGTGAGACTCTGTCTCAAAAACAAACAACTGAGGACACATCTGTCAAACCCAGCCTCACCTGCATGCATTTAAAAAAACCAAAAATCAATATGCCCTTCCTTATATTGGTTTTATTTTTTCTTATTATCCCAGGACATGCCCATTTAACCCAAAATTGAGCTTTTCTGAATAGAAAATGAAGTATGGAAGGCCGGTTGCAGTGGCTCACACCTGTAATCCCAGCACTTTGGGAGGCTGAGGCAGGCGGGTCACCAGATCAGGAGATCGAGATCATCCTGGCCAACATGGTGAAACCCCGTCTCTACTAAAAATACAAAAATTAGCTGGGCATGGTGGCGGGCGCTTGTAATCCCAGCTACTTGGCAGGCTGAGGTAGAAGAATCGCTGGAACCTGGGAGGCGGAGGTTGCAGTAAGCCAAGATCGTGCCACTGCACTCCAGCCTGGTGACAGAGCGAGACTCCGTCTCAAAAAAAAAAAAAAAAAAAAGAAAAAAGAAAATGAAGTATGGGTAGTGAAATAGATTTACTCTGCCCTTCAGTTTTGAGCCAGATACACATGAAGGTTGTTTCTATTTTGATCCCATTGTGTGATAGCCTCTATGATTAGCCTCCCTGTTGTGGTTTAATATTTCAGAGTTCTCCCAAAGCATGTGGTTGGAACCTGATTATGACCTTTAGGGATTCCAAGACTAAAAAGATTATAGTGTGTACCCTTCCAAATGTAATTCAAAATATATGCAATTCTAAATCACAAAATAAGTGTAAGAAAGTACAAGAAAGTTCTAACTAATTTTCCCAAGATGTCTCATTTTGAAATTCTTAAATTTTTTTTTCTTTTTTTGTCCTCCAGCTTTGCTATGCCCTAAGCAGAAAATCAGTCTGCACTTGCCCCTCTCAGGACAAACTGCTTGTCTAACCTTCTATTAAAAAAAAAAAAAAAAAAAAAAAAAGCAGTTGATATTTGTGGGGGAGGGGCAAGACCTGACCTCACCATTCTTTTTTTTTTTTTTTGAGACAGAGTCTCACTCTGTCACCCAGGCTGGAGTGCAGTGGCAAGATCTCAGCTCACTGCAACCTCTCCCTCCTAGGTTCAAGCAATTCTCCTTCCTCAGCCCCCCAAGTACCTGGGACTACAGGCACACGCCACCATGCCCGGCTAACTTTTTTTTTTGCATTTTTAGTAGAGACGGGGTTTCGCCATGATGGCCAGGCTGGTCTTGAACTCCTGACCTCAGGTGATGCACCCGCCTCAGCCTCCCAAAATGCTGGGATTATAGGCGTGAGCCACCATGCCCAGCTGGACCTCACCATTCTTAATGTTCTTTTTCCTTGGAGGAAAAACTAAAGTGGTGATCTTTAAGCTGGTTCTGCACTGTGGAAGTAGTGCATTACAAAGATTAATAAAGCCTCTCTACCCACAGAAGGGGGAAAGGATTTGCATACAATCTTAGAAAAGCAAATGTAAATGGCTTTTAGATGTGAAAAGATGCCCAACTTTCTTTCTTTCTATTTATTTATTTATTTATTTATTGAGACGGAGTCTCACTCTTGTTGCCCAGGCTAGAGTGCAATGGAGAGATCTCGGCTCACTGCAACCTCTGCCTCCTGGGATCAAGCAATTCTCCTGCCTCAGCCTCCCGAGTAGCTGGGACTATAGGCGTGTGCCACAACGCCAGGGTAATTTTTGTACTTTTTAGTAGAGACGGGGTTTCACCATGTTGGCACAATGGTCTCAATCTCTTGACCTCGTGATCCCACCCGCCTCGGCCTCCCAAAGTGCTGGGATTACAGGCGTGAACCACTGTGCCCGGCCCCAACCTTTCTAATAGGAAAAATATATATACAAGTTTAAACCGGTATAAAACCATATTTTAATCTATTCAATTGTCAAAAATCCAAAAGTTTGAAAATGTTCTAGTGACTCCCCATTTCTTTCAGGGTTAAGCCAAGCTCCTTGTCCTGGCCTACAAGGCACTAAGGGTCTGGTGGTCCCCTGTCTAACTCTGCCTTCATTTGCTACTCTCTCCTTTCTCACCCTACCGTAGTCATACTTGTGATTCCTTTTGGCTACCTTTTTTTCCTTTAATTTTGAAAAATGCAAACTCAATTTTTTATGTAGTTGTTAACCCCAATGTTTAAAAAAAGTAAAGCATTTCATCCAAATTACTAACTAAAAGATAATAGCTAAGAATACCTGAACCAGATATCAAAGAATTGGGGGTAATGGGGGCCGGGCATGGTGGCTCATGCCTGTAATCCCAGCACTTTGGGAGGCTGAGGTGGACAGATCACTTGAGGCCAGGAGTTCGAGGCCAGCCTGGCCAAAATGGCAAAACCCCGTCTCTACTAAAAATACAAAAATTAGCTGGGCGTGATGATGCTCGCCTGTAGTCCCAGCTACTTGGGAGGCTGAGGCAGGAGGAGAATCACTTGAACCGGGGAGGCAGAGGCTGCAGTAAGCCGAGATTGCGCCACTGCACTCTAGCCTGGGCAACAGAGCGAGACTCTGTCTCAAAAAAAAAAAAAAAAATGCAATTAACCATTAGATACTTCCATTCTTCACCTGCCAGTTTTTCCATTTCCTTTCTTCTTTCCCATATCACCTCCAAGATGTCCCTCCATTGCCCTAGATAGCTCAGCTCTGGCTCTCTGTGTATATTCTTCAACCAAACAAGAGCCTGAGAATCAGATTGATGGTGACTATTTCTAATTAGTCCAAATTAGTCCAGTGTGCCTCTTGGGGGCCTCCCACAATTCCACATGCAGCTTATAAAAGTGGTTGCCCAACACAAACTAATCTCTTTTCCCAGAAAATTTCTGCTTGTAAGAAATTTTTCTCCATTTATGCTTAAAGCAGACAGTGGGTACTCAACAAATAATAGTTCCTATCCTAGAGCCATTTGAGGATCTGACATCGGTTATAGGAGAGGGAATTATGAAAATGGAAAAAAGGGAGAAGGAGTGGAAAACTTGGATATATTGGGATAAATTTACCATTACACCAATTCAGAAGTTTTTTTCTTGCTTGGAGGTTTTTTCTTTTTCTTTTTTTTCAGACGGAGTCTCGCACTGTTGCCCGGGCTGGAGTGTAGTGGTGTGATCTCGGCTCACTGCAACCTCCACCTCCTGGGTTCAAGTGATTCTTCTGCCTCAGCCTCCTGAGTAGGTGAGACTACAGGCACATGACACCATGCCCGGGTATTTGCATTTTTAGTAGAGACAGGGTTTCACTATGTTGGTCAGGTTGGTCTCAAACTCCTGACCTCATGATCTGCCTGCCTCAGCCTCTCAAAGTGCTGGGATTATAGGCATGAGCCACCGCACCCGGCCGCTTGGAGGTTTTTAAGGGAAAGGAAAAGGAAGAAGACAGGGCCAAAAAGGATTTCACAAAAATACATCATTAAATATGAAACTATAAGAATGGATTGTTGGCCAGGCATGGTAGCTCACGTCTGTAATCCCAGCACTTGGGAGGCCAAGGTGGGCAGATTACTTAAACTCAGGAGTTTGAGACTATCCTCGGCAACATGGCAAAACTCCATCTTTACCAAAAATACAAAAAATTAGCTGGGCATGGTGGCGCACACCTGTAGTCCCAGCTACTTGGGAGGCTCAGTGGGGAGGATCACTTAAGCCCAGGAGGCCGAGGTTGCAGTGAGCCATCATCGTGCCACTGCACTCCAGCCTGGGTGAATGAGTGAGACACTATCTCAAAAAAAAAAAAAAAGTTACTTTATTCTTAATATTGTTGGCAATTAAGCAGACATACTAACATTGTAACATTAACATTTATTTAGAATCTCTTTTGAAGCTGTCCTTGACCTGTTTCTCAAGACTGGAATTCTGCTGGGTGCCGTGGTGCATGCTTGTAATCCCAGCACTTTGGGAGGCTGACACAGGAGGATGACTTGAGGCCATGAGTTCAAGACTAGCTTGCCGCACAACATAGCAAGATTCTGTCTCTACAAAAATAAAAAAAAAATTAGCTTATTCATCTCTAGCTGTCAGTCCCTGGTGTGAGTCCAGTACAAGGGGGAGGAAGAGGAATTAACAATCACTAAATATGTACTCTGTGCTCAATCTGTGTAATACCTCTTACATACACTCTTTCATTTACTCCTTCCAACAAGCCTTTAGTTAGAAAACGCTATCTCCATTTTTTACATGAACCTGCAGATGAGAAATTAATTTTTTTTTAATGTTTCCAGAAAGTCAGCTATAATGCTGGCATTTGATCCCAGATGTGCACACTCCAAACTTCATAATATTTCCACTGTATTATTTTGCCTATTCCAAATATAGCTCTATTTGCAGAGCGAATAATTGTGCTGATATTTGGTGAGATAGCATGTGCAATAGAAAATCCAGTTTATTATTTAAATGGAGGCAGAAGATGTAGATATAGGCAAATCGTAACATCACCTATGTTAGCTCTTGTTTCTGTTTTGCCTTTCCCATTTGACAAAGAACTGTTTGTAGCAGTTAAGGGCTATTTTATTTTCTGAGATGGAGAGAACAGCATGAAGGGCATACCATTAGTAGGTACGGTTGTGTGTACCTGTAGTTCCAGCTACTTAGTAGGCTGAGGCAGGAAGCCAGGACTTTAAGGTTAGTGAGTTATGATCATGCCACTGCACTCGAACCTGGGTGACAGAGGGAGACCCTAACTCTAAAAGAAATAAAACAAACAAAAAAAAAGATGTGAACTTTTTTTTTTTTTTTTTGAGACAGAGTCTTACTCTGTCGCCCAGGCTGGAATGCAGTGGTGCGACCTTGGCTCATTGCAACCTCTGCCTCCTGGGTTCAAGCGATTCTCCTGCCTCAGCCTCCCAAGTACCTGGGATTACAGGTGCCTGACACCATGCCCGGCTAATTTTTGTATTTCAAGTAGAGACGGGGTTTCATCATGTTGGCCAGGCTGGTCTCGAACTCCTGACCTCAAGTGATCTGCCTGCCTTGGCGCCAAAGTGCTGGGATTATAGGCATGAGGCACCATGCCCGGCCAAAAACTCTATAGATTTTTAAATTATATCTGCAATTTTAAACTAAGAACTGCCCTCCTCTATATCTTAAGGTTTTGAAAGCAAAAGACATGTTGGAGGTAATTAAATGGGTAGAGGTGGCTTCATGCTGGCATTGTTTTAAGTCTGAAAAAAGTGGGGCTGGCATCAGTGGCCTCTGTGGCTTCTGAAAGGATTGGTTTTTACCTGATGTTGCTTGCCTTGTGTTTCTAGGCAGAGGACCTGCCCATGAGCTTCTGCAACCAGTTCACTCTCTGCTTAGGTTTTGGTTCGGCCCTCGCCATCTGGACTAGTAACAGAGTCTGGGAAGCGATGATGCACAGCGAGGGCTCAGGGTCACACAGCAGGTCTCTCAGATCTAGCGGTAGGCAAACACAGGTTGGAGGTAAAAGCCCCTGAGATCTGTGGAAATGAATGAAGGTCTAGATAGCAAAAAGCTTACATGCCCATAGCAGCTTAGATTACGGTCCAACTGTCTAAAAGTTTATATATCAGTGAATTGTTTCCAATTTTGATCTACAAAACCTACCGGTTTCTGAGTTGCCAAACATGTCACTCCTCTGCAATAATCACATTCCAAGTAGTCTTTCTAAAGTCGAATGATCTGGACCTCCCAAGCCATGTCTAATGTTAACATCTAAGTTCCCGTGTTGGTCCTAGAAGTAACTCTTACATCATTATCTTCTTTTAATTAAAAAAAAAAAACTTTTAGTTTTTAATATTTTCTTTCTTTTCTTTTTCTTTTTCTTTCTTTTTTTTTTTTTTTTGAGATGAAGTCTCCTTCTGTCGCCCAGGCTGGAGTGCAGTGATGCGATCTTGACTCACTGCAACCTCCGCGTCCCAGGTTCAAGTGATTGTCCTGCCTCAGCCTTCGGAGTAGCTGGGATTAAAGGTGCCCACCACCACGCACAGCTAATTTTTGTATTTTTAATAGAAATGGAGTGTCACCATGTTGGCCAGGCTGGTCTCCAACTCCTGACCTCAAGTGATCCACCCACCTTGGCCTCCCAAAGTGCTGGGATTACAGGTGTGAGTCACTGTGCCTAGCAGTTTTTATGTTTTCTTATTGCAAAAGAAATACATGTTCATTGTGCAGAACATTTAGACATTACATGTAAGCACAAGAAGAAAAGTCACCCATAATCCTAACATCTAGCGATAACTATTGTTATTTTCAATATATATCTTTCTGGTCTTCTTTCCATACATTTATATTTACATATATATGCTTTTATTTTTTGTCCAAATGGAACCATATGACCGAGGAATTGCAAATGCTGGTTTTATTTAATGATACCACATCATCATTTATCTGAGTCACTTAAAAATTATTCTAGGCCAGGCGCACTAGCTCATGCCTGTAGTTGCAGCACTTTGGGAAGACGAGGGAGGTGGATCATTTGAGCCTAGGAGTTCAAAACCAGCCTGGGCAACATGGCAAAACCCTATGCCTACAAAATATCAAAAAATAAAACATTAGCCAGGCGTGGTGGCTTATGCCTGTAGTCCCAGCTACTTGGGAGACTGAGGTGGGAGGATCCCTTCAGCCTAGGAGGTGGAGGTTGCAATGAACTGAGATCATGCCACTGCATTCCAGCCTGGGCAACAGAGTGAGATCCTGTTTCTAAATAAATAAATAAATAAATAAAATAAAAATTATTCTATAATATGTTTCTTGGCTATTCAGGTTGAGGATCCCGTATCCAAAATGTTTGGGAGCAGAAGTGTTTTGGAAATTAGACCATTTTGGATTTTGGAAGACTTGCATATACATAATGAGATATTTTGGGGATGGGACTGAAGTCTAAACACAAAATTCATTTATGTTTCATATACACCTTATACATATAGCCTGAAGGTAATTTTATACAATATTTTAAATAGTTTTGTGCATGAAACAAAGTTTTTTGACTGTGTGTGTGTGTGTGTGTGTGTGTGTGCACGTGTGTGCGCGTGTGCGTGTTTTAAACAGAGTCTCACTCTGTCACCCAGAGTGACAGATCTTGGCTCACTGCAACCTCCGTCTCCCGGGTTCAAGCGATTCTCCTGCCTCAGGCTCCTGAGTAGCTGGGATTACAGGTGCGCGCCACTACGCCTGGCTAATTTTTGTATTTTTAGTAGAGACAGGGCTTCACCATGTTGGCCAGGCTGGTCTTGAATTCCTGACCTCAGGTGATCCGCCTGCCTTGGCCTCCCAAAGTGCTAGGATTACAGGCGTGAGCCACCACAACTGGCTTGATTGTGTTTTGTCTTATGAGGTAGGTCAGGTATGGAATTTTCCCATTGTGGTGTCACGTTAACACTCAAGAAGTTTCGGGTTGGAGAACATTTCAGATTTTGGATTTTTTTGATTAGGGATGCTCAACCTGTATATAATTCTACAATATGAATATGCTATAATTTCTTTAATTATCTATTGTTTCCAATCTAGATTATTTCCCACTTTTGTTATTCTAAATAACAATAAATGGACATTCCTGTAACTATTTCTGCTTATTTTCATAGATTAAATTCCTAAACAAGAATTGATAAGTCAGGCTGGGCACGGTGGCTTACGCCTGTAATCCCAGGACTTTGGGAGGCTGAGGCGGGCAGATCACAAGGTCAGGAGTTCGAGACCAGCCTGACCAACATGGTGAAACCCCGCCTCTACTAAAAATACAAAAAATAGCCGGACATGGTGCCTGTAATCCCAGCTACTCAGGAGGCGGAGGCAGGAGAATTTCTTTTTCTTTTTCTTTTTTTTTTTTTTGAGACGAAGTCTCACTCTGTCACTCAGCCAGGCTGGAGTACAGTGGCGCAATCTCGGCTCACTGCAACCTCTGCCTCCCGGGTTCAAGCAATTCTCCTTGAATCACACCTGGCTAATTTTTGTATTTTTAATAGAGACGGGGTTGCACCGTATTGGTCAGGTTGGTCTCAAACTCCTGACCTCAGGTAATCCACCCACCTGGGCCTCCCAAACTGCTGGGATTACAGGCATGAGCCATTGTGCCCGGCCCAAAGTTTATTAATTGGTAATCTTTGCCATTTCGACAGAAAAACGCATACTGTCATCTCATCATGATTTATTTTGTAAACCTCTGATTACTAGTAATATCAAATATCTTTCATCTATTTATTGGCGATTTGTAATTATTCTATGAACCTCTTATTCATATTGTTTGCCAGTTTTCTTTTGAGGGTTTCTAATTTGATTTAAGGGTGTTAACCCTTTATCATGTTGCAAATATTTCCCTTCATATTATTGTTTGCATTTCACTTTTAACTATTTCTCTCTTTTTCAAAGTTGGTTTTTAAATTTTTATGTAGACAAATCTACCATTCTTTTATTTTATGGATATGCCTTTAGTATCATACTTAGAAAAGGTTCTCTTTTTTATTTTATTTTATTAATTAATTTATTTTTTTGAGACAGAGTCTTGCTCTGTTGCTCAGGCTGGAGTGCAATGTCACGTTCTTGGCTCACTGCAACCTCTGCCTCCCAGGTTCAAGCAATTCTCGTGTCTCAGCCTCCTGAGTAGCTGGGATTACAGGTGTGTGCCAATATGCCCAGCTAATTTTTGTATTTTTAGTAGAGACGGGGTTTCGCCATGTTGGCCAGGCTGGTCTTGAACTCCTGGCCTCAGGTGATCTACCCTCTCAGCCTTCCAAAGTGCTGGGAGTACAGGCATGAGCCACTGTGCCGGGCCAGGTTCTCTTTTTTATGTATAATTCTCCAAGGTCTCAAAAACGCTCAAGACCTCTTCATAATTTGGAGCTTTATATTTATTAAGCAGTGTTTTGCCTTTAAATTCATCTTGTTTGCTTGCAAAATGTAACATTTCACTAGTTTGTAGTTTCCTTCACTTCCTGCATTGAGGTCTGTCTACATGTTTCACAGAACATTTATTTATTTATTTATTTATTTAGTTAGTTAGTTATTACTTTTTGAGATGAAGGCTCGCCCTGTCGCATCTCGGCTCACTGCAACCTCCGCCTCCCAGGTTCATGTGATTCTCCTGCTTCTGCCTCCCGAGTAGCTGGGACTACAGGCATGCGCCATCACACCTGGCTAATTTTGTATTTTTAGTAGAGACGGGATTTCACCATGTTAGCCAGGCTGGTCTTGAACTTCTGACCTAAGGTGATCCACCTGCCTCGGCCTCCCAAAGTGCTGGGATTACAAGCGTGAGCCACGCACCCGGCCATGGTCCACAGAACATGAAATGTCAATCACATATGGTTCATTCTAATCTATATGCACATAATTATATATATTTTCTAGATTTTTCATATAGATAACTTTTGAATGGAAAAGGAAGTTTCATCCCCCATTTAGATTAGAAAATAATTTCTTTTTATTTGAACAGAATCAGCCATATAGAATCCTATCCCTTGGAATAATCCACATGGCTTCTTTCTTACTTTCTTTTCTTTTCTTCTTTCTTTCCTTCCTTCCTTCCTTTTCTTTCTTTTTTTTTTTGTTTTTTGATGGAGTCTTACTCTGTCACCCAGGCTGGAGTGCAGTGGTGCAATCTCGGCTCACTGAAGCCTTGACCTCCTGGGCTCAAACGATGTTCCCACCTCGGCCTCCTGAGTAGCTAGAACCACAGGCGCACACCACCATACCCACTAATTTTTTTTTTTTTTTTTTTTTTTAAATAGAGGCCAGGTGCGGTGGCTCATGCCTGTAATCCTGGCACTTTGGGAGGCTGAGGTGGGTGGATCACCTGAGGTATGGAGTTCGAGAACAGCCTGGCCAGCATGGTGAAACCCGTCTCTACTAAAAATACAAAAATTAGCCAGGCGTGGTGGCGGGCACCTGTAATCCCAGCTACTTGGGAGACCGAGGCACGAGAATCGCTTGAAACCAGGAGGCGGAGGCTGCAGTGAGCTGAGATCACACCACTGCATTCCACCCTGGGCGACCGAGCAAGACTCCATCTCAAAATATATATATATATATACACACACACACACACATACAAACATATGGAGAGATGAGGTCTCACTGTGTTGCCCAGGCTGGTCTTGAACTCCTGGGCTCAAGTAATCCTCCCACCTCGGCCTCCCTAAGTGCTGGAATTACAGGTGTGAGCCATTGCACCCAGCCTCCTTTCTTTGGCTTCTGATATCTGTGAGGAAGTGGGAGACCTTAGAGAAAAGTGGCATGATCTTTCTTAAATAAGCTTTAGCTCCTAGCTGTTTCACCAGTTATGTTTTTATTTTATAAGTAATGAATTACTAGGATTTTGATTAGATTCTGCAAGTAATAATTTTGGATTGTAAGACAGCATCATATGGCATTTTCTAATGGTAGGACTACTTCTTAGTGGGAATAAAGAATGCCTGTTTTGGCTGGGCGTGGTGACTCATGCCTGTAATCCCAGCCCTTTGGGAGGCCGAGGTGGGTGGATCACCTGAGGCCAAGAGTTTGAGACCAGCCTGACCAACATGGTGAAACCCCGTCTCTACTAAAAATACAAAAATTAGCAGGGCGTGGTGGTGCGTGCCTGTAATCCCAGCTACTCGGGAGGCTGAGGCAGGAGAATCACTTGAACCCGGGAGGTGGAGGTTGCAGTGACCCATTATCAGGCCACTGCACTCCAGACTGTGCGACAGTGCAAGACTCCATCTCGAAAGAAAAAAAAAAAAAAAAAAAGAATGCCTGTTTCTCAGAATAGGAGATTTGAAAGAAAAACATTAAAGAAAAAAAATTAAAGAAAAATGTGACTATAAAACATCTCTATTACCAAGTCCTACCTAAGTTACAGGACAACGGCTTATAGAAAATAGTACTGCAGTCATCTCTGTGGTACTTATGAGGAATCATCATAATTTACTAAGATAGTATTTCTAGGTAATGTCTTATTTGCTGACAGACAAGGCTCAGGAACTGTCTCTGAGACTCATCAAAGCTAGCTTCCAGACAAATAGGGTGATGTCCTTTCCTAAAGGGGAAACTGGACTGGGATGGGACTGTCATTCAGCTGAAATCACCAACAGGATTCCTGCTACAAAAACCAGGTTTTCTAGAGCTCAGGGTCTCAGCTCTGCTATAAAGCCTTCCCACACTGGCTGCCTCGGATACCTTCCAAAATATGGGTACACCCCAAATTCAAGGACTGTTATCACTTACCGTCCTCTATCCAGTCAGTACCCATCCTCCTGAGCTCATTGTGATCCATGTACTTCGATAAAAGGCCTAAAGGCAGGATAAAGTCAGTGAGTCTGTGATCTGGCTTTTGCTCTTGGAAATGAATATCTAAAAGTTTTTATCATTAAGACATCTAAGCAGCCGGCAGAATCGGCCTTCTGATAATTAGGCAGATTCCAAAAACTGGGCTTCCAGGTGCCTGGTAGTTACCTATAGGTAACAGGGCCCCTTCTTCCAAGGTCATCTTCATAAAGAATGGGGATACTTGGCCGGGTGCAGTGACTCACAGCCGGGTACAGTGACTAATGCCTGTAATCCCAGCACTTTGGGAGGCTGAGGCAGGAAGACTGCTTGAGCCCAGGAGTTTAAGACCACCCTGGGCAATATAGCAAGACCTTGTCTCTTAAAAAAAAAAAAATTGGCTGGGCATGGTGGCACATGCCTATAGTCCCAGATACTCAAGAGGCTGAGGGAGGTAGGAGGATTGCTTGAGCCCAGGATGTTGAGGCTGCAGCAAGCCATGGTGGTGCCACTGTGCTTCAACTTGGGCAACGAAGTGAGACCTTGTCTCAAATCACCACCCCCGCCTACACACATAAAACCCCCACACCATACATACATAAAAATGGGGATACTGACTGGGCGCGGTGGCTTACGCTTGTAATCCCAGCAATTTTGGTGGCTGAGGTGGGTGGATCACCTGAGGTCAGGAGTTCAAGACTAGCCTGGCCGACATGGTGAAACCCCATCATTACTAAAAATACAAAAATTAGGCCAGGCGCGATGGCTCACGCCTGTAATCCCAGCACTTTGGGAGGCCGAGGCGGGCGGATCACCTGAGGTCAGGAGTTCAAGACCAGCCTGGCCAACATGGTGAAACCCCATCTCTACTAAAAAATATAAAAATTAGCAGGGTGTGGTGGCAGGCGACTTAATCCCAGCCACTTGGGAGGCAGAGGCAGGAGAATCTCAACCCGGGAGGCAGAGGTTGCAGTGAGCTGAGATCAAGCCATTGCATTCAAATCTGGGGGACAAGAGCGAGACTTCTCTCAAAAAAAAAAAAAAAAAGAAAAATTAGCCAGGTGTGGTGGCAGGCACCTGTAATCCCAGCTACTCAGGAGGCTGAGGCAGGACAATCACTTGAACCCAGAAGGTGGAGGTGGCAGTGAGCTGAGATCGTGCCACTGCACTCCAGCCTGGGCAGCAAGAGTGAAACTCAGTTTCAAAAACAAAACAAAACAAAACAAAACAAAACAAAGACAGAGGGCCAGGCACCGTGGCTCACGCCTGTAATCCCAGCACTTTGGGAGGCCGAGGCGGGCAGATCACGAGGTCAGGAAATCGAGACCATCCTGGCTAACACGGTGAAACCCTGTCTCTACTAAAAATACAAAAAAATTTAGCCGGGCGTGATGGTGAGCGCCTGTAGTCCCAGCTACTCGGGAGGCTGAGGCAGGAAAATGGCATGAACCCGGGAGGTGGAGCTTGCAGTGAGCCGAGATGGCGCCACTGTACTCCAGCCTGGGTGACACAGCGAGACTCCGTCTCAAAAAAGAAAAAAAGAAGGGATGCTTGACAACATAATTTGGGAAAGTACAGGACAAAAGTGACTGTAGGAATGAAAGGACTTTCTTTGTACCTACAAACAAGACTGCTGATCTTCTGATGGGAAGTTTTGGGTTCTTGGAGTACATCAGTGTTTGTTCTAGGATGTTAATTTTCCCCTTGCACTTTTTTTCCTAAGTGTGGAAAAAAGTAAGTATAAAGCAGTGAAGCAGCAGCACTCTATTGATCAGCCTTACCACAGTTTCTGGGGTCAGAGACTCTATCAGAGAGAGTACAGTAGTGTTTGAAATAACTACAGTTGCTGAATGAGTATTATACCAGAATAACAAGCCCCTAGACCAAGTTATTCTAAATCCTGTGAATGCCCCTTGCTTGTACCCACTCATGCCATATATTGTGCCTGTAATGTTTCTAAAGCCATCTTGGCTTCTCTGTATCTAAGTCTTTGTTCTTTAAGTTCCACCTTGAGTTCTGCCTCCCTATGAGCTTGTCCTTGACTGCTTGCCTGCCTGACCTAACCCTGCTCTGAGCATTTTGCAGGTACTCCTCTCCCGGCACGCACTTTTTTACATCGAGGTTTTATCTCCTTTGCTAGCTTGCAGGCTCCCCTCAGGAAGTTTGTTTTTGTTTTTGTTTTTTCAGAAGGAGCCTTGCTCTGTCGCCCAGGCTGGAGTGCAGTGGCGCGGTCTTGGCTCACTGCAACCCTCACCTCCTGGGTTCAAGCAATTCTCCTGCCTCAGCCTCCCAAGTAGCTGGGACTATAGGTTCCTGCCCCCAAGCCCAGCTAATTTTTTTTTTGTATTTTTGGTAGAGACGGGGTTTCACCATATTGGCCAGGCTGGTCTCGAACTCCTGACCTTGTGATCCACCCGCCTCGGCCTCCCAAAGTGCTAGGATTACAGGCGTGAGCCACCACGCCCAGCCCCCTCAGGAAGTTTTAATCCTTGGGTTCTCTATGGCCTGTTATGGCTTTTGGGTGAAGGAAGGCACCTCTCAGTGGATCTTTTATAAGGATAGGCACCTCAAGAATAGGAGGGGGAGGCTGGGCATGGTGGCTCATGCTTGTAATCCCAACACTTTGGGAGGTTGAGCTGAGTGGATCACCTGAGGTCAGGAGTTCCAGAACAGCCTGGCCAACATGGCAAAACCCCAGCTCTGCTAAAAAATACAAAACTTAGCCAGACATGGTGGTGTAAGCCTGTAATCCCAGCTACTTGGGAGGCTGAGGCCTGGGCAACTGAGACTCTGTCTCAAAAAAAAAAAAAAAAGGAGGGGGAAAATAGGAATTTATTTTGATAGAACTTATGGCTTAATTAACATGGACAACTTGTAGTTGACAGCACCAAATTTCCTTCTGTAAATACTGTCATCAGTGTATCAGCTATAGGTTTGGGTGCAGATCAGACAGATAATCCCTAATGGAAACCCCGACACAAGGGCACTGCAAGTCCGATCACAGAAAGCTTCTGTGGGTCCTAAAGAGGTGATACATATGGAAGACTCCTGGGAATAGTCAGTCCTAGGGTCTGCTAGGTGGTTCTAGGGTCAGCTTCTAGAAAACCATGGATGGGCTTCCTGAGGCAGCCCAGGCTCAAGCTTGACCCTGAGATCAGACACAGTAGCCTCTGTGGAGTTCGTGAAGAGAAATGATACCACCTGGGTCCTGGCAGAACCAGTGGCATGCTGCCATCATGCTGCATGGCCACACAGCATGGCAGCCCTTGCTTGGGACTCCCTGGACATGCTCTGATGGACAGTAAAACAATCCGTTCTAGTCAAGGAAAGGATTCAAGATAGTTATAAAAGCAATATATAACTCCATTTCAATTCAGTCCATAAGTAACTTTTTCAGCATCAACCTGACCTTGTAGCCTCTGACCCATGTTAGAAGGGCTCCTAAGAGTCCACCAGTCTTTTCATGACTAAGAGTGGCAATCGAAACTAACTTTGTGACTCAGTTGGGAGGGAACTATAGAAACATAAATCCACAATAAAAAACAGGTCATAGATATCAACTGCTGATGTGAAAAGAAATGGGAAATGTTTCTTGCATGCCATGTTCTGTCATTAAATAGTGTGTCAGAAGAAAATAGGTCTCTCAGTATGTTGAAGAGTTAACAAAGCCATTATTGCTCACATACAAAGAATCTGCAGATTGTTCCTGCTTCAGTAGGTTTGATGTGCCAGGGATCTTTGGAGTACACTTCTTGGGGCAGCTTCCACTTCAGGAACTGGGCACATATAGTTAGGACTTGCCTGCTCTCCTGTGAAAAAGATGACCATAGATCAGCATTTTCAAACATTTTTATTTTTTTGAGCTGGAATCTCATGCTGTCGCTCAGGCTGGACTACAGCAGTGCCATCTTGGCTCACTGCGACCTCCACCTCCCGGGTTCAAGCAATTCTCTTCCCTCAGCCTCCTGAGTAGCTGGGATTATAGGCGCCCACCACCATGCCCGGTTAATTTTTGTATTTTTAGTAGAGACAGGGTTTTGCCATGTTGGCCAGGCTGGTCTTGAACTCCTGGCCTCGGGTGATCCATCCACCCTGGCCTCCCAAAGTGCTGGGATTACAGGCGTGAACCACCGTGCCCAGCCTCATTTTTAAACAGAGGTAATCTTTCTTCAATAAAACTAGTACTAAAGTACAATATGAAAAACTGATAAAAGAGAGCAGAAGAGCGGAAAGGAACTAGAATCCTGCCCTCCTCCTCCAACTTCTCCAAATAGTCCTTACGTGGAATCCACAAAAACCCTAGGGTTCTGGGGAGGATGTAGAAACCACTGGTGTTGGGCAAAAGTGACAGCTTGCAGATGTAATCCCTAGACCAGAGGTTTGGGCAGGAATTCCCATTACCCTGTGCCCTAGAGATGAAGCTCCCACCTCCACTTACTGTTCCTATGCCATTTTTCTGTCACTCTACAAAGGAAGTGTAGCCCCTGACTTCTGTCCTTGTGGCATCTCTGGGTTGGAAGGAAGGAACTCTAGAGGACTGATCTCTTCCTGATCCACATCCTTGAGCAAAATTTAGCAAGTGGGTCTCTTTTCTAGTTCATTGTTCTCAGAATGCCACCCATACACCATGCAACACCTCTGATGAATCTCCAAGCCAGTATTTTATCTCAGGTCCACTAGATGTTTGGGCCATAAAAATTCCTTTGGCTACTGATGGGCATATAAATTACTTCAGCCACTGTGTTTAGTGATTTATAAATATCTAATAAAAAGTTAAAGATACCTAGATATTCTACTTGAGGTTTTATGCCCTCAAGAAACTCTCATATGCGTGCACAAGGAAACAGGTAAAATAATTGCAGAACTGTAATCACGAAAAATTGAAATGTCAGGCCAGGCACAGTGGCTCATGCCTGTAATCCCAGCTCTCTGGGAGGCCAAGCAGGTAGATGATTTGAGGTCAGGAGTTCGAGACCAGCCTGGCCAACATGGCAAAACCCCATCTCTACTAAAAATACAAAAATTAGCCAGGCATGGTAGTGGGCAGTTGTAATCCCAGCTACTCAGGAGGCTGAGGCAGAAGAGTTGCTTGAACCCAGGAGGTGGAGGTTGCAGTGATCCGAGATCACACCACTGCACTCCAGCCTGGGCGACAGAGACCCTGTCTCAAAAATATATATGTATATCTATCTGTCTGTCTGTCTGTCTGTCTGTCTATGTATGTATGTAGGTATGAATGTATGTATGTATGTATGTATCTATCTATATGAGTATATGAATGCTTCTTTTCTTTGCAGAGTTGGCTCTGGATTTGAAGTTTGAGGGATGAGAGACACCGACAGTAGGCCTTACCTCAGCTACTGCATCATTTTCATCCTGAGAATACAGAAGTAGTGGGACCAAGCTGTCCAGGACTTGGTTCTCTATACTCTTCTTATCTGGGTTTTTTACAGACTTTATGGCGGCTCCAAAGAGAGTCACGGAGAAACGATGAACATCAGATCTCACCTGGGAAGGGAGTAGCCAAAGGGAAGCAATTCACTGAACGTGTGCGTGCTTAGCTTGTAACAACCTGGGAGGGGTTGAAAAGCCAGTCCTGACAATGAGGCTATTTAGCTGTATGTAGCTGAAGGCAAGAAATAAAATATACGTGGACACAGGCCAGGCGCAGTGGCTCACGCCTGTAATCCCAGCACTTTAGGAGGCTGAGGCAGGCAGATCACTTGAGGTCAGGAGTTCAAGACCAGCCTGGCCAATATGGGGAAACCCCATCTCCACTAAAAATACAAAAATTAGCTGGGCGTGGTGGCGCATGCCTGTAGTCCCAGCTACTCGGGAGGCTGAGGCAGGAGAATCGCTTGAACCCAGGAGGTGGAGGTTGCAGTAGGCCAAGATCATGCCACTGCACTCCAGCCTGGGTGACAGAGCAAGACTCCGTCTCCCTCCCCCTCTCTCTCTATATATGGACACAGTAAGACTTGCTGCTTTGGCACTACTTGTTTTCTCACCCTACAAGTGAGAGATGCACATAGTCTCACCTGTAGTCGGCAAACCTCGTGCCTGGTACAGGCAGGAACCATTCACACAGGCTGCTTTGTTGAAATTCGAAATCCCAGCCTTGGTATGTTTTACTCTTCCAAGGATGCTGGTCATTGTGCTCTATGCATTTCCTCTTGAGAAATATATGGCATTTGGGACAGGGACATAAGTATCATCCACCATCTTGACCCAGTTCTGATAGTTCTTGAAGGGAAAGACAATGTTTTCCCCTTCCCCATCACAAAGCAGGGTAGTACCTTAGCAAGTTTCTATGTTCAGTTGTTTTTTTTTTTTTTGGTTAAACCTGAAAAACAATAACATCTGCCCTATCAACATCACAGGTTACCTAGTAGGGTCTTAAGAGAGGAGGTTTGAAATGCTCTGAAAGTAAAAGTCCTATACCAAGTAGAGTGTATTTATTACTATACCAACTTCTGTTTGCTGTTATGCCCATTACCCTCCTCCTAGGAAAGTCTGTCCTCTCTGATTGTCTTACATCACCAAATAAGGAGAACAGGGTCCTCATCATGGCAGCCAGGGTAGTGAAATCCATTGTTCTAACAAGTTGCAGGAGTATCTGGATGGCTGACAGAACGATCTTCTCATCGGTTTCACGCAAGCTGTCTACAATGTATGGCAACAGGCTCTTGATGTCTTCTCTCTGCATGGCCAAAGGGAGCATATCACCTTTTCTCCAAATCGCACGTCACCTGGTACCAAAGGGGGTGCTCCCCATCTTTACTCAGTACCTAGTGCTCACTGATTTTTGTTAGGGGTGGTAGATCCAGAAGGGAGAAGAAGGGGATATGATGGCCTTCTCTCAGTACTGGAGGTCTGATACATAGAAGAGGGGCAGAGCTGCTTTGAGTTGCCTCAAGGGCAAAAGTGGGACCAGGCAGGGAAGGTCTAGGGCTATGGGCTTGGGCTCACTGTAAGGAAGAGCTCTGCTAACAAGGGAAAGTGGAACAGGTAGCTCAGGCCACGGTGAGCTCCCAAACACACAAGATATCCAAACAGAGGCTCAAAGATCCTGATATGGTTTGGCTCTGTGTCCCCACCTAAATCTCATCTCGAACTGTAATTCCCACTTGTAGAGGGAGAGACTTGGTGGGAAGTGATTGGATCATGAGGGCTGTTTCCCCCATGCTGTTCTCATGATAGTGAGGGAGTTCTCAGGAGATCTGATGGTTTTAAAATGGCAGTTTTGGCTGGGTGCAGTGGCTCATGCCTGTAATCCCAGCACTTTGGGAGGCCGAGGCAGGTGAATTACTCGAGGTCAGGAGTTCGAGACCAGCCTGGCCAATACAGCGAAACCCCACCTCTACTAAAAATACAAAAATTAGGCTGGGCACAGTGGCTCACGCCCGTAATCCCAGCACTTTAGGAGGCCGAGGTGGGCGGATCACCTGCAGTCAGGAGTTCGAGCCCAACCTGACCAACATGGCAAAACCCTGTCTCTACTAAAAATACAAAAATTCGCCAGGCATGGTGGCACATACCTGTAATCCCAGCTACCTGGGAGGCTGAGGCAGAATAGCTTGAACCAGGGAGGTGGAGGTTGTAGTGAGCCGAGATCGCACCATTGTACTCCAGCCTGGGTTACAAGAACAAAACTCTGTCTCAAAAAAAAAAAAAAAAAAAAAAAGCCTGGTGTGGTGGTGCCTGCCTGTAGTCCCAGCTACTCAGGAGGCTGAGGCAGGAGAATTGCTATAGCTTGAACTCAAATGGCAGAGGTTGCAGTGAGCTGAGATCACACCACTGCACTCCACCCTAGGTGACACAGAGAGACTCAATCTCAAAAAAAATAAAAATAAAAAATAAAATAAAAGTGGCAGTTTCCCCTGCTTTCTGTCTCTCTCCTGCTCCGCCATTGTGAAGATGTACCTGCTTCCCCTTTGCCTTCCACCATGATTGTAAGTTTCCTGAGGCCTCCCTAGCCATGCAGAATTGTGAGTCTAGTAAACCTCCTTCGTTTATAAATTACCCAGCTCAGGGAGTATCTTTATAGCAGTGTGAAAATGGATCCCCTGGCAGGAATTCAAGCAGAATTTGACCGAGGACTTAAGGGTTCTTCTCATTCTGAATGGGGATTCTGCTCTTCTGAAACTACTGAAAGGAAACAATCTCAGGGTTGTAAAGTTTAAACGTACACATGAAAAAGTAAGTAGAATATAAACACAAGTTAGGAAGCCAGTTTTAAAAAAAAGAAAAAGTAAGTAGAATAAAGCGATATTAATGTATCCAATCAACCAGAATTAACATACACTGACATTCGTCATTTTTGCTTCAGAAACACTTTTTTCTTTTTTTTTTTTTTGAGACAGTATGTCGCTCTGTCATTCAGGCTGGAGTGCAGTGGCGCAATCTCGGCTCACTACAACCTCTGCCTCACGGGTTTAAGCAATTCTCCTGCCTCAGCCTCCCAAGTAGCTGGGACTACAGGCACATGCTACCATGGCTAATTTTTGCATTTTTAGTAGAGATGGGGTTTCACTATGTTGGCCAGGTTGGTCTCAAACTCCTGACTTCATGTGATCTGCTCGCCTTGGCCTCCCGAAGTGCTGGGGTTACAGGCGCTAGCCACTGCGCCTGGCCCCAAATATTTTTAAATAAAATATTTGGTGAAGCGGCTCATGCCTGTAATCCCAGCTACTCTGCAGGCTGAGGTAAGAGGACTGCTTAAGGCCAGGAGTTCAAGGCTGCAGTGAGCCATGATCATGCCACTGTTCTCTAGCCTGGGCAACAGAGCAAGACCCTGTCTCTAAAAAAATTTAAAAAGTAAAAATAGGCCAGGTGTGGTGGCTCACGCCTGTAATCCCAGCACTTTGGGAGGCCGAGGCGGGCGGATCATGAGGTCAGGAGATCGAGACCATCCTAGCTAACACATGAAACCCTGTCTCTACTAAAAATACAAAAAATTAGGCAGGGGAATGGCATGAACCCGGGAGGCGGAGGTTGCAGTGAGCCGAGATTGTGCCACTGCACTTCAGCCTGGGTGACAGAGCAAGACTCTGTCTCAAAAAAAAAAAAAAAAAGTAAAAATAAATAAATAAATAAAATAGAACTCCAAGCCACCTGTGGTGGCTCACACCTGTAATCCCAGCATTTTGGAAGGGTGAGGCAGCCAGATCGCTTGAGGTCAGGAGTTCGAGACCAGCCTGGCCAACATGGTGAAACCCTGTCCCTACTAAAACATACAAAAATTAGCCAGGTGTAGTGGCAGATGCCTGTAGTCCCAGGTATTTGGAAAGCTGGGACTTGGAGACTTGGAGAATCACTTGAAGCCGGGAGGCAGAGGTTGCGGCGAGCCGAGATTGTGCCACTGCACTCTAGCCTGGGTGACAAAGAGAGTCCCTGTCTCAAAAAAAAAAAAAAAAAGAATAGAACTCCAGTGACAAAACTGAAGCTTCAGAAATTCCTCATGTCTTCTGGCTTAGGCTTAGTTTTCTCACCAGGCCTATGGAAGATGAGCTTTCTTCCAACATGAATGTCAGTGATCTTTTTTTTAGATGACAAGCATCTTGGGAGCATATCAATGGTCTTTTCAATCTACTCCATGGGGCAACACGGTACAAGGCATAAAACAATACCTAAATGCTGTCCAGGTTGTGATAATGAGTATACCTCCCCTGCAAATTGCAGCTATCAACTATTATGAATATATATAATTTGGACTTTTTATTTATTTCATTTAATTCCATTAACTCTTTTTTTCTCTTTTTTTGTGAGACAGAGTTTCGCGCTTGTTGCCGAGGCTGGAGTGCAATAGTGCGATCTCGGCTCACTGCAACCTCCGCTTCCTGGGTTCAGACGATTCTCCTGCCTCAGCCTCCCAAGTAGCTGGGATTACAGGCATGTGCCACCACACCTGGCTAATTTTTTTGTATTTTTAGTAGAGACGGGGTTTCTCCATGTTGGTTAGGCTAGTCTCAAACTCTCGACCTCAGGTGATTCACCCGCCTCGGCTCCCAAAGTGCTGGGATTATAAGCGTGAGCCACCGTGCCTGGCCTAACTTTTTTTTTTTTTCCCGAGACGGAGTCTTGCTCTGTTACCCAGGCTAGAGTGCAGTGGTGCCATCTTGGCTCACTGCAACCTCTGCCTCCCGGGTTCATGCGATTCTCCTGCCTCAGCCTACTGAGTAGCTGGGATTACAGGCATGTGCCATCATGCCCAGCTAATTTTTATATTTTTAGTAGAGATGGGGTTTCACCATGTTGGTCCGGCTGGTCTCAAACTCCTGACCTCGTGATCCACTCGCCTCGGCCTCCCAAAGTGCTGTGATTACAGGCGTGAGCCATCACGCCTGGCCAATTTCATTAATTTTTAAATAGTCAGTACTTGCCTATTTCTTAGGCATAAAACTTTAAATGATACAAAAGGATGTGCAGGAAAAAAGACCCTCTCCCACCTACTCCTGTCCCCAGGCTACCCAATTGTCTTCAGCTATTTTCAGTTTCTTAGGTATTATTTTGGGGTGATTAATTGGTATCTTAGGAATCAGTGATCTGGGCCAGGCGCTGTGGCTCACACCTGTAATCCCAGTATTTTGGGAGGCTGAGGTGGACAGATCACTTGAGACCAGGAGTTCGAGAGCAGCCCTGGCAACACAGTGAGACTCTGTCTCTACAAAAATTTTAAAAATCAGCTGGGCATAGTGGCATGTGCCTGTGGTCCCCGCTACTCAGGAGGCTGAGGTGAGAGGATCACTTGAGCCCGGGAGGTTGAAGCTGCGGCACGCAGCGATGGTGTCACTGAACTCCAGCCTGGGTCACAAAGCAAGACCCTATCTTAAAAAAAGAAAAAAAAAAAAAGAAAGAAAGAAGGAAGGAAGGAGAGAAAAGAAAAGAAAGAGAAGGAAAGGAAGAAAGGAAGGAAAGAAAGAAAAAGGAAAGAAAGAAGGGAAAGAAAGAAAGGAAGGAAGAGAAAGAAAGAAAGAAAGAGAGGGACAGAAAGAAAGAGAAAGAAAAGAAAAGAAAAGAAAAGAAAAGAAAAGAATCCATGGTCTGGGGGCCCCTCCTACCATCTCCTGGTGTCCAACAAGATTGTACAGTCCCCTCAGGCCGAGAATTCTAAAGAGATGATTTCCATCTTGTAGCCAGTCTTTAAAGCGGGCAACAGAGTATATGCTGGGCAGTCTCTTGGCCACTGGACTCCGGAGAAGCTGAAAGAACCCAGAGATCAGCCCAAAAAATGACCTTTAAGCCCTTTTTCATGTGGGGAGCTACCTTCCCACCAATGCTAAAGTACATATTTTCCTTTTAAATCTCTATTACAGAACATACAGGATGATGTTTATTTACCCTATAGGTACACAAAGAATACTGAATTATGCATGTGTGGAAAGAAGATTTTTGAGAGGCTTGAATCTGAAAATTCTTTCTTTTTTGTGTGTTTGTTTTGTTTTGTTTTTTTGAGATGGAGTCTCACTCTGTTGCCCAGGCTGGAGTGCAGTGGTGCGATCTTGGCTCACTGCAATCTCTGCCTCCCGGGTTCAAGCGATTCTCATGCCTCATCCCGAGTAGCTGAGATTACAGGTGCCCGCCACCATGCCCAGCTAATTATTTTGTATTTTTAGTAGAGACGGGGTTTCACCATGTTGGCCAGGCTAGTTTTGAACTCCTGAACTCAGGTGATCCGCCCGCTTCAACCTCCCAAAGTGCTGGGATTACAGGCGTGAGCCACCGCGCCTGCCCTTGAATCTGAAAATTATTTCTATCTCACTCTTGAAACAGATCCCAACATGCCACTAACTCGATGTAGCCTAGGAAGGCAGGGATTGCTGCTTCATAGGCTTCCTGAATCCAGCTTCTAAACAATGAGTCTTACCTCCACAAAAAAGCCTGCAGATGTGAGTTTATGTTTATCATTCCCTCGGTTAAGAAGAGGGACTAATAAGTACATGACCTTCTGTGCAAGGAGCTGATTTCTTTCCAGCAATGCGCTGCAAAACACAACACCAACAGAATGACTCTCAGGAATGCTCCCATCCAGAGGGCATTGTCTCAGGGCTGGGGACCCTCTAGAAGTTCTTGCCCAGCTACAGGATAGTATACGGTAGGGCCAGGACCTCTGAAAAATTTGCCTAGCATTATGGATATTTGCCCACCCTCTTATAAGGAGGTTATTCAACCTTAGTTGCTGTGATAACTAGAAGGGAAATAAATACTCAAAACAATGCCGATTTAGAACAGGTGGGTGTATGCATGACAAGGAAGCCTTACTTGGCAAGGAGAAATAGTCCCTGAAGATGGCCATCTTTTCCTCCCAGGAGAGCCCATCCTTTATTCTTTTCCATGATGTTGAATTCCTGCAAGCAGCATGTTCTGAGGAGGAGAGTCTTTGTAGCCTGCATGGCAAAGCTAAATCAAACGAAAACAGTGTGGGTGATTTGAACAGGTCCCTCCAACTTACCAGCACACAGTCATCCCATTCTCAGTGAGGAGGGTCATGCATTGACAACTGCTGGACTGTAATTCTCTGCTTTCCAAATTGCCCAAAAGACTCTTCTCTTTTTTCTTTTACTTTCTTCTTCTTCTTTTTCTTTCTTCCTTTTTTTTTTTTTTTTTTTTTTTTGAGACGGAGGCTTGCTCTGTTGCCCAGGCCAGAGTGCAGTGGTGAGATCGTGGCTTGCTGCAACCTCTGCCTCCCTGGTTCAAGCGATTCTCCTGCCTCAGCCTCCTGAGTAGCTGGGATTACAGGTGCACGCCACCACACCTGGCTAATTTTTCTATTTTTAGTAGAGACTGGGTTTCACCATGTTGGTCAGGCTGGTCTCAAACTCCTGACCTCAGATGATATGCCTGTCTCGGCCTCCCAAAGTGTTGGAATTACAGGCATGAGCTACCGTGCCCGGCCTACTTTCAAGACTAGTCAAGTGCAGTAGTGAGACCAGAAGAGTCTTAATGCTCTAATAACTTGTAAGGCCCTTTACACAAGATCTCAGCATAAAGAAATCTAACTAGGTCTCATTTCCCCAGGAGTTTAGAAGGAAATCTATGATAAAAGAAATGATCTGGGATGCTAAACAGACACACACTGCTTTTTTAAAAGCTTTACTGAGATACAATTTACCCCACACTATTTATCTCCACTGTTTTTATTATTTATTTATTTACTGAGACAGGATCTTGTTTTGTCACCCAAGCTGGAGGGCAAGGGTGCCATCATGGCTCACTGCAGCCTTGAGCTCCTGGGCTCAAGTGATCCTCCTGCCTCAGCATCCAGGGCAGCTGGGATTACAGGCATGTGCCATCAGGCTCCAATAATTTAAGAAAAAAAAATTTTTTTCTGAGACAGGGTCTGGCTCTGTCTCCCAGGCTGGAGTGCGGTGGCGCGATTTCTGCTCACTGCAGTCTCAATCTCCTAAGCTCAAGCAATCTTCCCACCTCAGCCTCCCGAGTAGTTGGGACCACAAGTGTGTTCCAACACACCTGGCTAATTTTTATAGAGACAGGGTTTCACCACGTTGCCCAGGCTGGTGTTGAACTCCTGAGCTCAAGTAGTCCTCCTGCCTCGGCCTCCGAAAGTGTTGGCATTACACATGTGGGCCACTGCACCCAGCCTAAAAATTTTTTGTAGAGACAGGCTCTTGCCCTATTGCCTAAGCTGTTCTTAAACTCCTAGCTTCAAATGATCCTCCTGCCTTGGCCTCCCAAAGTGCTGGGATTACAGGAATGAGCCATTGTGCCTGGCCGTCCACTGCCTTTAAAAGCTACTTACTGAACTGTTATCCCGGACCTAGCATCAGAGAATCTTAAAGCTGGAAGGAGCCTGAGCAACACAGTGAGACCCCTTCTCTACAAAAAATAAAAATAATTAGCTGGGCATGGTGGCAGGCAACTGTGGTTCAGCTACGCAGGAGGCTGAGGTGGGAGGATCACGTGAGCCCAGGATGTTGAGGCTGCAGTGAGCCATGATCATGCCACTGCACTCCAGCCTGGGTGACAGATGGAGACCCTGTCTCAAAAAATAAAACAAAATAATAAAGCTGGAATGGTCCTTTGAGATCACCTTGCCTGACCTTTCCATTTATAGATAAGGAAACTGAGGCACAGAACAATAGATTTGCCCAGGGTATAGAACTAGTTGAATGGATGAATGAGAACTGCACTAGAACTCAGGTCTACTGACTTAGTCTGGTGTTCTTAAATATGTCACATTATAGTACTTTCTCTGAAAGAAATCCATGTGCCATAGCAACACTAAGAAACGTCTTTATTATTATTATTACTTTTTGAGACAGAGTCTTGCTCTGTTGCCCAGGCTGGAGTGCAACGGCACGATCTCGGCTCACTGCAATCTCTGCCTCCCGGGCTCAAGTGATTCTCGTGCCTCAGCCTCCTGAGTAGCTGGAATTATAGGCATGTGCCACCACGCCCAGCTAATTTTTGTATTTTTAGTAGAGACAGGGTTTCACATGTTGGCCAGGCTGGTCTCAAACTCTTGACCTCAGGTGATCCACCTGTCTCAGCCTCCCAAAGTGCTGGGATTACAGGCATGAGCCACCATGCCCAACCAACAACACTAAGAAATTTCTACTGAGACTCTAATGGGACTTAAAAATATCTCTCCATGCAATAAAACAGAAAGCAGAAATCACTGCATGGTGGATCAGTACAGTTTTGGAGGTAGGTTTAGGCTGTTTTGTTTCTGTCTGTACTTGATTTATTAGGAAAGGGCTAACACAATATCACATTTGGCTAACCCAGATATAACCCAGATAGCCAAATTTACCTTGTTACTAATAAAACCAAAGATAGCCAATGAAAGCTCAGAATGATTCCTGGGCATTTCATCTTGATGGCTCATGAGGGTTGAAGGTTGTAAGCTCCCCTTCAGTTGGGACTACATCTTGGCTATCCCTGTGTTCACCACAGTGCCCAGTGCTTAGTACGTGTTACTTAATGTCAATGAAATAATGATGGGCAGTACCACAAAGGGGTGACCTCTGAAGGCACTTCCTGTTCTGTGTACAGGCCACTTGGGATGTCGACATCAGACATGGTGAGGCCGATGCTGTGATGAATCTGGATAAGCAGTGTCATGAGAAGCTGAGGAAAGAGTCGGAACGTAGCTGCTCGAAGCCTGTTTCCCAAAAACACCTCATAAAGGGCATCTGTTGCCTGTGGTGGAAAAGACACAGAGAGGAACTAAGCACCTGCCATTTTGAAATACGGAAGTCATGAAGGAAACTATTAACATATTTGACTACATACAAATATAAAGCCAGGGCAACATTTATCATAAAGTTAGATGACAACAGGCCAGGTGCAGTGGCTCATGTCTGCAATCCCAGCACTTTGGGAGGCCAAGGCGGGTGGATCACCTTAGGTCAGGAGTTTGAGACCAGCTTGGTCAACAGAGTGAAACCCCATCTCTACTAAAAATACAAAAAAATTAGCCAGGTGTGGTGGCTCATGCCTGTAATCCCAGCTACTCGGGAGGCAGAGGCAGGAGAATCGCTTGAACCTTAGAGGTGGAGGTTGCAGTGAGCCGAGATCGTGCCATTGCACTCCAGCTTGAGTGACAGAGCGAGACTCTGTCTCAAAAAAAAAGAGTTAGATGGCAACAACCTGGAGAAGTATTTGTATCAATATATTGTTCTTACTATATAAAATGCTCTTACGTAGCAGTAAAAAAATTACTCAAAGGGTAGGCCACACACCAGTAGCATTGTCATCACCTGGGAGCTGGTTAAACAGGGAGAATTTCAAGCCCCATCCCAGGCCTTCCATATCAGAACCTGTATTTTATTATTATTTTTTATTTTTTGTTTTTGAGACAGAGTCTCGCTCTGTCACCCAGGCTGGAGTGCAGTGGTGAGATCTCTGCTCACCGCAAGCTCTGCCTCCCGGGTTCACGCCATTCTACCGCCTTAGCCTCTCGAGTAGCTGGGACTACAGGTGCCCGCCACCACGCCCGGCTAATTTTTCATATTTTTAGTAGAGACGGTGTTTCACCATGTTAGCCAAGATGGTCTCGATCTCCTGACCTCGTGATCCACCCGCCTCGGCCTCCCAAAGTGCTGGGATTACAGGTGTGAGCCACTGCGCCCAGCTGAGAACCTGCATTTTAATAATATCCCAAAGTGATTGTGGTTTGTGTGCATATTAAATCTGAGAAGGACTAGTGTACAGGGCATGAACAAACAAGTCATAAAAGAAATACAAACGGCCAATTAAAAACATATACAAGGCTGGGTGTGGTGGCTCACGTCCGTAATCAGCATTTTGGGAGGCTAAGGCGGGAGGATTGTTTGAGCCCAGGAGTTTGAGACCAGACTGGGCAACATGGGGAATCCCCGTCTCTACTAAAAAATACAAAAATTAGCCAGGCATGGTGGCACTCTCCTGTATTCCCAGCTACTCAGGAGGCTGATGTGGGAGGATCGCTTCAGCCCAGGAGGAAGAGGTTGCAGTGAGCTGAGATCATGCCACTGCAGTCCAGCCTGGGCAACAGAGTGGGACTCTGTCTCAAAAAGAAAAATAACAGCCTCTCGCTCTCCCTCTCCCTCTCCTTCTCCCCTTCCCTCTCCCCCTCCCCTTTCCACGGTCTCCCCTCTCCCTCTTTCCACGGTCTCCCTCTGATGCCGAGCCGAAGCTGGACTGTACTGCTGCCATCTCGGCTCACTGCAACCTCCCTGCCTGGTTCTCCTGCCTCAGCCTGCCGAGTGCCTGCGATTGCAGGCATGCGCCGCCACGCCTGACTGGTTTTCGTATTTTTTTGGTGGAGACGGGGTTTCGCTGTGTTGGCCGGGCCGGTCTCCAGCTCCTAACCGCGAGTGGTCCGCCAGCCTCGGCCTCCCGAGGTGCCGGGATTGCAGATGGAGTCTCGTTCACTCAGTGCTCAATGGTGCCCAGGCTGGAGTGCAGTGGCGTGATCTCGGCTCGCTACAACCTCCACCTCCCAGCCGCCTGCCTTGGCCTCCCAAAGTGCCGAGATTGCAGCCTCTGCCCGGCCGCCACCCCGTCTGGGAAGTGAGGAGCGTCTCTGCCTGGCCGCCCATCGTCTGGGATGTGAGGAGCCCCTCTGCCTGGCTGCCCAGTCTGGAAGGTGAGGAGCGTCTCCGCCCGGCCGCCATCCCATCTAGGAAGTGAGGAGAGCCTCTTCCCGGCTGCCATCACATCTAGGAAGTGAGGAGCGTCTCTGCCCGGCCGCCCATCGTCTGAGATGTGGGGAGCGCCTCTGCCCTGCCGCCCCGTCTGGGATGTGAGGAGCGCCTCTGCCCGGCCGTGACCCCGTCTGGGAGGGGAAGAGCGTCTCTGCCCGGCAGCCCCGTCTGAGAAGTGAGGAGACCCTCTGCCTGGCAACCGCCCCGTCTGAGAAGTGAGGAGCCCCTCCACCCGGCAGCCGCCCCGTCTGAGAAGTGAGGAGCCTCTCCGCAAGGCAGCCACCCCGTCTGGGAAGTGAGGAGCGTCTCCGCCCGGCAGCCACCCCGTCCGGGAGGGAGGTGGGGGGGTCAGCCCCACGCCCGGCCAACCGCCCCGTCCGGGAGGTGAGGGGCGCCTCTGCCCAGCCGCCCCTACTGGGAAGTGAGGAGCCCCTCTGCCCGGCCAGCTGCCCCGTCTGGGAGGGAGGTGGGGGGGTCAGCCCCCCGCCCGGCCAGCCGCCCCGTCCGGGAGGGAGGTGGGGGGGTCAGCCCCCCGCCGGCCAGCCGCCCCGTCCGGGAGGGAGGTGGGGGGGTCGGCCCCCCGCCCGGCCAGCCGCCCCGTCCGGGAGGGAGGTCGGGGGGTCGGCCCCCCGCCCGGCCAGCCGCCCCGTCTGGGAGGTGAGGGGCGCCTCTGCCCGGCCGCCCCTACTGGGAAGTGAGGAGCCCCTCTGCCCGGCCAGCCGCCCCCTCCAGGAGGGAGGAGGGTGGTCAGCCCCCTGCCCGGCCAGCTGCCCCGTCCGGGAGGTGGCCACCCCTACTGGGAAGTGAGGAGCCCCTCTGCCCGGCCACCACCCCGTCTGGGAGGTGTACCCAACAGCTCATTGAGAACGGGCCAGGATGACAATGGCGGTTTTGTGGAATAGAAAGGGGGGAAAGGTGGGGAAAAGATTGAGAAATCGGATGGTTGCCGTGTCTGTGTAGAAAGAAGTAGACATGGGAGACTTTTCATTTTGTTCTGTACTAAGAAAAATTCTTCTGCCTTGGGATCCTGTTGATCTGTGACCTTACCCCCAACCCTGTGCTCTCTGAAACATGTGCTTAGTCCACTCAGGGTTGAATGGATTAAGGGCGGTGCAAGATGTGCTTTGTTAAACAGATCCTGAAGGCAGCATGCTGGTTAAGAGTCATCACCACTCCCTAATCTCAAGTACCCAGGGACACAAACACTGCGGAAGGCCGCAGGGTCCTCTCCCTAGGAAAACCAGAGACCTTTGTTCACTTGTTAATCTGCTGACCTTCCCTCCACTATTGTCCTATGACCCTGCCAAATCCCCCTCTGCGAGAAACATCCAAGAATGATCAATAAAAAATAAAAGGCCGGGCGCGGTGGCTCACGCCTGTAATCCCAGCACTTTGGGAGGCCGAGACGGGCGGATCACGAGGTCAGGAGATCGAGACCATCCTGGCTAACACGGTGAAACCCCGTCTCTACTAAAAATACAAAAATTAGCCGGGCATGGTGGCGCGCGCCTGTAGTCCCAGCTACACGGGAGGCTGAGGCAGGAGAATGGCGTGAACCCGGGAGGCGGAGCTTGCAGTGAGTCGAGATCGCGCCACTGCACTCCAGCCTGGGCGACAGAGCGAAACTTTGTCTCAAAAAAAAAATAAAATAAAAAAATAAAAAAAGAAAAAAGAAAAATAACAATAATTTAGACCACAGAAAGCTGAACCATAAACTGGTAGGGGAGAAAATAAAGTAAAAAGTAAATGTTGATAGTAGGGCAGGCTGTGTGTGTGTGGAGGCAGGTTTATGGGAACGCTGTACTTTCTGCTGAATTTTTCTGTGAACTTAAAACTGCTCTAAAAAATAAAGTATTTAAAAGGAAAAAATGAAAAAAGTATACCAAATAGATATACCAAAAGTTTATATATGTATAAAGACTTCTGGAAAATTCATTTTTAGGGAGATTGTTACAGACATGAGCTAAGAATGGTTTTTACATTTTTTAATAAAAGGATTGTTTTAAAAAATCCAAAATCCAAAGATTGTTTAAAAGAAATCCAAAGAATATGTGACAGAGACTATATATTTACCATCTGGTCTCTTATAGAAAGTTGGCCAACTTCTGCTCAGGGAGATCTGCACTTTCTTTTTTTTTTTTTTTTGAGACTCTCTCTGTCACCCAGGCTGGAGTGCAGTGGCGTGATCTCGGCTCACTGCAACCTCTGCCTCCCTGGTTTAAGTAATTCTCCTGCCTTAGCCTCCTGAGTAGCTGGGATTACAGGCGGCCGCCACCATGCCTGGCTAATTTTTGTATTTTAAGTAGAGACGGGGTTGCATCATGTTGGCCAGGCTGGTCTCAAACTCCTGACCTCAAGTGATTGGCTCGCCTCGGCCTCCCAGAGTGCTGGAATTACAGGCAAGAGCCACTGTGCCTGGCCTTTTTTTTTTTTTTTTTTTTTGAGATGGAGTCTCACTCTGTTGCCCAGGCTGGAGTGCAGTAGCGTGATCTCGGCTCACTGCAACCTCTGCCTCCCGGGTTCAAGCAAGTCTCCTGCCTCAGCCTCTTGAGTAGCTGGGATTACAGGTGGGCGCCACTACACCTGGCTAATTTTTGTATTTTACTAGAGATGGGGTTTCACCATATTGGCCAGGCTGGTCTTGAACTCCTGACCTCAGGTGATCTACCCACCTTGGCCTCCCAAAGTGCTGGGATTACAGGCGTGAGCCACCGCGTCTAGTCTGCACTTTGTTTTATACAGTTCTACGATATTTGAGGTTTTTTTCCCACAAGTTTGCATTTCTCTTTAACTATGATGATACATATTTTTTAGAGGATGAGGGAAGGAATGTTTTAAACATATTAAACCAGGGATGTTTCCAAGGGACAGATGACAGTCATGGGTTCTTAGTTTCTGTTTCTGGTTGGGTCAATAAAGCCCCTTCCTCATACCTCTTTTCCGCTTATCACTAGAGACAGAAACTAAATACCATGGCTTCAGGCTTCTAAAAGCCTAAAACAAAACAGAACAGAACAACAAAAACAAAAAAAGGCAGGTTGGACGAGTTTGTATTAAGGCATTCTGACTCCTTCACTCTCCCCAGCTCCCTCCATGTCAATCCCTTGGCAGAAACACTGTAGACTTATAAATGGATGACAGATGCAGGCTTTGAGAGGGACCAAAAGGAACACTCTCCACTGGGGTGTGGGGTCAGTCATCCTGGGAGGGGCTGACATTAGAGGGGCAAAGCTCAAGGGCTTACAGCCACAGCCACATATGCCATCTTCTCCTGTGCAGGCTCATTATGGCATTTCTGCAGCTTCCTCAGGAGCCTCCACAGAATCCAGGTCGTGCTGGGAAGCTCCACCGACAGCATTCTCCACACCTCAGCCAGGTGCCTGGAAATCCCAAAGAGCAAGAGGAGAATGGCTGATTCCAATGCAATCTACAAGAGGTTCTCCTCTCTACTCAGCTCTTCAGGGTGTCAAAAGACTGACTTTGATTTCATAACAGTAACTCCCCAGGTTTATTTTTTTCCTTTTTGTGAGACCCTGTCTCAAAAAAAAAAAAAAAAGGTGGTTGTATCCATTTATTTGCCAACAAGCAGAGTAGGATTCCTATTGCTCCATATTTTCTTTTATTTACTTATTTATTTTTTAAATTTTATTATTATTATTATTATTTTGACACGGTGTCTTGCTCTGTCACTCAGGCTGGAGTCAGTGGCGTGATCTTGGCTCATTGCAACCTCTGTCTCCTGGGTTCAATCAATTCCCTTGCTTCAGTCTCCTGAGTAGCTGGGATTACAGGTGCCCGCCACCACGCCCGGCTAATTTTTGTATTTTTAGTAGAGCCAGGGTGTCGCCATGTTAGCCAGGCTGGTCTCGAACTCCCGACCTCAAGTGATCTGCCCGCCCTGGCCTCCCAAAGTGCTGGGATTACAGGCGTGAGCCACTGCACCCAGCCGATTTTTAAAATTTTACTTTAAGTTCCAGGATACATGTGCAGAATGTGCAGGTTTGTTACATAGGTATCCATGTGCCATGGTGGTTTGTTGCACCTCTCAACCCGTCATCTAGGTTTTAAGCCCACACGCATTAGGTATTTGTCCTATTGGTCTCCCTCCCCTTGCCCCCCACCCCTGAAGTCCCCAGGTTTTATCGAATCAAGTTCCCATTGCCTCAGCGTGGACTTCAAGGCTATTCATAACCTGGTCCTGACTTAACTTTTTGGCCTCATCTCTTCCCCATCACACACTCTGTGCTCAAACCATCCAGACCATTCAGACCATTCACCTTTACCTAAGAAAACACAGACTTTGAAAACCCTATACCTTTGCTTATGTCACTGTCCTTTTTTTTTAGACAGGGTCTCACTCCGTCACCCAGGCTGGAGTGCAGTGGTGCCATACACAGCTCACTGCAGCCTTGAACTCCTGAGCTCAAGCAATCCTCCTGCCTCAGCCACCCGAATAGCTGGGACCACAAGCATGTGCCACCACACCTGGCTAATTTTTAAATTTGTTTTTGTAAAGATGGGGTCTCGCCATGTTGCCCAGGCTGGTCTTGAACTCCTAGGCTCAAGCGATCTACCCACCTCGGCCTTCCAAAGTGCTGGGATTACAGGCATGAGCCACTGTACCCGACCCTTATGTCACTTTCTTAAACTGGAAGGCCCTTTCCAAAACTCTTCTCTGCCCATCAAAATCCTTCAAGGTCCAGCTCCAGTGTCATGTCTCCTAGGAAGCCTTGGTTGCTTCTTCACCATGTCTTTCGTAAGAGTTCTCATAGCACTTAAAAAGTTTCTTCTTCTTAGAGGTCACTTCAATCTTATGTGTGCTATCATCAGTTCTTTATGTGTGTATCTGTTCGCTCTGAAGGAAAGGATTCTTTCTGGCTCTTCTTCTAGGAATTCCTCAGGGACTTGCACAATGCCAGGTTCATAGAAGGTTAAATTATAGACACATATATTCGATGTGGTCTGTGGTCCTCAAATTTTGGCTAAAGTTAATCCTTGAAATAAAGCTTTGATCCTGCCTAGAAGAGATATCTTCTAAAGAAAAATAATATGTAATAACTTCTCTGTCATTGATTCAAATGTAGGGCCTGAGAGTTACATAAACATTGTGGGAGAACATTACAGTGGGAAGAAAATTGGGAGTTACTCATGCTTTTAATCCATTCTTTTATTTTCAGAATCCATTTAGGCATCTTGGTATGCTAGAGTAAGTTTTTAAAGTGTGATCTTCCAGGCCAGACGTGGTGGCCTATAATCCTGTAATCCCAGCACTTTGTAATCCTAACACTCTGTAATTCCAGCAACTGCAATCCCAGTAGCTTGTAATCGCAGCACCTGTAATCCCAGCACTTTGGAAGGCTGAGATGGGAGGACTGCTTGAGCCCAGGAGTTCAAGACCAGCCTGGGAAACATGGCAAAACCCTGTCTCTACAAAAAATGCAAAATTAGCCAGGTGTTGTGGTGTGTGCCTGTAGTCCCAGCTACTCAGGAGGCTGAGGTGGGAGGATCATTTGAACCCAGAAGGCAGAGACTGAGGTGAGCCAAAATCATACCACTGCACTCCAGCCTGGGTGGCAGGGTGAGACTGTCTCGGGGGGAAAAAAAAGGAAAAAAGAAAAGAAAAGAAAAAAAAGAAAAAAAGTGTGGTCTTTCAACTGTGAGACTCATCCTAAAACTTGAGAGGCTTAAAGACTATCCCAACATTTCACTCCTCACCTCAGTGATTCTAATTTGTGAATAAAACAAAGTAAGAAGGTCCTAAAGAACTCCTAAAGAAAAGGCCAGAAAGGCAATATAGGATGCTGAAAAAACTCACAGCTGCAGAATGATGAGACGGCAGAATAGGAACATTCATCTGGGATGACATAAAGAAATTCTCATATTTACTTACCCTCGGTTATTTTCTTTGGATTCCTGAGGGAGTAAATGAAGTACTTTGAGAAGCTGTTTATTGTGAGAGAAGTGTTGCAAAATGCTTTTAGTTTGCCACACATTTTAAGTGTGCTGAAAATGCATCTGAATTTAGAAAGCGCACAGCCTTTAAGCCAATGGTTCATGAATTTCAGTGTGAGAAACATCTGGAGAGTTTGTTTAAAATATGGAAAAAATCTTCCCACCTCCAGTGATTCTGATTCTGTCTGTAGTTGTGACATGGGTTTTGTTTGCCCATCATCCCTTTGGGAAACCACCTTTTCAAGATCCTTAACAATCCTATTTGGTTCGTGTAGTTTGGTGGGAGCTGACTCCAAGCCAGGCTAATCAGAGTCCTGCCCAGGACTAAAAAGCTTAAAAGGAAATGACACACCCTTTCCACTGCAGTTTTGAGCTGATAGTAACCATCTTTGCCACCTTTAGTGCAAGTCCATCTGAGAGATGAATGGAGCCCTGATGAAATAAACTGAGTCTCGGGATTCAATCCTGACGACAGACCCTTGGACTTTGCTGTAATATAAGCCTATACAATTTCTTAAGGTAGTGTGAGCTCAGTTTCTGCTACTTCCAACCAAGAGTCCTGACTAATATAGTATGTGTGATGTAGGGTCTTGGAAAATGCTTTTCTTCTTTGAGACAGGGTTTTACTCTGATGCTCAGGCTGGAGTGCAGTGGTGTGATCACAGCTCACTGCAGTCTCAATTTCCTGGGCTCAGGTAAATTCTCCCACCTCAGCCTCCTGAGTATTTGGAACTATAGGCGTGTGCCACCACAACTGGCAAATTTTGCACTTTCTGTAGAGACAGGGTTTCACCATATTGCTCAGGCTGGTCTTGAACTATTGGGCTCAAGCCATCCACCCGTCTCAACCTCCTAAAGTGCTAGGATTACAGGTATGAGCCACCACACCTAGCCAGAAGATACATTTTTTTTTTAACAAGCATCATAGGGGATTCTGAGGCAGTGTTTCAGACACTTTAACAAACACTGCACTAGGAGACTGAAGAAGCCTACATCTTTAAGAACAAATATCTTGCTGTAGCATCCTTACAGAATAGAAAGAGAAACAGCCTCTTGTCTTTTCTGGTGGAGTACTGGGACAGAGCACTGCACCAGGGTAGTATGAGGGACACATGTCACATATGTACTCTATGACTTCTTTGGTCCTGCATTAGTGAACTGAGTTTCTTAAAGTATTTCATGTCCCATAGAGAAACAGTCAGTGGTGAAAATGTAGTGTAATTCCTGTGTCAGTAAATGATACCACCATTAACTTGGCCTCCAAAGCCAAAAACTGAGGAGTGGGGAGTTAGCCTGAATGCCTTCTTCCTCCCTGCCATTCCTTTCTGATTCAATCAAGGTCTGCCTACAGATGCTCCTATTTCTTTTTTTCTTTTTCTTTTTTTGAAATGGAGTTTTGCTCTGTTGCCCAGGCTGGAGTGAAGTCGTGTGATCCTGGCTCACTGTTCAAGCCAATTCTCCTGCCTCAGCCTGCAGAGTGGCTGGGATTACAGGCACATGCCACCAAGCCCGGCTAATTTTTGTATTTTTAGGAGAGATGGGGTTCGCCATGTTGGCCAGAATGGTCTCGAACTCCTGACCTCAGGCGATCCACCTGCCTTGGCCTCCCAAAGTCCTAGGATTACAGGCGTGAGCCACCGTGTCTGGCCAATGCTCCTGTTTCTTTACTCCCTCCTCCTCTCCATCTCTGAAGCCACTGCCCTAATCAGGGCATCATCATCTTTTGCCTGGAAAAGGTGCAACTGCTTAACTGCCTGTCTCTCTTCCTGTTTGGTAGAACAGCCTCTAATCCATTTCCATCAGAGTCACACTAAAAATCTGCATCTGATGATGTAAGTCCCTTAACTAAAGTTCTTCAGTGGCTTCCCAACTCCTGTAGTATAAAGTCCACTATTGTAGTTCTTAGTTGGTCCCAATCTATCGCTGCTAACTTCTGACCACTTTTTAAAAGCAGCTTTAGTAGCTGGGCGTGGTAGCTTACGCCTGAAATCCCAGCACTTTGGGAGGCCAAAGCGGGCGGATCATGAGGTCAGGAGATTGAGACCATCCTGGCCAACATGCTTCAGCTCTAGCCATCACATCACTTTCCAGGTGGCAGGAAGAAGAAAGATGATGAGCCTACTCTCTCCCTTTAAGGTTATTTGCCATAGGTTGCATGTACTACTTCAATTTGCATCCAGAATTTAGACAAATAGTCACACCTATATGCAAAAAGTCTAGGAAATAAGAGTATTTCAAATACCCAACTAAAGTTCAGGGATTATATTACTATAGAAAATGAAAAAATAATTAGTGAATACTGTCTTAAGTATACAACTCACTGACTTTTAGTAAATTTACAAAGTTGTGCAACCATGACGACGATCCAATTTTAGAACATTTCCATCACTGCAAAAAGATCCCTGGTATCTGAGCCCTTCTTACTATCTACTTTCCTCTCCAGCCACTTTGATCTGCATCTGGCTCTTAGCATTCATCAGCTTGGGGGCAGCTCTGCTTTCAGAAATCACTTCCTGACCCTTCATTTAATTAAGTCCTGACCTAGGGGCTTCCACAGAACTCCCTACTTAGCTTTAGAATACTTATGCATCTATGGGGCTACCAGACTGTGCTGCTTAAGGGCGGGGTGCATGTCCTGTCCATTACTTATGGGTCCTAATAGCACCTTGCACATAGTTGATGCTTTAGGCAGCCTCCTAAGAACAACCACTCCAATCTATATGTAAACCCACTAACGTGTGGAGTCCTAATTAGGGGAAGGAAGCCAGGCTGGCGGGAGCAAGGGAAAGCAAAAAGAAAAAGCAGATAAGCTGTAAGTCTGCCTTTCTTCATGGTCCAGGACACGGCCCTTCTGTGCAATCAACTCCCCATCTTCCTGTGCCCAACTATCACCAGACACCTGCAAATTAGCTCATTGCAACTTGGCATTATCTATACTGCACAAGGCCCTCTTCAACACGCAGCATGAACACTATGCTGTAAAATCTTCAACAAGTCTTTGTCTCCTGGCAGTCCGCTTCTCTTTTGCAGGCTGTCTGTTGTCTCTCTGGCGCCATTATTTTCCTACTTTCTCTAATAAATCTGCCTTCCTCTACCCACAACTGTCTTGGTAAATTCTTTTACCCCAGCGCCACCAGCCCAGTCCTTGCTCCCCTGTGACATAATGAACTTCAGGTAAATGACAAAAATATAATCAGAATAACATTTCCTGGCCGGGCGCGGTGGCTCATGCCTGTAATCCCAGCACTTTGGGAGGCTGAGGCGGGCAGATCACGAGGTCAGGAGATTGAGACCACGGTGAAACCCCCTCTCTACTAAAAATACTGTAATCCCAGCACTCTGGGAGGCCGAGGCGGGCGGATCACGAGGTCAGGAGATTGAGACCACGGTGAAACCCCATCTCTACTAAAAATACAAAAAATTAGCTGGGTGGTGGCGGGTGCCTGTAGTCCCAGCTACTTGGGAGGCTAAGCCAGGAGAATGGCGTGAACCCGGGAGGCGGAGCTTGCAGTGAGCCGAGTTCGCGCCACTGCACTCCAGCCTGGGTGACAGAGCAAGACTCTGTCTCAAAAAAAATTAATAATAATAATAATAATAACATTTCCTGAATAAGTCAGTTAAATTTCTAAAAGATTCCATAGTTTGCGTATGATCTACAGCAGTTCTCAAAGTCCTCCCAGAGGTAGAACAAATACAAACAAGAGAATAATGCTAAAAGCATACTTAAAATAATTAAATAGGGCAGCACACGGTGGCTCATGTCTGTCATCCTAGCACTTTGGGAAGCTGAGGCAGGTGGATCACTTGAGCCCAGAAGTTCGAGACCAGCCTGGATAACATTGAGAAACCACAAAAAATAAAAAATTTAGCTGGGCCAGGTGGTGTGGGCCTGTAGTCCCAGTTGCTCCAGTGGCTGAGGTGGGAAGACTGCTTGAGCCTGGAAGGTCGAGGCTGCAGTGAACTATGACTGTGTCACTACACTGCAGCCTGGGTGACAGAGAAAGACCCTGTCTTTAAAAACCCCACAAAAAACAAAACTAAATATATTTAGTATTTTGTACTTAGATTTATTTATTTATTTATTTAATTTGAGACAGAGTCTTGCTTTGTCTCCCAGGCTGGAGTGCAGTGGCGCGATCTCGGCTCACTGCAACCTCCGCCTCCCAGGTTCAAGAGATTCTCCTGCCTCAGCCTCCCAAGTAGCTGTGATTACAGGTGCGCATCACCATGCCAGGCTAATTTTTGTATTTTTTTAATACAGATGGGGTTTCACCATGTTGGCCAGGCTGGTCTGGAACTCCTGACCTTGGGTGATCCACCCCCTTTGGCCTCTGAAAGATTAATTTTTATATAAGAGTTGAGTACGGATAAGCTGTAGCAAGTACCAAACATTTAAGAACAATTTGTTAGAGAAATATACAAAAGCAAGCTCAAAAAATTTTAAAAAATTTAAAAAGCTTGAGTGTGGTGGTACACACCTATAGTCTCAGCTACTCAGGCAGCTGAGGTGGGAAGATCACTTGAGCCCAGGAGTTCAAGGCTGCAGTGAGCCATGATTGAGAAACTGTCTTTAAAAAAAAAAAAAAAGTAAGACTGTTACTCCAAGCTGGAGTGCAGTGGCTATTCACAAGTCCAATCATCATATACGATGGCCCCAAACTCCTGGCCTCCAGTGATTCTCCTGCCTCAGCCTCCTGAGTAGCTAGGACTACAGGCGCGTGCCACCACGCCCAGCTTTTAAAAAAATCCGCATTCTTTTTTTTCTCTGAATGGGTAAAAGTCTTCCATTATTTGATTTAGTTCAGTTTAGAGAACACAATAAGCACTACATCAAGATATTATGTGAGAACCATTCACTTAAAAGAATATTTTTCAAATAGTTTAAAGCAGGGAAATCTCTTCTTAAATAAAATAATTGCCCAGAATCACAATAGAGAAAGCAGATAAAAAGAAGCGCTGCTCTGGTTAAAGTGGGGTGGGGGCATGGAACTTTATTCTGAAGCCTTCCTGCCCCATCCGTAGGCATCTTTGTGGAACTTTCCAGGGTGCCTCCAAATGTGAAAAACACTAATCGAAAAAACCGTCTTTACACCTACTATGTACCCACAAAAATAAACAAAAAACCCATCCTGTTTGATCCTCTCTCTGATTCCATTCTTCTTTATGTATGCGTATCTACTTTTTAAATGTATATATTTATTGCCTTATTTTTAGGCAAAATCATTCTCAAGTCAGTTGCAGACATTATGACACTTTACCTCTAAATAACTTTAGTATCTTATCTCTTAAGAATAAGGACATCCTTCTGCATAACCACAGTATTTCACACCTAAGAAAATTACACTAATTTTTTTTGTTTGTTTGTCTGAGACAGAGTCTTACTCTGTCACCCAGGCTGGAGTGCAGTGGTGTGATCTTGGCTCATTATAACCTCCTCCTCCTGGGTTCAAGAGATTCTCCTGCCTCAGCCTCCCAAGTAGCTGGGATTAGAGGCATCTGCCACCATGCCCGGGGGTAAATTTTGTATTTTTAGTAGAGATGAGGTTTCACCATGTTGGCCAGGCTGGTCTTGAACTCCTGGCCTTAAGTAATCTGCCCACTTCTGCCTCCCAAAGTGCTGGAATTACAGGTGTCAGCCATTGTGCCTAGCCAGAAAATTACACCAATTTAATATTCTAGTATAGAGTCCATATTTAAATTTTCTCCAAGCTTTCTTTTATAGCTTTTGTTTTTGAACCAGGATCCAATCAAGGTCACGCAGTGCGTTTGGGTATGTTTTTGAATATCTTTTTATCTAGGACAGTTCCCTCACCACCAGTTTTACTTCCATGATGTTAATTTTTTTGAAGAGTCCAGTTCAATTATCTTACAGAATGTTCTTCATTTGGGATTTGTGGGATTCTTTTCTGATGATTATGCATTATGTTCTGATTTATATCACCAGCTTTATGTATACTGTGTCTTCTCCACAAGACAATCATTAGATTTTTGAGGGCAACCATGTTTCACAATACCCAGAGCTGTGTCACATAATCCAATTTAATCCAGAGGCTGTACGGGGTTCTGTTACCTGTTATACGGCACTGGATGACACAGAAGGAAGCTGAGCACTATATCTGTGTACTTGGGTCTGGATATAAATAAACTCACGGTATTTATGATTTGTTGGCGGACTCTAGGCTGGCTGATTATGGATAACTGGGCACAGATAACTCCCATAATTTCTGGCACCTGAAGAGGAAAAAGAAATTACTAAGACTGTAATCCTATAGGACACTGATGGTTACTGAGGATACTGTGGCCATTTCTGAAAGGTCTTGGGGGGGTGACTTTTTTTTAAAGACAGGGTCTTGCTCTGTTGCCCAGCCTGGAATGCAGCGGTGCAAACATAGCTCACTGCAGCCTTGAACCCCTGGCCTCAAATGATCCTCCCACCTCAGCCTCCTGAGTAGCTGGGACTACAGGCACACACCACCACACCCAGGTCATTGTTGTATTTTTTTGTAGAGACAAGATCTCTCTATGTTGCCCAGACTGGTCTTGAATTCCTGGGCTCAAGCGATCCTCCTGCTTGGCCTCCCAAAGTGCTGGAATTACAGGTATAAGCCACTGCGCCTGACCCCTAGGGGGTGACTTTTAAACAAACTGTTTATTATTTTTTGAAGTTTATGATTAAAACTACTTAAAATATATCTGTATGTGTGTATACACATATGAAGGATTTGGAAAGATTTATAATCAAAGCTGTCAATACTGTGTTTTTGAGGGACAGAGTATTAGATTTTTTTGCTTCTATATTTTTTCTAATTTTTCCTCAATAATTGATGTATTGATTTTATAACAAGACAAACTAATAAAAGTGTTGCAAGGAAGCTGGGCTTTTTTCCACTGTGACTCTGAGAATGGCAGTGGAGTCCTTACCTATCTTCTTTCCAGAGATGTCCATCAGGCTTAGGTAAGGGAAATAGGAGCCACTGGGCTTTGGTCTATTTCTCTGCTTGGACCGCTCTTCCCACCCACAGACGCATGGGTTCCTGTCTCTGTGGAAATGTCAGCTTCTCAGAGAGGCACACCTCAACCACTTAATATAAAATGGCCATCATCAGCACCAGTAGGCTGGGCATGGTGGCTCATAGCAGTAATCCCAGCACTTTGGGAGGCTGCGGCAGGCGGATCACTTGAGGTCAGGAGTTCAAGACCTGCCTTGCCAACATGGTGAAACCCCATCTCTGCTAAAAATACAAAAAATTAGCTTGGTGTCATGGCAGGCGCCTGTAATCCCATCTACTTGGGAGGCTGAGGTGGAAGAATCACAGCAACCTGGGAGGCGGAGGTTGCAGGGAGCAAGACTGCACCACTGCACTCAAGCCTGAGCAACAGAGCAAAATGCTGTCTCCAAAAACAAATAAACAAAATAATAATAATAATAATAATAATGATAATAATTCTGGCTAACAAACACAAGGGTAAATTTACCGGCGTTTTGCGGAAAGATTTTCTTCCCTGAATCAAGACATAAAAAGGAAGGCAACATCTTTCTTCTTCTTGGACTTAGTCTACTCCACTCAGAAAGTCCAAAATTGCTCTGACTACCTTATGACCACATGAACAGACAAGGCAGAAGGATGAAGAAACCCCTGGGTCTTCAATAACACTGTTGAATCACTGAATCAATCTTGGAAAATACTCTATGTCCAGACTTGTTATTATGTGAAAGAATAAATCCTTTGGTTAAACTTCTACCTGCTGGGCTTTTTTTGCTGCTAAAAGCACCCAACTGATACAAATGCCCATCTCACCTGCTCTTATCGTGTTATTCTTTTTGCATCTTTGTTATTTTAATAGGTTAAAAAAAGGGTGCTCATCATTTGTTGTTGTTGTTTTTAATTTGTTTTATTTGTTGTTGTTTTTTGAGACAAGATCTCCCTCTGTCGCCCAGGCTGGAATGTAAAGGCATGATCATGGCTCCCTGCAGCCTTGTCTTACTGGGCTCAAGCAACCCTCCTGCCTCAGCTTCCCAAGTAGCTGGGAACACAGGTGTGTGCCACCATGCCTGGCTAATTTAAAAAAATTTTTTTGTAGAGATGGGGTCTCACTATGTTGCCCAGGCTGGTCTTGAACTCCTGGGCCCAAGCAATTTGCCTGCCTCAACCTCCCAAAGTGCTGGGATTATAAGTGTGAGCCACCATACCTGGCCGGTTCTCATCATTCTTAAATTATTTTTTATTTGTACCCAACTACAACATCCAGTGGTATTTCAAGCTTCTTTCCTCCCTATTCCCCAGGTCTGTTCTTCAGAGAGAACTACTTTTATCCCTTTTGTCTCTTCCAGCATGTCCTTCTCTATTTCTAAATAACATAACTATATAGTTATTTCTTAATGTATTAATTTTAGATATATTTAGATAAATTCTCTTAATTTTGATTTGTAAGTCTGCCTCCTTCTAGGGTCACTTATGGCTTTTTATTTACTTTTATTTATTTATTTTGAGGCAGCTTGTCGCCCAAGCTGGAGGGCAGTGACGCGATCTCAGCTCACTGCAGCCTCCGCTTCCTGGGTTAAAGCAATTCTCTTGCCTCAGCCATCCAAATAGCTGGCAATGCAGGTGTGCACCACCATGCCTGGCTAATTTTTGTATTTTAAGTAGAGACAGGGTTAAGCTATGTTGCCGAGGCTGGTCTCAAACTCTTGAGCTCAAGCCATCTGCCCACCTTTGCCTCCCAAAGTACTGGGATTACAGGCGTGAGCCACTGCGCCTGACCACTTACAGCTTTTTAAATCTTGATACCTTTAACCCATCTGGATGAGTATCTAAATTAAAGTTATTCTCATATGTGTTAGTTATATCTCCCCAGAAAAACTCTACTCTTCTAGAAAATATGGACCGCATCTTTTTTTTTTTTTTTGAGATGGAGTCTCGCCCTGTCGCCCAGGCTGGAGTGCAGTGGTGCGATCTTGGCTCACTGCAACCTCCACCTCCAAGGTTCAAGCGATTCTCCTGCCACAGCCTCCCAAGTAGCTGGGACTACAGGCACGCGCCACCACGCCCAGCTACTTTTTGTATTTTTAGTTGAGACGGGGTTTCACCATGTTGGCCAGGATGGTCTCGATTTCTTGACCTCATGATCCACCCGCCTCAGCCTCCCAAAGTGCTGGGATTACAGGCGCGAGCCACCGTGCCTGGTCATAGACCACATCTTAGATTAAAAAAAAAAAAGTCTCCCTCCCTGGTTACATACACAGTAGTTGTTTGGTGTATGTTTATAGAGTGGATATTTATGACTAAACAGACTAAGGTTTGACCCTGTACTCATGAGTAGTCGTTCTCAGCTGAGAAGGACAAGCAGAGACTTCAATAGCTGCAGGGATGAAGAGGTTCTACTGGCTTTTTGAACCCAGGAAATTGCCACTGAAAGTTTACCTTCTCAAATTGGGACTCTGTATTTTTTGCCAAAGTTAGCAGTAATTCTCCTGCTGATCGCTGGATGCAGGGATGTTTCAGGGTTTTCAGGGTATCAAATGTAGTCATTATAAACTGGCAGAGCTCATTTGAATCAAGAAAACCTTCAAAGACCTGAAATGATGTAGGAAAATGAACTTCCAAGAAATAGGGAAATATGGTATGATAGAAAGTGTCCTGAACAAGGACTTGAGTCTAAGTTAACAATCAGAGAAGTGGACAAAGATGTACAAGGCTGTTTTATTTGAGTCTTGTGGTTTTGTTTTGTTTTTGGAGATAGCATCTTACTCTGTCATCCAGGTAGGGGCACAATCACGGCTCACTGTAGCCTCAACCTCTTGGGCTCAAGTGATCCTCCTGCCTCAGCCTTCTGAGTAGCTGAGGCTACAGGCACCTGCTACTACACTCTGATAATTTTTAAAATTTTTTGTGAAGTCAGGGGTCTCACTATGTTGCCCAGGCTGGCTGTGAACTCTTGGCTCAAGTAATCCTTCTGCCTCAGCCTCCCAAAGTGTCAGGATTATAGGTGCAAGCCATGCACCCAGCCCAGTCTTGTTTACCATGGTAAAAAGGTGGAAGCAATCCAAATGTCCACTGCTAGCATCTGTGCATGGCCTTTTGCTGCTCTGACACTGAGGCTGGAGTGCAGTGGTGCGATCACAGCTCACTGCAGCCTGGACCTCCCAGGCTGAAGTCATCCTCCCACTTCAGCTTCCTGAGTAGCTAGGACTACAGGCGTGCACCACCACAGCCAGCTAATTTTTTTATTTGTGGAGATGAGGTCTCGCTATGTTGCCCAGGATGGTCTCGAATCCTAGGCTCAAGTGATCCTTCCGCCTCAGCCAACCAAAGTGCTGGGATGACAGGGGTGAGCCACTGCATCCAGCCTGCTGCTCTTACATTTAGAAAGAAGCTTTATTGACCAGGTGCAGTGGCTCATGCCTGTAATACCAGTTGTTTGGGACCCTAAAGCGGGAGAAATACTTGAGCCCACGACTTGAGACTAGCCACTTGGCCAACATGGAGAAACACTGTCTCTACTAAAAATACAAAAATTAGCTGGGCGTGGTGGTGCTTGCCTGTAATCCCAGCTACCTGGGAGGCTGCGGGAGGAGAATTGCTTGAATCTGGGAGGCGGAGGTTGCGGTGAGACGAGATCGTGCCACTACACTCCAGCCTGGGCGACAGAGCAAGACTCCGTCTCAAAAAAAAAAAAAAAAAAAAAAAAAAAAGAAGCCTGGCATGTGGCTCATGTCTATAATCCCACCACTTTGGTTGGGAGGCCAAGGCAGGTGGATCACCTGAGGTCAGAGTTCAAAATCAGCCTGACCAACATGGAGAAACCCCATCTCTACTAAAAATACAAAATTAGCCGGGTGTAGTGGCACATGCCTATAATCCCAGCTACTCAAGAGGCTGAGGCAGGAGAATTGCTTGAACCCAGGAGGCGGAGGTTGCAGTGAGCCAAGATTGCGCCATTGCATTCCAGCCTGGGCAACAAGAGCGAAACTCTGTCTCAAAGAAACAGCCCCCCCAAACAAAACAAAACAAAACAAAACAAAACAAAACAAAAAGAAAAGGAAAGAAAAGAAAAAGAAAGAAGCTTTATTATGAGATCTTCAGAAAGAGTCATACTTTTATACGATAGGACTTAAAAAAAGGCCCTAATGTTACACAGCTGACAGGTTCCCAGGCATAATTAAAATGCCTTGTCAGGAGACAACATACTAAAAGAATGTGTCATTCTGTTTCTCATTGCATTTGGTAGTAAAGTCCTTCACATGATTATAATAGGTACAATCTACTGGGCACTTACTATGTGACAAGCATTTAGCAAAGCATTTTCCATACGGTATCTCCTTTAACAACGACTGAATTGTAAACAGTATAAATTGTAAAAAAGAAATTGTAAAAACTGTCCCAATTTTTACAGATCTCCATCGCACAGATGAGAAAACTGATGTGCAGAGAGATGAAATTACTTGGTACCTTTCACCCTACATGAGTAAGATCTGTGGGTTTTCTTTATTTTCCCCTATTCCCTAGCATACCTGGTACCTGGCAGATGTATAAGTATTTATTGAATAATGAATAACTACATTAATTTAAAAAGTCTGGCTTGTTGGATCAACCATACTCTCTTGCAGCTCCTTTTTGTGACCAGCATTTACATTTGCAAGAGACTCGCAATTATGAATAGTAGGAGCAGAGCTGGTATGAAGTGAAGTCCAGGGATACTGGCCTCAATGGCAGGTTGACCTTAACCCCCAAACTAAGAAGGCAAGGCATATATGGGCCAGGAACATGGTGCCTTGTCTCCAAACTACGGAACGTTTAGAGACCACGTTTCCTGGGCAATTGTGTATGGTTTTGTTTTATAAGAAACTACCAGAACTTTTTCCAAAGTGGTTTTTACTGTTTTACGTTTCCATGAATAAATGGCAGGAGACTTCTGGTTGTTCCCCATCCTTGCCAACACTTCTGGCTGTGGTTATAATTTTAGCCATTCTTATTACCTGGGCAATTCTGAAGGGACAGTTGTAGAAGCATTTAGCGGCAGAGCTGTGGAGCTCCAGGAATTCTCGACATTTTGTCAATGCTCTTTTCAAGTTTTGCTGATCTTTCTTGTCATGAGTGATATCTGAAAAGAAAATATAAAATATTAATACTTTCTGGCTTCTTTTTTTCTTCTTGATTTTACAGGTCTGGTTGATCTTCAGTTTAAAGTGGATTCCAAGATCTCACTCTTCTTTTTCACTTGAACAAAAATGCCTGGGGGAGGGAGTGTTTGTTCATCTGAAGGCTGATTTATTTCTCTTTCCTTCTAGAACAATACATAAAAAGAACCAAAAGAAAAAACAAAGAGGAGGTCGAGGCAGATGGATCACTTGAAGTCAAGATTTCGAGACAAACCTGGCCAACATGGCGATACCGAAAAATAAAAAAATTAGCCAAGCATGGTGGCGCACTCCTGTAGTCCCAACTACTTGGGAGGCTGAGGTGGGAGGATCACTTGAACCCAAGAGGTGGAGCTTGCAGTGAACCGAGATCACGCCACTGCACTCCAGCCTGGGTGACAGAGTTAAGACCCTGTCTTTTCTTTTTTAAATTTTTTTTTTGAGGCAGAGTTTCACTCTTATCACCCAGGCTGGAGTGCAATGGCGCGATCTCAGCTCACCGCAACCTCTGCCTCCTGGAGGTGATTCTCCTGCCTCAGCCTCCTGAGTAGCTGGGATTACAGGCATGCGCCACCATGCCCAGCTAATTTTGTATTTTTAGTAGAGATGGGGTTTCTCCATTTTGGTTCAGACTGGCCTCGAACTCCTGACCTCAGGTGATCCACCCACCTCAGCCTCCCCCAGTGCTGGGATTACAGGCATGAGCCACCATGCCCAGCCAACCCTGTCTTTAAAAAGAAGAAGAAGAAGAAAAAAGCAAAAGCAAAGAGCTTTTTGTAAGACCAGAGCATTTGAGTGATTTGTGAGTACAACCAAAGCATGCTACCTTATTTCCCCACTGGTGAGGAACTGTGAGGGGTCTCCCTATGAAGCTTAGGTTCCCAGAAAAAATTGCCCAACTCTATACTGTGTATGATAATTCTGATATCAGAACTCTTCATCATGTGTCAAGTATGCCAATGCTCCTTGTAGTGTCTTGTTTTTCTCATGTTTCATTGTGACCTAATATTTGCTGGAAATTCGTAGATGGAAAATTTATCTTTGAGCCCTTGGCTGAGGATACTTTCTCTCCAACTAGAAAATAAGTTCCCTGGGGGAAGGTATCTTGTTTGTCTTGATTACTGATGCATCACTAGAACAATAAATGCTTCATAACTATTTGCTGAATCAATAATCAACGTATTTCTTTGGCTGTATACCTGGTAGAGATTGCTCATACTGTGCCCAATGACAGGACAGTTGCTTTGGGAAGCATGGAGCTTCCTCATCCATGTGAAGCGCAGACTGAGGCAGAGGAACTACGGTTGTGTGTAGCTTAACAACAGGGATATGTTTTGAGAAATGCACTGTTAGGCTATTGCGTCACTGCATGAACATCACATAGAGAGTACCTTCTTTTTTTTTTTTTAAGACAGAGTCTCTCACTCTGTCACCCAGGCTGGAGTGCAGTGGCGTGATCTCAGCTCACTGCAACCTCCACCTCTCACGTTTAAGCGATTCTCCTGCCTCAGCCTCCTGGGTAGCTGGGACTATAGGCACGCGCCATCACGCCAGGCTAATTTTTGTATTTTTAGTAGAGATGGGGTTTTGCCCTGTTGGCCAGGCTGGTCTTGAATTCCTGACCTCAGGTGATGGACCCTCCTTGGCCTCCCAAAGTGCTGGGATTACAGGCATGAGCCACTGTGCCTGGCCTAATTTTTTTTTTTTTTACATTCTAAAGTGTTTTTGTTAAAAACTAAGACAAAAAACACACACTAGCCTAGGCCTACACAAGATCAGGATAATCAATACCACTGTCTTCCATCTCCACATCCTGCCCCACTGGAAGGTATTCAGGGCAATAACACGCATGGAACTGTCATCTCCTATGATAACAATGCCTTCTTTAGGAATACCTCCTGAAGGGCCTGCCTGGGGATGTTTCACAGCTAACTGTTTTTTTAATAAGTAGAAGGAGTCATGCTAAACTAATGATAAAATGTATAGTAAATAAATGAACCAGTAACATAGTTATTTATTATCATTACCAAGGATATATACTGTACCTAATTGTAGGTGCTATACTTTTATATGACTGGCAGTGCAGTAGGTTTGTTTACACCAGTATCACCACAAACATGAATAATGCATTGTACTGTAATGTTATGATGGCTACAATGTCACTAGGTGATAGAAAACTTTCAGCTCAGCTGGGTACGGTGGTGGACACCTGTAGTCCCTGCACTTTAGGAGGCTGAGGTAGGAGGACTGCTTGAGTTCAGGAGTTGGAGACCAGCCTGGGCAACATAGTGAGACTTCGTTTCTTTTTATTCTTTTTTCTTTCTTTTTTTTTTTTCTTTTTGAGATGGAGTCTTGCTCTGTCACCAGGCTGGAGTACCGTGGTGTGATCTTGGCTCACTGCAACCTCTGCCTCCCAGGTTCAAGCGATTCTCCTGCCTCAGCACCCCAAGTAGCTGGGACTACAGGCATGCCACCACGCTCAGCTAATTTTTGTATTTTTAGTAGAGACGGGGTTTCACCAGGTTGGCCAGGATGGTCTCAATCTCTTGACATCGTGATCCACCCGCCTCGGCCTCCCAAAGTGCTGGGATTACAGGTGTGAGCCACTGTGCCAAGTCGAGACTTCCTTAAAAAAAAAAAATAATAAGGCTGGGCGTGGTGGTTCACGCCTGTAATCCTACCACTTTGGGATGCTGAGGCGGGCAGATCACTTGAGATCAGGAATTCGGGACCAGCCTGGCCAACATTAAGTAACATTTAGTAGGGATGGTGAAACCCCATCTCTACTAAAAATACAAAAATTGGCTGGGTGTGGTGGCGGCTGCCTGTAATCCCAGCTACTCAGGAGGCTGAGGCACGAGAACTGCTTGAACCTGGGAGGTGGAGGGTGCAGTGAGCCAAGATCACACCACTGCACTCCAGCCTGGGTGACAGAGCGAGACTCCATCTCAAAATAAAATAAAATAAAATAAAAAGAAAAATTTCAGCTCCATTCTAATCTTACGTGACCCATACATGATCAGTTGTTGACTGAAATGTCATTATATGGTGCATGACTGTACTTGGTAGGGATGGAGTAGACTGAGATTCAAACACTGGGGGAATGCTGGGTTAGATATCCTCTAAAGTCCCTTCTAACCATGGAAGTCAGTGATTCATTCCTTGACCACACTGGCCCTCTCTCTATTTTTCAAACTCCTCAAGCTCATGCCTACCCAGGTTCCTTTCCTTAGCCATTCCTTCTGCCTAATATACTCTTCTTACCTCTTCAGGTGGCAAACTGCTCTTTATTCTCTGGATTACCTTTCCTGAACCCAGCAACTAGATTTGATTCTTACTCATGGCCCCTGTAATTTCCCTTCATAAGGACATTAATTTTCCTGCAGCCTCGACCTCCTGGGCTCAAGCGATTCTCCCACTTTCGTCTCCTGAGTAGTTGAGATTATAGGCATACTCCACCATGCCAGCTAATTTTTAAAATTTTCTGTAGAGAAGGGGTTTTCCCTGTTGCCCAGGCTGGCCTTGAACTCCTGGGCCCACGCAGTCCTCCCGGCTTGGCCTGGCAAAATGCTATGAACATAGGAGTGAGCCACTGCGCCCAGCCTCACTCCTACTTCTGACCAAACTAATCACTCTAGTTTGTCCACAGGGCCACATGTTTAGCCACTCCCTGGCTATGCAGATGGATGGCAATGATGGGTCTGATCTAGTGTTAGGATTCTAATTATTAAGTCAGTGTTGCTTCATCTCTGCCTATGGACCATGTATCCTTCTCTTTAGGAACTACTGTAAAAGGCCTTTCCAGAACATGGGGACTGAATGCGTAAGGAGGGCAGGTACTTATGTTGTGCTGGAGAATTCACTCAGGACCTCGCGGCCTTCAGCAGTGCCTTACACTTCAGCCTCAGGGTGATATGCAGCAGGGAGTGAATGCCCTCTGCAGCCTCCTCAGCCACCTTTTCCTGTGGGTCCCCACAGAGCAGTGCCATCAGAGCCACTAGGTGTCCAAGTCTTTGGAATCGCAGTGGAAGCTTGAGAAAGAAAAAGAAAAATGTCATTAGAATACACGTGCATTTAGTGCCTTCGATTTGAGTTGTTGAGAAGTAATCCCAATTCTACTCTCAACTCAAGAAGTTTAAGGGTCACAATCAGCCTGTGGATCTCTGTAGGGTTCATATTTAACACAGGTAGACACAGTATAGTCAGTAGATGGTGTTATTAAGAAATAGGGAAATGCTAACCTAAGGAAACAATCTGAAAAACGAAAAAGCTTTGTGCATAAAGATGTTAATTCCAGCACTGTTTTTATTTTTATTTTTTAATTTTAATTTTTGGGAGTACATAGTAGGTCTATATATTTGTGGGGTATACAGATGTTTTGATACAGGCATGCAATGCATAGTAATCACATCATGTAAAATGGAGTATCCACCCCCTCAAGCATTTATCCTTTGTGTTATAAACAGTCCAATTATATTCTTTTAGTTATTTTAATAATTTTTTTTTTTGAAACAGAGTTTTGCCCTTTTCACTCAGGCTGGAGTGCAATGGCACAATCTCAGCTCACTGCAACCTCTGCCTCCCCGGTTCAAGCGATTCTCCTGCCTCAGCCTCCCGAGTAGCTGGAATTACAGGTGTGAGCCACCACACCCAGCTGATTTTTGTATCTTTAGTAGAGATGGGGTTTCGCTGTGTTGGCCAGGCTGGTCTCAAACTCCTGACCTCAAGTGATCCACCCACCTCAGCTTCCCAAATTACAGGCCTGAGCCACTGCAGCTGGCCAATAAACGTACATTTAATATTACTAAATAAAAATGTATTAAAATTTTAATATTATTTAAAAATTACTAATGCACAATAGTCACCCTGTTGTGCTATAAAATATTAGGTCTTATTCATTCTAACAATGTTTTTGGTACCTATTAACCATGCCCACCTCTCCCCAATCCTGCCACGACCCTTCCCAGCCTCTGATAACTATCCTTCCATTCTCTATCTCCATGAGTTAAACTGTTTTGATTTTCAGGTCCCACAATATGTGAAAACATGTGATGTTTGTCTTTCTATGCCTGGCACATTTCACTTAGCATAATGACCTCCAGTTCCATCCATGTTGTTGCAAATGACAGGATCTCATTCCTTTTATGGCTGAATAGTACTTCATTGTGTATAAGAACCACATTTTCTTTATCCATTCATCTGTTGGTGGACACTTAGGCTGCTTCCAAACCTTGGCTATGGTGAAGAGTGTCGCAACAAACAAGGGAGTGCAGATATCGCTTCCATATACTGATTTCCTTTCTTTGGGGTATAGACCCAGCGGTGGTCTAAGGACCGCGCTTTGGAAATAATTGCATGACAGTAGTAAAAGGAATTATCCTACAGCCAGTCTATGAACACAACCATTAAAAATCAAGTATCTAAGGAATTTATAATGTGCTATTCTGCTAAGTAAAAAAGCTGAATGTGGCCAGGTGCAGTGGCTCATGCCAGTAATCCCAGCACTTTGGGAGGCTGAGGCGGGTGGATCACCTGAGGTCAGGGATTCGAGACCAGCCTGCCTGGCCAACATGGCAAAACCCCATCTCTACTAAAAGTATGAAAATCAGCCAGGTGTGGTGGTGGGCACCTGTAATCCCAGCTACTCAGGAGGTTGAGGAAGGAGAATCGCTTGAACCTGGGAGGTGCAGGTTGTAGTAAGCTGAGATCGTGCCACTGCACTCCAGCCTGGGTGACGAGAGTGAGACTCCATTTCAAAATAAATAAATAAATACATAAATACATACATACATACATACATAAAATAAAAAATAAAAATAAGCTGAACGCAAAGTTGAGATATAGCACTTAATTCTATTTATAAAATTCATTTTTTAATATCCTGCTTGATTATGGAAAAAAAATCCATGTAATGTAGCTGGAAAAATCATACCAGAAAAAGAAATATAACTTTAAATAAATACTGGAGAAAACTGGATAAATTAAAAAATTGGCTGGGCGCGGTGGTTCATGCCTATAACCCCAGCACTTTGGGAGGCCAAGGCGGACATATCATTTGAGGTCAGGAGTTCAAGACCAGCCTGGCCAACATGGTGAAACCCCGTCTCTACTAAAAACACAAAAAAATTAGCTGGGCGTGGTGGCACATGCCTGTAATCCCAGCTACTCGGGAGGCTGAGGCAGGAGAATTGCTTGAACCTGGTAGGCGGAGGTTGCAGTCAGCCGAGATTGCACCACTGTACTCCAGCCGGGGCAACAGAATGAGACTCCATTTCAAAATAAATAAATAAATAAAAATTAAAAAAATTAAAAATAATAAAAAAACATTAAGGTAGAAAAGATAAATGAAGTTAAGAATTTGGTTGGCGCTCTCCCTCTCCTTCATCTCCGTCTCCCGCTTTCCACGGTCTCCCCCTCTCCCTCGTCTCCGTCTCCCACTTTCCACGGTCTCCCTCTGTTGCCGAGGCTGGACTGTACTGCCGCGATCTCGGCTCACTGCAACCTTCCTGCCTGATTCTCCTGCCTCAGCCTGCCGAGTGCCTGGGATTGCAGGCACGCGCCGCCACGCCTGACTGGTTTTTGTGTTTTTTGGTGGAGACGGGGTTTCGCCATGTTGGCCGGGCTGGTCTCCAGCTCCTGACCTCGAGTGATCTGCCCGCCTCGGCCTCCCGAGGTGCCGGGATTGCAGACGGAGTCTCGCTCACTCAGTGCTCAATGTTGCCCAGGCTGGAGTGCAGTGGCGTGATCTCGGCTCGCTACAACCCCCACCTCCCAGCCACCTGCCTTGGCCTCCCGAAGTGCTGAGATTGCAGCCTCTGCCCGGCCGCCACCCTGTCTAGGAAGTGAGGAGCGTCTCTGCCTGGCTGCCCATCGTCTGGGATGTGAGGAGCCCCTCTGCCCGGCCGCCCAGTCTGGGAAGTGAGGAGCGCCTCTTCCCGGCCACCACCCCGTCTAGGAAGTGAGGAGCGTCTCTGCCTGGCCGCCCATCGTCTGGGATGTGAGGAGCCCCTCTGCCCAGCCACCCAGTCTGGGAAGTGAGGAGTGCCTCTTCCTGGCCGTCATCCCGTCTAGGAAGTGAGGAGCGTCTCTGCCTGGCCGCCCATCGTCTGGGATGTGGGGAGCGCCTCTGCCCGGCCGCCACCCTGTCTGAGAGGTGAGGAGCGCCTCTGCCCGGCCGCGACCCCGTCTGGGAACTGAGGAGCGCCTCTGCCCGGCCGCCCCATCCAAGAAGTGAGGAGCCCCTCTGCCCAGACGCCCCGTCCGAGAGGTGGGGGGCGCCCCCGCCCGGCAGCCGCCCCGTCTGGGAGGTGGGGGGCGCCCCCGCCCGGCAGCCGCCCTGTCCGGGAGGTGGGGGGTGCCCCCGCCTGGCAGCCGCCCCGTCTGGGGGGTGGTGGGCCCCTCTGCCCGGCTGCCACGTCTGGGAAGTGAGAAGTCCCTCTGCCCAGCCGCCACCCCGTCTGGGAGGTGTACCCAACAGCTCATTGAGAACGGCCACGAGAACGATGGCGGTTTTGTTGAATAGAAAAGGGGGAAATGTGGGGAAAAGAAAGAGAGATCAGATTGTTACTGTGTCTGTGTAGAAAGAAGTAGACATAGGAGACTCCATTTTGTTCTGTACTAAGAAAAATTCTTCTGCCTTGGGATGCTGTTAATCTATAACCTTACCCCCAACCCCGTGCTCTCTGAAACATGTGCTGTGTCAACTCAGGGTTAAATGGATTAAGGGCGGTGCAAGATGTGCTTTGTTAAACAGATGCTTGAAGGCAGCATGCAAAAAAAAAAAAAAAAAAAGAATTTGGTTGGCATGCAGAATGCATAATCATCATTTGCTTGAGGCAGGCCACAGAGCAAGGCTCTGAACTCTCTCATGGCTAATGTAGAGGTGCACACAATGATCCATATAACATGATTCACGCTGTCCTTAAGATAAGAAGCAACTAGCCACGTGGAGGAAGCATAGCTTTTCCTAGGGTTGAGATGGAAAGAAATTTCTTCCATGGCTCTACAGAAATAAGACACAGAAATATTGTGAACAGCATTTACAACCTATTTACAGTAAACACGTAGCAACATGCAAAGCTATGTAACATCTTTAATTCACTGATATAACCTTCATTCATTCAATCAACCAATAAATACAGTGTCTGTTATATGCCAGGAACTATGACTGGCACTGGGGATATAAGCAGTCAACAAAAGAGAATATCCCTGCTTGTGGAGGTGATGATCTAGTTGGGGAAACACAAAGTAAACAAAATAAATATGTAAAATGTATTATGTATCAAATGATGATAAATGTCATGATTAACAAAAATTCAGGGGAAAGGGATAAGAATTATTATTTTAGGATGGTCAGGGAAGGCCTCACTAATATTGAAATGAGAGATTGATACCTGGGAGAAGAGTATTCTGGGCAGAGAGAATGGCAAGCGCCAAGGACTGAGAAGGTATGTTTGGTGTTTCTGAGGAACCATAAGTAGGTTAGGTTGGCTGCAGCGATGTTAACGATAGGGAAAGAAATAGGAAGTAGATGAAGAATGGGCCAGAAGGTGTCGCAACCTGTAGAACATTGTGAGGACTTTGGCCGTCGGAGGGTCTTGAGCAGAGAAGGGACATGGGTTGACTCACATTTACTCAATCAATATTGAATTGAGCATCAACCACATGGCCGATTCTGTGCTAGGCAGGCACTGAGGCTACTGTGCTGAACAAGACAAGTATAATTGCAAGGCACAGTGGCTCATGTCTGTAATCCCAGCATTCTGGGAGGCAGAGGTGGGAGGATTGTTTGAGCCCAAGAGTTTGGACCACCTTGGGCAATATAGTGAGACCCCCATCTGTATAAAAAACAAAAAAATTAACCAGGCATGGTGGCACATGCCTGTAGTCCCAGCTACTCAGGAGGCTAAGGCAGGAGCATTGCTTAAGGCCAGGAGGTTGAGGCTGCAGTGAGCTGTGATTGTGCTACTGTACTCCAACTTGGGTGACAGAGCAAGACCCTGTCTCACATAAAAAAAAAAAAAAAAGACAAGCATAATCACTGGTAGAATTTACATTCTATTAGTGGGAAACAGATAACACAGCAGTAAAGAAAGAATCAAGCCAGATAACCTCTGATTCTAGACAGCCCTAGGAAGGAGAGAGTGATGAGACAGAGAGCAAGCGTAGGTCTGTCTGTGGTGAGCAGAGGCCCTTTTGAGGTCGAGACATCTGAACACAGTGCTAAAGAACCAGGAGGGGCTGGCTCTGTGCAGAGCTAGGGAAGGTCATTCCAAGCAGAGAAGGCAGCAAGTGCAAAGGCCATGAGGCAAGATGAGCCTTATGTGGGAAGAAGGAAGGTAAAGGTGGCTGCTGTGTGATAAGTCAGGGGACTTAGGTGTAGAGAGGTAGACAGACCTACATCAGACATGACCCCGTATTCTAAGATCAGTTTGGAAATCACTGGATCAAAGAAGTGACATGGGGCAAAAAAAGAAAATGAAGAAAAATAAAGAAAACACAGGGGAGAAAACAAGGAAACAAAACAAAAGCAAGAATGACATGGGTCTGAAGAGGATGACTCTGGCTATATGTAGAGAACAAATTGGAAATGGAAGCCCCCACCCCAACACACTCATGCACAAAAAAGAACTTGGAAGGTGCCAGGCGCGGTGGCTCTGCCTGTAATCCCAGAACTTTGGGAGGCCGAGGCAAGCAGATCACTTGAGGCCAAGGATTCGAGACCAGCCTGGCCAACATGGTGAAACTCCGTCTCTACTAAAACTACAAAAATTAGCCAGGCGTGGTGGCCTGCACCTGTCACTGAATGACAAACAGTTAATAAGTTTTGTTTTTTTTTTTTGAGATGGAGTCTCGCTCTGTCGCCCAGGCTGGAGTGCAGTTGCGTGATCTCGGCTCACTGAAAGCTCTGCCTCCCGGGTTCACGCCATTCTCCTACCTCAGCATCCCGAGTAGCTGGGACTACAGGCGCCCGTCACCACGCCCGGCTAATTTTTTGTATTTTTATTAGAGACGGGGATTCACCGTGTTAGCCAGGATGGTCTCCATCTCCTGACCTCGTGATCCGCCCACCTCGGCCTCCCAAAGTGCTGGGATTACAGGCGTGAGCCACCGCGCCCGGCCCTAAGTTTTATAATCATAATATTAAGAACCCCCAAACTTTATCAAGACAAAAAAGGCCACTGAAGAATTACGCTCCTAGTTTGATTACTAAATGCTTCTTCAGCATTTCCTTTTTTATTCTTTATTCTTTAGATTTCTTTGAGAATATGAAAAAAGTTAGAGACCCAGATAATATATATTTGTCAAAACTCATTGAACTGTATACTTAAATTGGATAAATTCATTGTATACAAATTATACCTCAATAAAATTGATTTAAAAAAAAACTATGGACCTTCCTCAGAAAAATCCAGAAGAGGACGGGCGTGGTGGCTCACGTCTGTAATCCCAGCACTTTGGAAAGCCAAGGAAGGAGGACCACTTGAACCTGGGAATTTGAGACCAGCCAGGGCAACATGGTGAAACCCCATCTCTACCAAAATAAATAAATAAATAAATAAAAATTAGCCAGGCGTGGTGGCGTGTGACTGTAGTCCCACCTACTTGGAAGGCTGAGGCAGGAAGATTGCCTGAGGCCAGGAGTTCAAGGCTGCAGTGAGCTATGATGGCCCCACTGCACTCCAGCCTGAGTGATGGATCAAGACCCTGCCTTGAATAATGATCATCATAATAATGAGATGCCATAGGGGAGATGATTCAGAACTGAGAAGTGAGAGAGAGAAAGAGAAATGTGAGGATCTGAAGAGGTGCCATAGTACCACTCTCTTTGAGTTGCTGGGAGATATTGAAGTTGATTTATTTAAATTTGCCTGCTGTACTCAAATATAATACTATACAGAGACTAGCCACCATGGGCCTCAGGTATTTTCAGGTTATAGTTACTATATCATTATGTTCCAGCTGTTGTGTTAAGCAATGGAGATGCAAAGATTAATCAACACAGCAACTGGCCCCAAGCTGCTCAGGAGAAGAGCAGATAAGAAGACAATGCTAAGTGCTATGATAGTACATGAGCACGAAGGGGACACAGAACCAGCCTGGGGAGTTATAAAGAGGAGGAGAAATCGGCAGTGAGGGAATGGCTTTGGATCTTTCCTCCTCTGCAACTGAAGGGCCGCTCACCTTCAAGTTGAGATGTTTGGATAGGCACTTCAGAACTTGAGCCATGCTGGCCGTGGCCCGTTCCCGCTCATGGTCTTTGACTGACTGTAACCAGGGGACCAAGTGCTGTGAGAAATAAAGGGAGGCTAAATGGTTTATCAGGAAGATTTGGGATACCATCCTTATTGTGTTTAGAAAGAAATGTGGAGTGACAAGTTCCATGTTGCTACCAGATCTCAAAATACTTTGCTAAATGCTATTATAGCTCAGGTTGGAAATAAAAGTGGTAGAATGACAAGCAAGGCACAAAGACATGGGTGGTGGGTGGTTTGGTTGTTATATAGGAGCTTAGGAGCTTCTTTTCTTTTTTTTTTTTGAGATGGAGTCTTGTTCTGTTGCCCAGGCTGGAGTGCAATGGTGTGATCTTGGCTCACTGCAACCTCTGCCTCCCAAATTCAAGTGATTCTCTTGCCTCAGCCTCTCGAGTAGCTGGGACTACAGGCACTCGCCACCACGCCCAGCTAATTCTGTATTTTTGTAGAGACGGGGTTTCACCATGTTGGCCAGGCTGATCTCGAACTCCTGACCTCAGGTGATCTGCCCGCCTTGGCCTCCCAAAGTGCTGGGATTACAGGCGTGAGCCACTGTGCCTGGCCAGAGCTTATTTTCTAGACTTACTTTCTCTTCAGCCCAATTCTTCAATTAATTATTCTGTACTTCTGAATGTTTTTAGCTCTTTCAAATCTGCTTTGGAAAGAAATAAAGTTAACAACATGCTACTAATTTTAAAGTTTAACTCTGAGGACAGCCAGGTGTGGTTGCTCATGCTTGTAATCCCAGCACTGCCGGAGGGATTATACTGACTGCTTGAGCCCAGGAGTTGGAGACCAGCCTGGGCAACATGGTGAAACCCCATCTTTACAAAAAAATACAAAAATTAGCTGGGCATGGTGGCGTGTGCCTGTAGTCCCAGCTGCTCGGGAGGCTGAGGTGGGACGACTGCTTGAGCCCGGGAGGCGGAAACTGCAGTGAGCTGAAATCGCGCCACTGTACTCCAGCCTAAGTGACAGAGCGAGATCCAGTCTCAAAAAAAAGAGAAAAAGAAAGGCTTGAATTAAGCTGCCAAGGCAGGAAAGTACAAAGTACAACTGCATAAAGAGGAGAAACCCAATCTGGCTGGTATGCTAATGTACAAATAGAAGAGGAATGAGAAGTAGTATTAAGGTCAGTTAGGATGAGAATAAATGCCCATCAGAGCATTTAAGAAAATAAGCTAGAAAATAAGCTCCTGTAGCAGCCAAACCACTCGACTGCCTAGGTTTTTGTGCCTTGCTTGTCAGTTAGGACAACAATAAATGCATCATTTGGGTGCAAACGATTAATAATAGCTTAAAGCCTTATCCCTTTCTGGGATATCTGCATCTTAAAAAAAGGATAAGAAAAATAAAAATAAAATAACAACAATAAAAAAAGGGTAGGAGAGCAAGATACCTGAATGCAGTGAATGAATTCCAATGAATCAATCTCTAGTGATGGAAGAGCATATACAGGAACAGGTGCAGGTCAGAGCAGTTCGTCATTATAACCTTTGAGTATCATCTGGTAGGAAGCTGCTTATTTACTAACTCTTTTTTTGTTTTGTTTTGTTTTTGAGAAGAAGTCTCGCTCTATCGCCTAGGCTGGAGTACAGTGGCGCAATCTTGGCTCACTGCAACCTCTGCCCCCTGGGTTCAAGCAATTCTCCTGCCTCAGCCTCCCGAGTAGCTGGGACTACAGGCATGCGCCACCATGCCTGGCTAATTTTGCATTTTTAGTAGGGACAGGTTTTCACCATGTTAGCCAGGCTGGTCTTGAACTCCTGACCTCAAATGATTGATTCGCCTGCCTTGGCCTCCCAAAATGCTGGGATTACAGGCATGAGCCACCGTGCCTGGCCTTACTAACTCTTGAGGCTGACCCTTCCCTCATCACTGAATAAAACCCTTCTATACTAGTGAGGAATAATAATTTTTTTTTTTTTTTGAAATAGAGTCTTTCTCTGTCACACAGGCTGGAGTGCAGTGGTGCGATCTCTGCTCACTGCAACCTCCTCCTCCTGGGTTCAAGTGATTCTCATGCCTCAGCTTCCTGAGTAGCTGGGATTACAGGTGTGTACCACCACACCTGGCTAATTTCTGTATTTATTTATTTATTTATTTTTTAGTAGAGTCAGGGTTGTGCCATGTTGGTGAGGCTGGTCTCGAACTCCTGGCCTCAAATAATCCACCTGCCTTGGCCTGTGCTGGGATTACAGGCGTGAAACACTGCGCCCTGCCCCCAGGAATAATTTAAGGAATAATTAAGCAACTATTTAAACAATTTATTGTGACAGGGTGCAGTAGCTCATGCCTGTAATCCCAGCACTTTGGGAGGCTGAGGTGGGAGGATAACTTGAGGCCAAGAATTCGAGGCTGCAGGGAGCTATAATGGTGCCACTTCACTCCAGCCTAGGCCACAGAGCAAGACCCTGTCTCTGAAAATAAATAAACAAATAATTTATTGAAGGCCACTTATTCAATATTCACAGTAATTATTATCTCCATGTAAATGTGAAGAAATGCAACACTGAGAGAGCAAATTCCTTGCAGAATTTCTAGCGGGAGGACGTGTAACCAATGAATGGCAGAGTCAGCATTTGAACCCAAGTCTCTGACTCAAAGTTGATAGCTGATACTCTTTACTACGTTGCCTCTTACCACTGAATACTTCCACATTTTCATCTCCCACTTTCACCAGTTAATAGGAATCATTTCCCACTCTCCCTTGATATCTTGTTTACCTTAATAATGGTGTCAAGATTTTCCAAATGTGGGTCTTTTACCACCAAACTCTGGAGCATCTCAGAGAATGCCTGAAACGTCTGCCTGTAAAGACACTGAAAAGGCACAGGATCAGCAACACTCCCTGGCCCCACGTGAAGTTCCCCTAGCATGGGACACTTTGGAGGCTCTTCATGTGACCCTAAGACTTTACTCAAAGTTGCAGTACCAGTGTAAAGGTACTAGTAGGTTGTTTGTGGCATGAGGTAAAAAGGAATACATCTTCATTTCAAACAGGCGCCTCGGCACTAGAGGGATCACAGCTGACTGAGTCTTACTACATCTGGGGAACTGCTTAAGGGTCATCAAGATTCTTTAAAGTTGGCTTGTGACTCTTTCTGATATCTTCAAACAGAGGGGAATAAAGTCCTCTTGGGTAACTGCTTTACCAACCAGTTTATTCGCCACTGAAGAAGAGATCAAGGCCTGCACGTACCCTTCCCTCTGCTTGAAAGCTTTCTCTCCAGACATACCCACACCTCTTTTCTTTCAATTATCATCCCATCATGAAGGCTTTGCCTGACCACCCATGTGCCTCCCAACCACAGGGCCCTTGATCCTGCTCTTTCCCTGCTTTACATTTTCATAACACTTATTATCAGCTGACATATTATATGCATGTATCAACAGTTTGTCTCTCTGCACTAGAATGTAAGTTCCGTGAGTGGGACTGGACTGCTGTATTCCTACTGCCTATCATCATTTTTGGCATATGATGACATACGGCACATTGTGTGCTTAAATAAACGTTAAGCACACAAGCGAGTGCTCCCACCTTATTTTAAAGCCAAAAGGAAGGAAAGAATAAAGGGAAAAGGAAAGAAGACAAAATGAAGGGTTGAAAGAAGCTATCTTCTAATTTAACCACCTATTTTATTTACCAGACTTGGCTTATGGTTTTTGGCTAGTTTCAAAAAATCAAATGCACTCTCCAAAGGCCAAGATCAGCTGACCCTGTGGATGGAAAGTTACTAAAGCAAAGCATGAGTTACCTCTGTGTTGCAGGTCCCATTGGGCATGATTTCCTGTATCTGGGTAAGGGTCCTTACAGAGGGCAGAGTGATTATACTCTTGATGGTAAGACTGAACAACTCAGCTCGATCTTCAGAGCCCAACAGCAAATGGACATCTTGGTAACTAAGAAAAGACAGTTTGGGAACAGCAAGCTGGAAAGACGGTTTGATTTGATACTGATAAGCAGAGATCAACTAAAAAGGAAAGGGTAGACAGGCTAGTGTACTGTTCTGATGTGAGAAATAAATGGCATAGCTTGTCAGTCTGTTCAGATAAATCTCACAAAAGGTTAGAGGAAGTTTTCCCCCAAGAAGTTACTGGAGCAATATCCTTCCAGGCTTCCCTTCAGTTCAGCCACAGAGGGAAGCCTGCTACAGTCTAACGTGGTAAGCCACAATTTTCCAAAGCATATTCTGCTGAATGTTCATTTGGGGAATCATGGGTTGAATCTAGTTAAAAAACTTTTTAACCACAAGACTTCTCAGGGTCTTTGATCAGCTTAATCACTACAATATAAATCTCTGAGAGGTAGACAATAGGCAGCCCTTCCAAATTTCTTAGAAGCCGGAACTCTAATGTCATGAGACATATATGGGAGTAACTTCCTGCCAAATATACTTTGGACAAAACTGAACTCCAAAGAGATTCCAATAAAGTCTTTCAGATATGGATAGTAGCATATATGAAATCAAAGTGCTTACTCAAAAACACGGATTTGGCTTCCTCTTTTCTACATAAACAGTTTTCAAAAGTTAAAAATATGGATCATGGCCAGGCGCAGTGGCTCACGCCTGTAATCCCAGCACTTTTGGAGGGTGAGGTGGGTGGATCACTTGAGGTCAGGAATTTGAGACGAGCCTGGCCAACATGGCGAAACCCCGTCTCTACTAAAAATACAAAAATTAGCCAGGCATGGTAGTGCACGCCTGTAATCCCAGCTACTCGGGAGGCTGAGTGAGGCAGGAGAATTGCTTGAACCCAGGAGGCAGAGGTTGCAGCGAGTCAAGATTGTGCCACTGCACTCCAGCCTGGGGGACAGAGCGAGACTCCATTGAAATGGACTCCATTGAAAATTTTTTTTTTTGAAACAAAAAAAAAAAAAAAAAAAGGGTCATGTCAGTTGGACCTGGCATTGGCCCTGAGAGGAACCAGGATGCCCGTGTAAGGGGCGTGTGGGCATCACCTGAGATCAGCGATGGTGACAAAGACCTCCTGGCGCATGGAACTGGACAGAGAATGCGGGCGTTCCTCTTGTACCAGTACCTGCAATGAGAGGGAAAGAACTTGAGAGTTGAGAAAGTACCCATTCATTAGGCCAGTGACGATCAGAGACTGGGTGGCCAGCAAGAACCACAAAAGGTCCTTCAGCCAGCCCTGCTCTTAGGCCCCAGATGCCTGGCAGCAGGACAGTGACAGGGATAGGGGTTTATTCTCTTGAGCCAGACCCCAGACCCTGGCTCTGCCTCTTACCAGGTGTTTGAGCTGACACAAATTATTTAACCTCCTTGTGCCTCAGTTCCTCATCTGTAAAACCAGAAAACAGGAATACTTACCTTCATGGGGCGGCTATGAGTACTCACTGAGCAAATTCATGACACCCAGCAGCCCTGTGTAATTGTTAGTGTCTGTTATTCACTCTTTTTATCACCAGTGATTATTTCTAGTTTAGGCATTCTAACTCCTCTCTCCACTAAACCAGCCATCTCTCTATGATCACATCTAATATTATTCTGAGTTACTTGTCCCGGAAAAAGAATAACTTTCCAATTTACAAACTGGCAGAGGGAAAGTGCATTGCTGTGCTGGAAAAACCCGTGGAGTGATAAGCAGGGGCTCTGGAGTGGGACAGTCCCTGGGCTGCGCACTGGCTCTGCCACTCACTCACTGTGTGAGCCTGAATGTGTCATTTAACTCCCTGTGCCTGAGTTGCCTTATCTGTATGGAGAAAATGAGCTAATGTAAATGACTGTAGCTGGCTGGACGCAGTGGCTCACGCCTGTAATCCTAGCACTTTGGGAGGCTGAGGCGGGTGGATCACCTCAGGTCAGGAGTTCGAAAGCCGGCGCCTATAATCCCAGCTACTCAGGAAGCTGAGGTAGGAGAATCGCTGGAACCCGGGAGGTGGAGGTTCCAGTGAGCCAAGGTTGCACCACTGCACCCCAGCCTGGGTGAAAGAGTGAAACTCTGTCCCCCCAACAACAACAACAAAAAAGACTGTAGCAGAAGCCTTGCTGGACTGTCCACCAGGCCCCTCTGGGAACTGTCCCCAACCCACAGAAATGGGTACTTCAAAGCTCTGTGTCTGCTAGGTCATTCTGTCCCACTGGCTACAGCTCATCTGTCCCAGAGTAGACACCAAGGTCTATTAGATTCTCTCTGGAATCTGGAATTGGGACACAGAGCTTCAATCTCAGTCTGGATGGTCTTCTAAAGGAAAAAATTTAAAATTTGGAAGCACTGGTCCCTGTGGATGAGGCAACTGAGAGGGCCAATTTTGGGGAGAGAAGATGGGGGAGAGGGAGACGGGGTGGGGGGAAAGGGAGAGAGAGAGGAGAAATGGAAATTCATACAAAGGAGCAAAAATAAGATATGGAAAGTTCTCCTTGAGTATGTGGAAGGTTTTTATTTTCTAGATTCATTCCCTTCCTGGGTCAGGCTGCTCCTCCTGTCAAGGGGTTCTGGGAAGCACTCAGTGATCCTTAGAACAAATCTCACCTTTTGTGTTTCAGCTGCTTCTAGAGGATTTCTCTTACCTGCAACCAAGAAGATCTCACTAGGAACTTAGGATGCAGGCTGGGCGCAGTGGCTCACGCCTGTAATCCTAGCACTTTGGGAGGCTGAGGCGGGTAGATCACCTGAGGTCAGGAGTTCGAGACCAGCCTGGCCAACATGGTGAAACCCCATCTCTACTAAAAATACAAAAATTAGCCAGACATGATGGTGGGCACCTGTAATCCTAGCTACTTGGGAGGGTGAGGCAGGAGAATCGCTTGAACTCGGGAGGCGGAGGTTGCAGTGAGCCGAGATGGTGTCATTGCACTCCAGCCTGGGCAACAAGAGCAAAACTCCGTCTCAAAAACAACAAAAAAACTTAGGATGCAGTAAGTGCTCACTAAACACTACAAGGTTCCCTTTCTTGCCCCTTTCTGAGTTTTTCTCCTCTTACTTTCCAGCTTTGGTCTGACTCCGATCTTGCTGGTGGGCTGCTGCTTTCTTCCTTATTTTCTCAAGGAGCACATTTATTCTTGCGGCTTTATAGTCCAGAAGGGACAAAGCCTAAGACTCTATCTTTAGCCCTGACAGCTCTCCCAGGGCTCTACTCATCTGCATCTGGTTATCTCCAGGGCACACCACTAACATCCCCAGAATTTTGGCATTAAAGTCAGTTCACTGTGGTCCCCGTGCGAAGAACACAGCTTCCTATCCTTTAATAGCTGTCAACTGTTCCCTTTCCCAGGGCTCACTAAAAAGGTGATTCATGATTCTTTCTTTTGTTCAAGCCCTACCTCCTATCAGTTATAGCATCAGCCACCCCCTGCTCTGCACGGTTTCTGTGACTCTCCATTCCTGGAGCCATACGCCTTCATATGGATGAAAGCAGGGTCTCTTAGCTGAAGCCCCGGGCTTGCAATCCCCTCTGACTTCAATTGACTTGATCCACTTCTGCCAGAATCATCTTTTCTTTTTTTAATCAGTTGGGTATTGAAGGTTTATTATTTGTTCACAGTTATGCTGGCCTCCACAGGGAATTCAAAAGTGAGAGGGTATTTTTTGTTAGTAGAGTATGTGTGTAGCAGGAACTTTCTGGGTGACTGCCCAGATCACAGCAATCACCCTTTCTCCCTCGGAACGCCTCCGAAACGCAGGGTGGGACACCCAGAAGTCATATCATTACTATATGATCTTGCCCCCAGGCAAACCTGATTGATGCAGGGGTGGGGAACAGACTAGTTTGGGCCAATCAGATTTTCTCTTGCAGAATTTGGAATCTTACAGTGACAGGCACAAAGCGGGAGTTGCTAGAGGGTTGAGTCATGGTGATGGTAGCGAAGCCCCTGCCTCTGAGAGCTCTGGAGCTGTCCTGAAACTTACTTTTCTGGAGGCTTGTTTAAACCTCATCCTTAGAGTCTAAGAGAGATATCCCAGCATCCTTTTTTTTTTTTTTTTTTTTTTTGGTAACTTACGTGAGCCAGAGGTGATTTTTGTTTCTTGCCTGAAGAATCCTAACTAATCCAAACAAAATTAGACGTTTTGTCTCAAAGGTCTTTTTTTTTTTTTTTTTTTTTTTTTTTTTTTTTTTTTTTGTGAGACAGAGTCTGGCTCTGTCGCCCAGGCTGGAGTGCAGTGGTGTGATCTTGGCTCACTGCAACCTCTGCCTCCCAAGTTCAAGCGATTCTCCTGCCTCAGCCTCCGGAGTAGCTGGGACTACAGGCGCCTATCACCATGCCTGGCTAATCTTTGTATTTTTAGTAGAGACGGGGTTTCACCATGTTGGCAAGGCTGGTCTCAAACTCCTGACATCAGGTGATCTGCCCACCTCAGCCTCCCAAAATGCTGGGATTACAGGCATGAGCCACTGTGCCCAGCCTGTCTCAAAGGTCTTAACAAAAGCCGAGCAGATGTGAATATCTTTATTTTACTGGTAGAGCTACTGATGTTCAGATAAGCTAAGTGATTTGTCCAAGGTGGGGAGGGTTTTGTGGAGGACCTCAGATATAGAATTCCGATGGAGTCCCATGGTGGCAGAGGAGAATTAAGAGGCAAATCTGGTTACATTAAAATTTTATTACAGTAGGTCTTGGTGCTCATGTCTGTTGTTGAGTCACTAAAAACCATCTCCTGGCCACTCTGCCATATTGCAGAATGCAGAACCCTAGCCTTGGCATAGCCAAGTAGCATTCTTCAGCTTACCATCTGAAGTCCTTACCCAGTGGTCCTTTCTCTCTTCTCTCAATCCTATCCATCATATCTTTCAAAGATTAGGTCAGATCCACCTGGATTAATTTCACCCTAATCCTGCTGTCACTTTATTCTATATCCCAGTTGCCACAGCCTGCCTCCCTTCCCTTTCCTTCCTTCCTCTTTTTCTTTCTTTTCATTTCTCCTCTTCTCTTTTCTTTCGTTCTTCTTTCCTTTGTCTTTCCTTTCTTTTTCTTTCTCTCTCCTTTCTTTTTCTTTCTCTCCTTCCTTTCTTCTTTTTCTTTCCTTTCTTTCTTTCTCTCCTTTTTTTCTTTCCTTTTTTTCTTTCTCTCCTTCCTTTTTTTCTTTTTTCTTTCTCTCCTTCCTTCCTTTCTCCTTCCTTCCTTCCCTGCCTCCCTCCTCTCTCCCTCCTTCCCTTCTCTTCCCCTTCCCTTCCCTCCCTCGCTCCCTCCCTCCCTTCCTCCCTTCCTTCCTTCCTTCCTTCTTTCCTTCCCTCACTCCTCTTTCTCCCTTTCCCTTCCCTCCCCTCCCTCCCTCCTCCTTCTCTTCCTCTCTCTGTCTCCCTCTCCCTCTCTCTCTATTTCTTTAAAGATGGGGGTCTCACTATGTTCCTGAGGCTGGAGTGCAGTAGCTATTCGTAAGTACAATCATAGCTCACTACAGCCTCCAACTTCTGGGCTCAAGTGTTCCTCCTGCCTCAGCCTCGACAGTGGCTGGGACTACAGGCAGGTGCTACCACACCCAGCCTCTTTTCTTTTTCATTAAAGTTCTCAACATTATATAATGTATATTTTTATATTATATTGTATATTGTATATTTTTTACAATATACAATAAACTGTACATATTTAAAGCATACAGTTTGATGATTTTTGATATATGTATATATCCATGAAACCATCACCATCCTCAAGAGAATGAACATTTCTATCACTTCCAAAAGTTTCTTTGTGCTACTTTGTGATTCCTCGCTCCTTCTCCTCCTCACTCAACCTCTGCCTCTAGGTTACCATTGCTCTGCTGTCACTATAGATTCATTGGCATTTTCTCGAATTTCATGTAAATAGAATCACGCATGATATCCTCTTTTTTATCTGGGTTCTTTCACTCAGCATAACTATTTTGAGATTGTTCCAAGTTGTAGCATATTTCAATAGTTCCTTTTCATTCTCACGTAGTATTCCATCATGTGGATATACAATACCACAATTTCTTTATCCGTTCACCTGCTAATGAACACTTGGGCTTCTTCTAGGGTTTGGCTTTTACATATAGAGCTGCTGTAAACATTTGTGCATGCATCATTGTGTGGACATATGTTTTGTTTTACCTAGGAGTGAAACTGCTGGGTCATATGGTAAGTGCATGTTTCACTTTTTAAGAAACTGCCAAATTGTTTTCCAAAGTGGTTGTGCCATTTCACATTCCTGGCAACACTGTATGAGAGTTTTAGTTGCTCCATATCCTTGCCAATATTTGGTATTGCCTTTCTTTTTTATTTTAGCCATTTTAGTAGGTGTATAGTTGAAGCTTACTGTTGTTTTAGTTTGCTTTTCCCTAATCACAATGATCAGCATCTTTTCATGTGCTTATTTTGAGAAATTTTTGGTGAACTCATGCCTGTCATCCCAGCACTTTGATAGGCTGAGGCAGGCAGATCACCTGAGGTCAGGAGTTCAAGACCAGCCTGGGCTGGTCTCTACTGTGAAACCCTGTCTCTAATAAAACCGCACAAAATTAGCTGGGTACAGTGGCAGGTGCCTGTAATCCCAGCTACTTGGGAGGCTGAGGCAGGAGAATCACTTGAACCCGGGATGCGGAGGTTGCAGTAACCTGAGATTGTGCCACTGCACTCCAGCCTGTGTGACAGAATAAGACTCCATCTCAGAAAAAAAAAAAAAAAAGAAAAAGAAATATTTGGTGAAGTGCCATAACATTTTTTCCCCCTTCTTTCCACTTTCTATTGTTGGCTTCCTTGGCTTTTTTAATTTGGATACTTGGAGCCATGCACTGGTTTGGGTCACAAGCACTGGTAAATGCCTTAACGTTTTCTTTCTCTATAATGACCCTGGCTTCTTCCTCCTTGTCGGTTCCTCAGCAGAAATGCTTCTCCTCTTGGGCACCTCTCCCTTTGGTTGCTGGGAGCTGTGCTTTTTCAGCCCCCATGTGTGGGCCTGTGGGGACTTTGTAGACTTACACAATGCTGCAGTGATCCATGCAATTTTCTCATGGATACTAGCTACCTTTAACTCTTCTAGGCTGAATCCCCTGCCAGCCTATACTTTGATTGACATCTGATGTGGGCATTTTATTACTGGGTGGACAGATGCAAATGCAGATTCAGTGTGTAATTCAGTACATTGTTGCTGTTGAGACCTGCATTTGTGGATTTTATGGACTGGCTGGTTGAACCATGTGGCAACCCATTGTTGCCAAGTTTGGTGAAACTAGAGCTCTAGAAACATGCCACTCTGGCTGGGTCCTATGATCCTGCGGTTGCCTACATCCCCTTTCCCAAGGAGTACAGCCAAGTAGAAAGCTGCATTTGTTTTCTGTTTGTTTTTGTTTTTGTTTTGAGATGGGGTGTCACTCTGTCACCCAGGCTGGAATAGAGTGGCTTGATCTCGGCTCACTGCAATCTCTGTCTCCTGGACTCAGCTGATCCTCCCACCTTAGCCTCCCGAGTAGCTGGGACTACAGGCATGCACCACCACATCCGGCTAATTTTTTTTTTTTTTTTAAGAGATTGAGTTTTACCACATTGCCCAAACTGGTCTCAAACTGTTTTTTTATTTGCTTGTTTGTTTGTTTCTTTTTTGAGACAGAGTCTCACTCTGTTGCCCAGGCTGGAGTGCAGTTGTGTCATCTCAGCTCACTGCAACCTCCACCTCCCAGGTTCAAGCAATTCTCCTGCCTCAGGAGAAGCTGTGATTACAGGCGCCTGCCACCATGCCCGGCTATTTTTTGTATTTTTAGTAGAGACGGGGTTTCACCATGTTGGCCAGGCTGATCTCAATCTCCTGACCGCAAGTGATTCGCCCACCTCGGCCTCCCAGAGTGCTGGAATTACACATGTGAGCCGCCGCTTTTTGTTGTTAAACCTGTATTATATCATCCTGTTCTTCTTAATGTATTATTTGGAATAGTTCTCAACCTATTTACTTTTTGAAATATGGCTACTTACAGATGGATCCTAAACCCTTCAAGGGCAAGGATTAAGGTTTCCAGGAAATGCGTAACCTTTATCAAAGCACCACAGTGTGTTTGGATATAGAAGATCCTTGGTAACTGTCCATTACTTAAAACTGTTAGCTGGTTAGCCTTGAATTATAAAAGCTATCAGTCTAATCAGCCTTATAGATCTGTGATATGAGAAAGAACTACTCATATTTCTGGAGTATGTAAGAAATTTCAACATCAGAATTTTAAAGCTTTAGAGAAACTGAAGGAGACATTTCACAGATGAGAAAACTAAAACACCAAGAAGTACTTGCTTGAGTGCATCAGCTCCTTTGCAATGCCCTTCTGGATCCTTTGCCATGGAACTGACCACTCAATCTCTACTCTCAGCCCCCCATATGCCTATTTAAACTTGTCACAGTTCCTGTGACATTTTATTATACCTTGCTTGGCTGCATAAATAGGGATTTTGTCTTCTTTGTCTTTGTAGCCCAAATTCCCAAGACAGTTCCTGGAACTGTCAGGCACTTAATGAGGGAATGAATGGATGAGTTGGTGGCAGAGTGTGGCTGGAGTAAGTACAAATAGAACAAAATACGATAACAATAATATAGTCATGTTTCTCAAGTGGCTCGTGTGTATTAGGTACCATGGACATGGCTTATATTTATTTTGAATTTAATGGTCACAATAGCTCTGTGAAGTAGATATAGCTATTCTTGTTTTATAGGGGAGGAAACTGAGGCATTGAGAAGTGAAGTAATTTCCTACAGTTTCACAGCTATAAAAAGGCAGGGCTGTCCCCTGAACCTAGGCATACGATTATGGGGACTGTCTGGGAACTACTGCTTGAGTCATGAGAATGTAGCGTTGGCCTTGCTGAGAAATTCAAATGCTGTTCCTGTCCTTTCTACTCTTCTTTTAATTGGTTTTCAAGGGTGATTACATGTGTGGGGTGGCCATGAGTATTTCTCCTCCATGTGGAGATACTGATACTAGAAGAGTTCAAGTGAATTGATAACATAGGTGAAGCCACTAAAAAATGCTTTGGCCAAGTCACTGAATTTGTGTGATCCCAATCATTTGTGATAAGGTCATAATACTTACATTTAAGGTATGCACAATGTCTGCTATGTGGCTGTGAATGAATGATTTTGCGGTTTCATCATAAGGTAAAGCTTGGCTGAGAGAAGACAGATCTCCTAGGAATTTCAGCTTTTCAAGTTCACCCTGAATTTGTGGGAAAATGATAAAAATACAATTATATGTCATAATCTTATTTGAATAACTGTGGAGAGTTTTTGAAAAGTTTCTTGGAATGCTTTAAATATCTGACATCTCTTTCAACCCAATATCAGTCTTTTATTACAAAGAATGAGTAAATTACGGAAGATTTCAGTGAAATTCCTTGTCCGCTGGCCCTGCCTTGCTTTGAGACCTCGGCTCTCCTCTCAGCTCCATGTTCCATCCTGGCTTTCCCCACTCTTAGTCTTTGCTTTTCTACCTGCCTGTCCTGTGTAGTGTTGCCTGATTAAGCTTCCTAGGCTGGGCATGGTGGCTCATGCCTGTAATCCCAGCACTTTAGGAGGCCGAGGTGGACAGATCACCTGAGGTCAGGAGTTCCAGACCAGCATGGCCAACATGGTGAAACCCTGTCTCTACTAAAAATACAAAAAAGTAGCCAGGCGTGGTGGCGCGTGCCTGTGCCTGTAGTCCCAGCTACTTGGGAGGCTGAGGCACGAGAATCACTTGAACCTGGGAAGCGGAGGTTGCAGTGAGCTGAGATGGTGCCGCTGCACTCCAGCCTGGGTGACAGAGTGAGATCCCATCTCAAAAAAAAAAAAGCTTCCTAAAGGTGACCTCTCTGATTCTGTTACTTCTAGTTCTTTCAATGTCATTAAAAATTCATTATTTTGCTTTTAAAATTTCCTATTAAAATCCAAGTTCTGATTGGAAGAATAAAATCTCTCAGTACTAACATTCTCTTTTTCTTTTTTATTTTATTATTACTATTATTATTATTATTTTTTTGACATGGAGTCTCGCTCTGTCACCCAGGCTGGAGTGCAGTGGCACGATCTCAGCTCACTGCAACCTCAACCTCCTGGGCTCAAGCAATCCTCCCGCCTCAGCCTCCCAACTAGCTGGGACCACAGGCACGCACCACCACGTCCAGCTAATTATTTGTATTATGTTGCCCAGGCTGGTCTCAAACTCCTGAGCTCAAGTGATCCACCTGCCTTGGCTTCCCAAAGTGCTGGGATGACGGGATGACAGGTGAGAACCACCATGCCTGGCCTCTCTTTTTCTTTTTCTTTTTTTTTTTTTTTTTTTGAGATGGAGTCTCGCTCTGTCACCCAGGCTGGACTGCAGTGGTACACCTGGGTTCAAGTGATTCTCCTGCCACAGCCTCCCAAGTAGCTGGGACTACAGGCATGCACCACCACACCAAGCTAATTTTTGTATTTTTAGTAGAGATGGGGTTTTATCATCTTGGCCAGGCTGGTCTCGAACTCCTGACCTCAGATGATCTGCCTGCCTTGGCCTCCCAAAATGCTGGGATTACAGGCGTGAGCCACTGCACCCGGCCTCTTTTCTAATTATACATACATACATATATATATAAAATTCCTATTTATCATAGAACCTTTTTTTTTTTTTTAAGACAGGGTCTTGCTCTGTCATCCAGGCTGGAGTGCAGTGGCGTGATCACCACTCACTGCAGTCTACATCTCCTGGGCTCATGGGATCCTTGTACTTCAGCCTCCTGAGTAGTTGGGACTATAGGTGTGCTTGAACCTGGGAGACGGAGGTTGCAATGAGCCAAAATCGCGCCACTGAACTATAGCTTGGGTGACAGAGCAAGACTCTGTCTCAAAAAAGAAAAAAAAAATCTCTATATATCTTAAGACTTGGAGAATGCGTTTGCTCCTGAAGCAGGGTCCAGTGTCCTTTCTTTTTTTTCTTTTGAGACAGAGTCTCACCCTGTTGCCCAGGCTGGAGTGCAATGGCATGATCTTGGCTCACTGCAACCTCCGCCTCCCAGGTTCAAGCTATTCTCCTGTCTCAGCCTCCCAAGTAGCTGGGATTACAGGCACCTGCCACCATGCCCGGCTAATTTTTTGTATCTTTAGTAGAGATGGGGGTTTCACCATGTTAGCCAGGCTGGTGTTGAACTCCTGACCTCGTGATCTGCCCACCTTGGCCTACCAAAGTGCTGGGATTACAGGTGTGAGCCACTGCGCCTGGCTGGTCCAGTGTCCTTTCTAAGTGTATCTACAAACCACATGAATAAATTGCTATCACAGCACTTGCGATACTCTGACATAATGACCTTCTTATTAATCTATTTCCCTGACTGACTGTGGAATCAGCTCAAGGCAGGTAATGGGCTTTTTTGTTTCAATTCATGGCAGCAATCCAAGCCCTTCATTAACTACAAAGAAATCGAAAGAAAACCATGCTGATATGAAGTATAAGGATTAGCTGAAGTCAAAAGTGAAGGCCAACATGTTGGCTTTAAATGTTTTATTTTTATTTTTCATTGGTATTCTACATAAAGAAAATGTACAGTTTGGTGGATTTTCACAAACCAAAAAACACCCTGTAGCCAGCAACAGATTATTACTAGCATTCCTGAAGTTTCCCTCATCCTCCTTCCAGTGGAGGCTCTGTGTGGTTTTGTGTGTATGTGTATGTGTGTGTTTTGTGTGTGTTTTGGTAAATTGACAAATTATGGTTGTATATATTTATGCGGTACAAAGTGACAACATGATTTTTAAAAATGTATCATACAGTAAAACTGATTTCGGCAGGAAGCATGTGGTTCCATGTGTTATAACACACACATACACATGTGTAACCATCACCACAATCAGGATACGAACAGTTCCACCATCCCCTAAATTTCTCTCCTGCTATCCCTTTTTAGTCACATCCTCTCCCCACCCTAATGCCTAGGAATCACTAATCTGTTCTGCATCACCATGTTTTGTCTTTTCAAGAATGTCACACAACTGGAATCATACAGTCTGTAACCTTTTCTGATTGGTTTCTTTCACTCAACACAATGCCTCTGCGATTCATCTTTGCTGTTGTATCGATAGTTCCCTCCTTTAATTGCTGAATAGTATTATATTTTTTGAGACAGGGTCTCGGTCTGTTTGTGGCCCAGTTTGTTTATCTGTGAATAGTCTTTAATCTTACTACTCCAACTTCTTCCCTGCGTCTAGCATAGTGCCTTATAAATGGTAGCTGTTCATTCATTACTTGTTGATTGGGTGAATGGGATTTAAAAGCCATAGAGGACCAGGCACAGCGGCTCATGCCTGTAATCCCAGCACTTTGGGAGGCCAAGGCATGTGGATTGCTTGAGGTCAAGAGTTCAAGACCTGCTTGGTCAACATGGTGAAACCCATGTCTACTAAAAATACAAAAATTAGCTGGGCAATGGTGGCACGTGCCTGTAATCCCAGCTACTCAGGAGGCTGAGGCAGGAGAATCACTTGAACCCGGGAGGCAGAGGTTGCAGTGAGCTGAGATTGTGCCACTGCACTCCAGCCTGGGCGACAGAGTGAGACACTGTCTCAGAAAAAAAAAAAAAAAAAGTCTAAAAAAATATAAACCAAAATGTCAGCAGTAGTTATTTGAGACTGGAATTAGGGAAGATTAGCTTTTAATTTTTATTATGGTTTTCTTTGTTTTTACATTAATTTCATAATTATATATGTAAGTATAATTTATAAATATATGTAAATATATGTATTATAAATATAAAACAAACATGTTTTATAACCTATAATATAAAATTATTTGTATAATCAAGAAATAATATGTTTAAAATATTTGTTAAAATGGAGGAATAAGTTGGATAACTCATAAAAATTGCTTGTGCATACCTTTAGCTCACCATTGAAAACCTTCTGGATGGACTGGATCAGTTTCTCAACAATGGCCTCACTGAGCGGGTCCTGTTGGGTCAGGTGTCTGGGGCTATGTGACAGGGGCTCACAATGGAGTCCAGGGATGTCAGGGATGTCCAAGTCTAACATTGAAAGAAAGACACTGGATGATGCCTCCGTACTGTGTAAAGTGATAAGGTTTAGTATGGAGTACCTCTGGCTCACCTTTACTACTTGCTCTATGACCTTAACCAAGTCCCATCCTGTCTCCTAGACTCAGTTTTCTCAAAAATAAATTCAATGTTCTCTAAGGGCCTCCTAAGCTACAAAAAACCTTTGGGACTGAGCTGTAGCAGAATGGTTAAGACTATGGACTTTAAATCTCAATTTGAGACTAGTTTGAATCTTGGCTCTACCACTTACTATTTGTATGACCTTTATCAAGCTAGTTTGCCTCCTGAAACCTAAGTTTCCTTTTCTGTAAAACAGGGTTATTATAAGAATTAAATGAGGTAATACATGCAAAGAACTGATCCCAGAAGTATTTCCCCCTTAACACATCTTTCATCTGAAGATTTTTACCATTCTTTTTTTTTTTTTTTTGAGACAAGAGTCTCACTCTGTCGCTCAGGCTGGAGTACAGTGGCGCGATCTTGGCTCACTACAACCTCTGCCTCCTGGGTTCAAGCGATTCTTGTGCCTCAGATTCCCAAGTAGCTGGAATTACAGGCACACGCCACCACCCCCAGGTAATTTTCGTATTTTTAGTAGAGATGGGATTTCGCTATGTTGGCCAAGCAAGGTCTCGAACTCCTGACCTCAGGTGATCCACCCGCCTCAGCCTCCCAAAATGCTGGGATTACAGATGTGAGCCACCGTGCCCGGCCACCACTCTACTTTTGCATTCTTTTTGATTTCTTGAATGCCTCTTCAGTAAACTCTACCCACTTCCTGCCATATTCCTATCATCCACTAATTGCAATAATTGAAGCCATGTTCTCATTCTGATCTGTGCACAGGCTGTTCCTTCTGCCTGCATTTTTCTCCTTCTTCTCCCCCACCTTCCCTTACCTATCTTTGCCTTGCTAACTCCTACTCATCCTTCAAGTCTCAGCTCCAGGATGCCTTTCGTGTATGCCCTTTTTGCCTATTTTGGCTAAGTATCCCCAAGTCACTAATAAACCGCTCTGTATCCACTCTGGCTCTCCCACCCCCATCACACTGATTGCACTGAGTTCCATTTGCCTGTTCATCCGTAGGTATACTGTGTCTGTTCTGTTCGATGCTATATCTCCAGCTGCTAGATTAAGCTTAGAGCACAGGAGGGCTTCATTAAGTATTTGCTGAATGAATGTATGAATGAATGAAGGTAGCTTCAAACACACCAGGATCTTTCCTGTGTCATGCACATGCTGTCCCCATCTATCTGTAGTACTCCCTATACTCACATGAGTTACTCTCACATCTTTCAAGCCTCCTTTAGATTTAAATAGCACTCATGGTCTCATACAGGTGTTCTCTGACAACCAGAGTTTCAAGTAGGTTCCTATTGCCCTTATTTTTGTCTCAGCCTGTTCTTCCATACTGCTTACTACAAGTTGTAGTTACTTCAGTGACTGTTTACTCTTTTTGGTCTCTTTTCTGCACAATAATGTAAGTTCTATGAGGGCAGTGACCATGTTGGTCATGTCTACTGTTGTATTCCCAGCTCCTGGTACTCAATACATGTTTTGTAGAATGAAAGTTATTCTGAAGCCCAATCCAGATCTTACCTTCTGCATAAAGTCCTCCCACTCCAAGGTATCCCACACTGCCCTTTCCCTCCTCAGAATCCCTCAAGCACTCACACTCTTCTGCAGAACTGTCTCAGGACCAACCTTAGTTTCCTGGACATCACGAACCATGTATCTCATTTTGCCAACTGTATTTCAAGGTCTCAAAGTCAGGGACCAAATTCATCATCAAAGTCTAGTCAAGGGCTGGTCACCCAGCAAGTACTCAATCAATACCTCTTGGCCTGAGTTGAAAATACATTCTCTTTTCCCCTCCCCTCCCCTTTCTAGTCCTTTCTCCTTTTTACCTGTCAGTTCAATGCTACTTGAGCCTTTTTTAATAATCTCTAAGTTGCTCAGCTCCAAATCCACACTTTCTGAATCACTGTCATAGGCACAGGGGATCACTACTTCTTCCTGACTACAGATCCTAGGAATAAAGAGGAGATGCGAAAAATTAGTTTTCCAGGACTGCTTCTGTCTCATCATTTATTTGAAAGCCTCAATGTCACTTTCTGAGAGAGGCATTTATTCATCACCAATCTAGATTAAGTAGCTCCCACCATCCTGGCCCCACAGTTACCTTCTTATTTTTTTCATGGTATTTAACCACCACCTACAATTACCTTGCTCATTTGGTTTATTTGTTTGACTGTCTCCTATCAGACTATAAACTCCATTAGAGAGAACCCTCGTCTACATGGTCACATTTGTATCCCCAATACCTACCTAGCATGTTGTCAGTCTCATTAGGAGTGAATGGATAGGTAAGAAATACTATGCTGCTGTTAAAAACAATGCTGGGTGCAGGTGGCTCACGCCTGTAATCTCAGCACTTTGGGAGGCTGAGGCGGGCAGATCACCTGAGATCAGGAGTTCAAGACCAGCCTGGCCAACATGGCAAAACCTGGTCTCTACTAAAAATACAAAAAATAGCCGGGCATGGTGGCACATGCCTGTAATCCCAGCTACTCGGGACACTAAGGCAGGAGAATCACTTCAACTGGGAGGTGGAGGTTGTAGTGAGCCGAGATTGTGCCACTGCACTCCAGCCTGGGTGACATAGCAAGACTCCATCTCAAAAAACAAACAAACCCATCAAAAAAACCAGATTGAGGTAGAACACCTCACCAAACTCCCTCTATCTTCCTTACCCTTTCCTACTTTTTCTTTTTACCATAGCACGTAACACCTTCCAATATATCTTTCACTTGTTTATGATGTTCATTGTCATTTATTTCCTCCTGCTAAAATGTAAGCTTCATGAGGGCAAGAATCTTTGGCTGCTTTGTTCATGAATGTATCCCAGGAGTCTAGAACAGTGACATACAGAAGTGCTCAACAATTATTGGCAGAGTAAATGATTGAGCAGGTCTCTATTTACTGAATGTTTAGCATAGATTCATGAAAGAAAAAGCAAGCTGTCAAACAATGGATATGACATTTTTCATTAAAACAAAACTATTTTCACAAAAGTATAAGTATATGTGTATACACACAGAAACACACACACACAAATGTTGGCATACATGAAAAAAAACTTATGGAGGCTGGGTATGGTGGCTCACTCTGTAATCTCAGCATTTTGGGAGGTTGAAGTGGGAGGACTGCTTGAGCTCAGGACTTCGAGACTAGCCTGGGCAACACGGTGAGACCTCATCTCTACAAAAAAGTAAAAAATTGGCCAGGAGCGGTGGCTCATACCTGTAATCCCAGCACTTTGGGAGGCTGAGGAGGGCGGATCATGAGTTCAGGAGATTGAGACCATCCTGGCTAACAGGGTGAAACCCCATCTCTACTAAAAAAAAAAAAAACAAAAAAATTAGCCGGGCACGGTGGCGGGCGCCTGTAGTCCCAGCTACTCGGGAGGCTGAGGCAGGAGAATGGCGTGAACCCGGGAGGTGGAGCTTGCAGTAAGCCGAGGTTGCACCACTGTACTCCAGCCCAGGCGACAGAGCGAGACTCCATCTCAAAAAAAAGAAAAAAAAAGTAAAAAATTAGCTAGGTGTGGTGGCATGTGCCTGTAGTCCTAGCTACTCAGGAGGCTGAGGCAAGATGATCCCTTAAGCCCAGGAGTTTAAGACTGCAGAGTTTAAGCTATGATGGCACCACTGCACTCCAGCTTGACTGACAGAGAGAACTTGTCTCTAGAAGAAACAAAAACACAACTTACGGAATTCATTTTTTAAAATTATTTATTATTTTTAATTTTTATTTTTTTTGACACAGAGTCTCACTTTGTCGCTCAGGCTGAAGTGCAGTGGTGCAATCTCAGCTCACTGCAACCTCTCTGCCTCCTGGGTTCACGTGATTCTCATGCCTCAGCCTTCTGAGTAGCTGGGATTACAGGTGCCTGCCACCACGCCCGGCTAATTTTTATATTTTTAGTAGAGACAGGGTTTCGTCATGTTGGCCAGGCTGGTCTCAAACTCCTGACCTCAGGTGATCTGCCCACTTTGGCCTCCCGAAGTGTGGGGATCACAGGCATGAGCCACGGCGCCCAGCCAATAAAACAATTTTGGAAGGACACCCCAAACCAATAAAGTTTGAACTCTGTCCTGTATGCATATATTTCTTTAATAAAAAATGAGTTCATTAAAAACAAAGAAACCCTCTAGGAGCAGAATGGTTGGGTTGTGTGGTAGATTGTGTAACTGACTTCTTAAGATGCTGCCTGGCCACGTGTTGTGTCTCACGCCTGTATTCCCATTGCCTTTGGGAGGCTAAGGCGAAAGGATTGCCTGATACCAAGAGTTTGAGACAAGCCTGGGTAACATAGCAAAATCCGATCTCTACAAAAAATTAGCTGGGGGTGGTGGCATGTGCCTGTAGTCCCAGTTACTCAGGAAGCCAAGGCAAGAGGGTCCTAGAGTCCAGGAGGTGAAGGCGGCAGTGAGCTATGATTCCATCACTGTATTCCAGCCTGAGCGACAGATGGAGACCTTGCCTCGTAAAAAACAACCACCGCCAGTGGCTCACGCCTGTAATCCCAGCACTTTGGGAGGCTGAGGTGAGTGGATCACTTGAGGTCAGGAGTTTGAGACCAGCCTGGCCAACATGGTGAAACCCCGTCTCTACTAAAAATACAAAAAAATTCAGCCAGGCAGTGTGGCGCGCGCCTGTAATCCCAGCTACTCGGGAGGCTGAGACACGAGAATCGCTTGAACCCAGGAGATGGAAGTTGCAGTGAACTGAGATTGTGCCATTGCACTCCAGCCTGGGTGACAGAGGGAGACTTTGTCTCAAAACAAACAAACAAACAACGAAGAAGCTGTCAATCTGTTTCCAAAATGGTCGTACCACTTTACATTTCCATCAGCAGGATATGAGAGATCCTGTTGCTCCACATCCTTGCCAACATTTGCTATTGTTGGTCTTTTTCTTTTTCATTAGTCAGGTGTGGTGGCTCCCATCTGTGGTCCACAGCTAGTCACTAGGACCACAGATGCGAGCCACCACACCTGGCTAATCAAAATTTTTTTTTTGTAGAGGCAGGTCTTGCTGTGTTGCCCAGGTGGGTCTCGAATTCCTGGACTCAAGTGATCCTCCTACCTCAGCCTCCCAAAAGCTCTGGGATTACAGACTGAGCCACCATTCCTGGCTGCATATGCTAAGTCTGTGGTGTAAATACTCCCATCATGGCCAAAATCAAGCTACCAATACTACCTTGGGAAGAGATGTTCAATGGCATACTGTCATATATTTCCACCACACAGTTACAACAGATATAAGCAACCACAAAAGCACACAAAACGTAAAATGTAGTGAAATAATTAGAAAATAATGAGTTTTGTTTTCAATATACTTTATTTCATCCTAAATTGATATAATTTTCTAAATGGCTGTATTTAACCAATTTGCAAAATTACTGCAAATTTAACAATGGACTCTCAAGATAGTATGAGACAGCTCCAGCACACCACTGGTTGGTTGTCTTATTCTTGAGCTGGGAGAATTCTTTATATATTCTACATCAGCACTGCCCAATGGAACTTTCTGCAATAATGAAGATGTCCTATAATTTTGAGTGGTCCAATCTGATATCCACTAGTTATCTGTGGCTACTGAGCACTTGAAATGTGGCTAGTACAAATGAGAGACTGAATTTTAAATTTTACTTAATTTTAATCCATTTAAATTCAAATTTAAATATCCACATAAGGCTAGTGGCTATCATAACAGACACAGAAAGAACTGACTCTCTCCCATGCGGGATAACATTTGGGACAATAATAACGTTAATAAGAGTTATATTGTGCATACTTTATATGTTCATAAAACTGTAGTTAAAAGCACAGATTCTGGAGTCAGCTGCCTAGGTTCAAATCTGTTTCCTTCTCTTTAAAATGGGATTAGCCTGTAATCTCAGCACTTTGGGAGGCTAAGGCCGAAGGATCCTTTGAGCCCGAGTTCCAGACCAGCCTGGGCAACAAAGCGAGACGCGGTATCTACCAAAAATAATTTTAAAGATTAGCTGGGCGTGGTGTCGCAAGGCAGCAGTCCCAGCTACTCCGGAGGCTGAGGCGGGAGGGAAGATTGCTTGAGCCCAGGATGTCGAGGCTGCAGTAAGCTGTGATCGCACCACTGCACTCCAGCCTGGGCGACAGAGCAAGATCCCGTATCAATAAAAAAGGAAAGAAAAGAAATAATGCTTGTAGAGCGTTCGGCACAGTGTCGGGTTATACTGTAAACATTCAGTAGTTGGCGCTAGTTATTAGAGCGGTGTTCCTGGATGAGCCACCTCCATGTTGAGCCTGTAAAACTGGCCTAATATGTTCTCTATGAGTCACTGCATTGCTCTGCAAATCAGATAAAACGTCACTCGTAGGTCAGTTATTAACAACCCCACTGATAATCTTTGGAAAAAACTGACATAATTTTCTTTTTCTTTTTTTTTTGGTGAGACGGAGATTTACTCGTTGCCCAGGCTGGAGTGCAATGGCGCGATCTTGGCTCACCGCATCCTCCGCCTCCCAGGTCCAAGCGATTCTCCTGCCTCAGGCTCCCGAGTAGCTGGGATTACAGGCATGTGTGACCACGCCCGGCTAATTTTGTATTTTTAGTAGAGACGGGGTTTCACCGTGTTGCCCAGGCTGATCTCGAACTCCTCACCTCAGGTAATCCGCCCGCCTCGGCCTCCCAAAGTTCTGGGATTACAGGCGTGAGCCACTGCGCCCGGCCAGAAACTGCCACAATTTTCTAAAGAGGAAAAAAAAATCCCTTCTAAGCTATCCCCTCCCGACGAGACCCTTCCTGTTCCTTTAAAATGGGCCGGGCAGCAGAAAGACGAGTGAGTGACAGCAGACAGGCCAATCAGAAGCGGCCCCGTCTCGGGCCCACCCCGAGGCCTGGCCCAACCGCGTCCCGGTAGCTCCCGGAATAGGAGCGTTGCGAGACGGTCGGTTCCAAGTGGGCCTGGGCGCGGGGGAGAGGCGGGTCTGTCCTCGGGAACTGCAAGGCCCTGTGAGCGGGAGGACTGGGATCCCGGCCGCGGCTGCTGGAAGCGTCGAAGCTCAGCGGGGCCGCGGACACTGACCTGTGCTTAGAACTCATCCTGGCCCGCAGAGCCTGCCGCGAGTCCCTGGCGTCCCCTGTGGCGGGCTCTTGGAGCCACTTTCCCGAGCGGAAGTCAGCCCGCGGCTCGGACTCCGGCGGGACCTGCTCGGAGGAATGGCGCCGCCGGGTGAGGAGTTGCGCGTGGCTTTGGGGAGAGGGCTGTCGCCCGCGGGAGGTTACTAGTCGCCGCTCGAGAGCCGGCCAGGCGGGATCCCCTTCCCCTGCGGGACAGGGGCATGGGCACAAGCTCTGGCTGGGGCGCTCTCGGATCGAGGGTCCGAAGGAGGGCTGCGAGCTGGTGGGAGTGCCCGCGACCTGGCGGGGTTGGTGCCTGGGGGAGGGGTGCAGCGCGGAGCTACGGGTCGCCCCGAGGCTCAGCCGTGGGGACCGCGGACGCGCTTAGCCTAGGTCTGGCCTCATTCATTTCACTCGCGCGGGCTTCTGGGCCAGGCGGCCTAAGGTTCTGGTCCCGGCGCTGCCCCTTACTCCGTGTGAGGTTTTGGGCAGATTGTCCTTCTTTGTGCTGTAGTTTCCCATTCAGTGAAAGGGGCAAAGAAAACCCTCACTTCTCTCTGGGAGCCTGGAGCATAAGTTCTCAAGTGACACTCTAGGTGCAAACTTGCAGTCGGCCACGTATTCATTGTGTAACCCAAAGCAGGTTACTTAACCCCTCTACACCTCAGTTTCTCATCTGTAAAATAAGTTAGTCAAATTAGTCACGTTATCTGCCTCGTTGAGTTGCTTTATTAAGTGAAATAATCTTCGTGCTTAGTTTAGAACAGTGCATGGCCCTAGGTAAGAACTAAGTTAACTGCATTGGAAGTTACTGAGTAGACGCTGTGCAGGGTGGAATTTCATGTAGCCTCATCGTAACTTTGGAAGCATGTACTCTTGTTACTACCATTTGACAGATGAGAAGTTGGAATCCCACGGAAGGGAACTTACTTGCCCAGGGTGACACATGAATGAGTCAGTGGCTCACCGTTTCATTATTTGAGAAGTTCAGGATAGTAAAGTGGTTAAAAGCAGACTTTGGATTCAAATTGCCTGAAGTTTGATTTTCAGTGATGTGTCCTAGGGCAGGTAACTACTTCTGAGCCTTACTTTCCTGGTCTGTGAAATGCAGAAAATAGCCACCTTGCTTAGATGTTGTGAGGATTTAATGATTTGGTGTGTGCAAAGCACAGCATAGCGTGGGCATACCTAACATATTAAGTGCTCAACTTTTAGTCAGAAAAGTTACTGCTCTCGTTAACATGGAGTGAGAAGATTAGGATTCTGACACAGGTGCTGTTTTAGGGGAATTTACGGTCTAGGTGGGAAAATGCTAGTCGCAGCCATTCACTAGATCTTCATATATTGGGTACCCGCCTGTGCACAAGGCATTGGGGATTCAGCATTAGTATCTTGACTCCGCTCTCTCTTAGGTCTTTCTGTCCATTAGCAGTTTCTGATAGGCTTTGACTTTGAATTCTAGCCAGACTAACTCTCATCACTTCTCATCATGTTCACTGCTGTTGCCCTGGTTTGGGCCACCATCATCTTCTGGCTTGGATTATGGCGGTAGTCTCCCAACTGGTGTCCCCTGCTCTGTCCTTGCACCTGCATGGTCTGTTCTCCACACAGTATTGTTTATTCTCAACACAGTAATACCATTAGAGTGTAAGTCAAATCACTCCTCTGCTTAGAACTTTCCAGTGGTCTCCAGCCGGGTGCGGTAGCTCACGCCTGTAATCCCAGCACTTTGGGAGGCTGAGGCGGGCGGATCACGAGGTCAAGAGATCAAGACCATCCTGGCCAACATGGTGAAACCCCGTCTCTACTAAAAAGACAAAAATTAGCTGGGCATGGTGGCACGTGCCTGTAGTCCTAGCTACTTGGGAGGCTGAGGCAGGAGAATCGCTTGAACCCGGGAGGCGGAGGCTGCAGTGAGCCGAGATCGCGCCACTGCACTCCAGCCTGGCAACAGAGCGAGACTCTGTCTAAAAAAAAAAAAAAGAACTTTCCAGTGGCTTCCACTACGGTGGTATACAAGGCCCTCTGGATTTGTCCTCTGCTACCTCTGTTACCTCATCTACTTCTTACCCTTTGCTTATTCCACTCAAGCTGTACTGTCCTTGCTGATCTCAAAAAACACTGTATGTGTACATACTCCTGATTCAGAATGTTTGCATTTGGTTTTTCTTTTCTTTTTTTTTTTTTTTTTTGAGACAGAGCCCCAGGCTGGAGTGCAGTGGCACGATCTCAGCTCACTGCCCACTCTGCTTCCCAGATCAAGTGATTCTCGTGCTTCAGCCTCCCTAGTAGCTGGGATTACAGGCCAAGTCACCATGTGCGGCTCATGTTTTGTATTTTTAGTAGACATGGGGTTTCACCATGTTGGCCAGGTTTGTCTTGAACTCCCGACCTCAGGTGATCCCCCTGCCTTGGCCTCCCAAAGTGCTGGGGTTAGAGGTGTGAGCCACTGCGCCTGGCCATATTGGGTTTTTCTTCTTAGCATAGTTTCCCACCAGATATCTTTATGACTTGCTTCTTCTTCAGATCTGTACTCAATATGTTTATTTCTTAGTCCTTCATAGACTACCGTATTTAAAATGCAGCCCTTCCCAAATATCTCTTCTGTACTTTATTTTTTTCCATAGCACTTACTTTGTAATGTGATAAATAATGTTATTTCATGTGATGTCTTTTGTCACTAGAATAGAAGCTCTTTGAGGGTGGGAGTTTTGTTTCTTTTGTTTCCTGCTGTATTTTTAACACCTAAAGTAGTGTGTGGCACATAGTAGCTCAGTATACATTTGATGAATACACCACGTGATAGATTTTTTCTTTTTTTAATTTAATTTTATTTATTTATTTTTATTTTTTTGAGATGGAGTCTCACTCTGTCACCCAGGCTGGAGTGCAGTGGTGCGATCTCGGCTCACTGCAACTTCCGCCTCCTGGGTTTAAGTGATTCTCCTGCCTCAGCCTCCCAAGTAGTTTGGATTACAGGCACCCACCATCACACCTGGCTAATTTTTGTCTTTTTAGTAGAGACAGGGTTTCACCATGTTGGCCAGGCTGGTCTTGAACTCCTGACTTCAAGTGATCCGCCCACCTCGGCCTCCCAAAGTGCTGGGATTACAGGCGTGAGCTACTGTGCCCAGCTGTCTTTTATTTTTTTGAGACAGGGTCTCTCTTTCTCACCCAGGGTGGAGTGCCATGGTGTGATCTCAGCTCACTGCAGTCTCAACCTCCTGGGCTCAAGTGATCCTCCTACCTCCGCCTCCCGAGTAGCTGGGACTACAGGCACACGCCACCATGCCTGGCTAATTTTTGTATTTTCTTTTTTGTAGAGAAAGGGTTTCGCCATGTCGCCTGGTCTAGTCTTGAACTCCTGGGCTCAAGCATCCGCCTGCCTCAGCCTCCCCAAGTGTTGGGATTACAGAAGTGAGCCAGTGCCGCTGGCCAATAGTGCCTTTTTTCAAGGATTCTAGTTCAAGCTTAATTTAACACTAAAGGCAAAGGATTTAGGGCCACTCATGTTAGCCTAGTGATTATTTGTTACTGCTGTTACTTGGGTGCCAGACAATGCACTTTATCAAGAAGCAGCCCATTCAAAAGTGTTTTTTGTTTTGTTTTTTTAAATAAATGAAGTAGAAATGTACCACTCCTGCAGCTTCCTGTCCCCTGGGGCATCATAGATGGGGATTAATTTTTCTTTTCATTTATTCAGCAAATATTTATTCAGTAACTATGTGCCAGGCAGTGTGCAAGACTTGGAAATACTGGGATGAACAAAAGAAGCAGTCTTTATCCTCATGGAACTTACAGTTTAGCAGAGAAATCAGACATTACGCTGTTAAAGTTGTAGAAAATCCCACAGAGAAGTACAGATTGCTATGAGTGGATATAAGCACAACAATAATAATAGTAGTAGAAGTAGTAGCTAACATTGATATAGCATTTGTTATGTGCCAGTCATTATTCTAAGATTTTTTTTTTTTTGAGACGGAGTTTTGCTCTTGTCACTCAGGTTGGCAACAATGGCGCATTCTCAGCTCTCTGCAACCTCTTGTCTCCCAGGTTCAAGCGATTCTCCTGCCTCAGCCTCCCAAGTAGCTGGGATTACAGGCACCTGCCACCACACCCAGCTAATTTTTTTGTATTTTTAGTAGAGGCGGGGTTTCACCATGTTGGCCAGGCTGGCCTCAAATTCCTGACCTCAGGTGATCCACCTGCCTCGGCCTCCCAAAGTGCTGGCCCGGCCAGATCTTTCTGTATTAACTCGTGTAATTGTACCTGAGGTAGATACTATTATCACTTTACACTTTAGGAAACTGAGGCACCAGCTGGTTGAATAACTGCCAAGGGCACATTGCTAATAAATGGCAGAGGTGTGATTTAAGCCTGGCCCCAGAGTCTGGGTTCTTCCTTACATTATTGTACTGGGGAACTAATCCTAGGGAGAGCTGCTTAAGGAAGAGGTGCTTGAGCTGAATTCTGAAAGTAAAAATTAAGCCAAGTTGAGGTAAAAACATGGAAAAATGCTGAGCAGGAAAGAACCTGGCTTCTTAGAGGACAGAGAAGAAGCCAGAGAGCAACAGATAGCGGGAAGCGCGAGGGAGGAGATCTGGTTGAGAGGCTGGCAAGGTGTGAGGATTCAGGATTGGGTTTGTCCTTAGAGGCAGAGGACTTACAGACATCTTTCAGATGGGAATAGTAGGATAAGGCCTGTGCTTTAGATGCTTGGAGGCTGCTGGGAGGACTGTCCTTCCACCAGTTGAAGAGCAGGCTCCCTGCCTTCCCAAGGCTTCTCCTCAGGTTAAACCCCTGGATTCCCTCGCCCTTCCCCATGTGATTTGGTTCCCAGATCTTGGTGTGCATCATCATTGGGACTGTGTATAGCACCTTGGAAGAGTGTAGAGTGTACTGAATGGTTGTTTCCCCCCAAGGTTCAAGCACTGTCTTCCTGTTGGCCCTGACAATCATAGCCAGCACCTGGGCTCTGACGCCCACTCACTACCTCACCAAGCATGACGTGGAGAGACTAAAAGCCTCGCTGGATCGCCCTTTCACAAATTTGGAATCTGCCTTCTACTCCATCGTGGGACTCAGCAGCCTTGGTGCTCAGGTGCCAGATGCAAAGGTAAGGCTGCTTTTGTCCTGGTGGTCAGGGTGGTTCAGGAGAACCTTCATCCCCTCACTATATTCCTTTGGGGTAGTTCAAAACTAACTCTTGCTCATTTGAGGATAACCAAGGTTAATCCAATATAAGAAATATTTGGCCAGGCGTGGTGACTCACGCCTGTAATGCCAGCACTTTGGGAGGTCTAGGCAGGTGGATCACGAGGTCAGGAGTTCGAGACCAGCCTGGCCAGTGCAGTGAAACCCTGACTCTGCTAAAAATAGAAAAAATTAGCTGGGTGTGGTGGTGCATGCCTGTAATCCCAGCTACTCAGGAGGCTGAGGCAGGAGAATCGTGTGAACCCAGGAGGCAGAGGTTGCAGTGAGCTGAGATCCCGCCATTGCACTCCAGCCCAGGCAACAGTGTGAGACTCAGTCTCAAAAAAAGAAGTTTATTTCAGTTTGACAGATCTGTTTTTGTTTTTGTTTTTTTGCCTAATGTATGTTAAGGATCATACCAGATCAGTTATTTTTAGTGGGATGTCAAGAAGAGCAAGCATAGATCATCTAGAAACTTTTACTTCAGCTCTGGGAGTGAGACTGTCCAATAACACATGTACTTACTAAGTGCCCCCCTATGTGTGTGGCTAATAATAAGGGAATTCAAGGTGGAAGGCACTCACATGTATTAAATAATGGTAGTCACTACATCAGGCAATTTTGATACATGTTTTTGGACTTCTGGTGAGGAAAATGCATTATGATTAAAACCTTTCCTGGATTCGGGACAGTCTTTTTTTTTTTTTTTTTGAGACAGAGTCTGGCTCACCCAGGCTAGAGTGCAGTGGCATGATCATGGCTCACTGCAGTCTCTGTCTCCTGGGCTCAAGCCATCCACCTCAGCTTCCCTAGTAGCTGGGACTACAGGTGTGCACCACCATGCCTGGCAATTTTTGTATTTTTTCGTTAGAGATGGGGTTTTGCCATGTTGCCCAGGCTGGTCTTAAACTCCTGGGCTCAAGTGATCCACCTGCCTCAGCCTCCCAAAGTGTTGAGATTACAGGTGTGAGCCACCACCTGACCAGGAACAGTCTTAAAGTGAATTTACATTTTATTCATTATAGTAGTATGGACAACTAGACTAAACAATTTTCCTTTGCCAAGTTTCTCATATCTGCCTTAGTTTTCTTTGACTGAAGAACAAATTACCATAAATGTAGGGGCTTAAAACACCACCGACTTATTGGCTTATATGGCTTATAGTTCTTTATTTTATTTTATTTAAGAGAGGGTCTCACTGTGTTGCCCAGGCTGGAGTGCAGTGGCTATTCACAGGCATGATTATAGCACACTATAACCTCGAACTCCTGGGCTCAAGTGATCCTCCTGTCTCAGCTTCCTGAGTACCTGGGACTATGGGTGCATCCCACCGCACCCCGCTGTTAGCTGATAATCCTGCAGGTCAGAAGTCTAGACAGGCTTGCCTGGGCCCTCTGCTTAGTGTCTCCTGAGGTCAAAGTGAAGGCATTGGCCAAACTGGGCTCCTCCCGGAAGCACTGGAGAAGAATCTGCCTCCAGGCCCATTCATGTTGTCGTATTGTCAGCAAAATCCAGTTCCTGTGGTTGTGGGCCTGAGGTCTCCATTTCCTTGCTAGCTGTCTGCTAGGAGTTGCTCTCTGTTCCTCAAGGCCATTGGTATTTCTTCTCACATGGCCCCTCCACCTTTAAACCAGTAATGGCATGGTGAGTCCTTACTCTTCAATTCTCTCTGACTTCCTCTTCAGCCACCAGCCAGAGAAAACTGCTATTAAAGGGTTCACCTGTTTGGGTCAGCCCACCTGGATAATCTCTGAATTGTAAGGTCAGCTGACTTGGGGCTTTAATTATACCTGCAAAATCACTTTATAACAGTTCCTAAATTTGTGTTTAAATGAATAATCAGTGGATGGAAATCCAGGGGGAGGAGTATGAATGTCTTTAGAATTCTGCCTACCATTTCTTGTATTAGCATGGAAATGACTCCAAATCTGTAGGGACTTTAGGCATACACTACTGCACCTGGCTTGCTGGATGGAGTGTCTTCAAGCAAATATCAGACATATTGTTGTACTTGTATCTCTTATTCTATTTATTTATTTATTTTGTAGAGATGAGGTCTCGCTATGTTGCCTAGGCTGGTGTCATGAACTGACCTCAAGCAATCCTCCTGCCACGGCCTCTCAAAGTGTTGGGATTACAGGCATGAGCCATTGTGCCTGACCAACAGTAATTCTTTAATGTCATTTAATTCTCAGTCTATGTTCAGTTATCTTGAGTTATCTCAAAAGTGTTTTTTACAGTTAGTTGGCTTAAATCAGGATCTAAAGAAGGTCTACACATTCCATTTTTTGCTGGTATCTCTTAAGACTCTTTTCACCGATAATAGTTCCCATTCCCTCTTTTCTCCCCATACCATTTATTTGTGGAATAAGTCAGGTCATTTGTCCTGGAATATTTTCCACATTCTGCCTTTGATTAATTGTATCTTCATGATGTTTTTGAACATATTTCCCTATCCTTTGTATCCCTGTAAACTGATAGTTAGCTCTTGAGGCTAAATTATATTCAGGGTTGGTTTTCTTGGTGAAAATATTTCACAGGTGGTGCTGTGGACTTCCTATTAATAGATACATAATATCTGGTTATTTCACTTTTAGTGATGATGAAGTTGTAAATTAAGGTGTTGTCAGACTAATCTATCGCTTATAAATAGTATATAGTAGGGATTTGTTTTTTCATCCAGTCTGATAATTTCTACCTTTTGATTGGGGAGTTTATTCCATTTATTTTTTTATTTTGATTCTTTTTTTATGTTTAAGATCAATCATTTGGCGGGGCGCGGTGGCTCAAGCCTGTAATCCCAGCACTTTGGGAGGCCGAGGCGGGCGGATCACGAGGTCAGGAGATCGAGACCATCCCGGCTAAAACGGTGAAACACCGTCTCTACTAAAAATACAAAAAATTAGCCGGGCGTAGTGGCGGGCGCCTGTAGTCCCAGCTACTTGGGAGGCTGAGGCAGGAGAATGGCGTGAACCCGGGAGGCGGAGCTTGCAGTGAGCCGAGATCCCGCCACTGCACTCCAGCCTGGGCGACAGAGCGAGACTCCGTCTCAAAAAAAAAAAAAAAAAAAGATCAATCATTTATGTTTAATTATATTGTTGGGTTTACATCTGTCATCTTGTTATTTGTTTCCTATTGGCTTACCTGTTTTTCCCTCTCTTTTCCTGTCTTATTTTTATATTTTATTTTGTTTTATTTTATTTTTTTGAGACAGGGTCTCACTCTTGTCACCCAGGCTGGAGTGCAGTGGTGTGATCTCTGCTCACTGTGACCTCTGCCTCCCGGGTTCAAGTGATCCTCCCATCTCAGCCTCCTAAGTAGCTGGGATTACAGACGCGCACCACCATGCCTGGCTAATTTTTTGTATTTTTTGGTAGAGATGGGGTTTCACCATGTTGGCCAGGCTGGTCTTGAACTCCTGACCTCAAGTGATTTGCCCTCCTCGGCCTCCCAAAATGCTGGGATTACACGCGTGAGCCACTGCGCCCAGCCCCTTGATTATTTTTAAATATTCTGTTTTATATCTTCTATTGACTGTTCAGATCTAATTTTTTTTTAGTGTTTGTCTAGTTTTGTTTAGAGATTTTAATATGCATCCTTAATTTCTCACGGTATATCTTGAATTATTATTTTGCCATGTCACAAATAGTAAAAGAACCCTATAACTGTATTTGCATTTAAACTCTCATCATTTCTGCTATCATTGTCATACTTTTTGTTTGTTTGTTTTTGTTTTTGAGATGAAGGCTTACTCTGTTGCCAAGCTGGAGTGCAGTGGCGCGATCTTGGCCCACTGCAACCTCCGCCTGCTGGGTTCAAGCGATTCCCCTGCCTCAGCCTCCTATAGGTGCACGCCACCACACCCAGCTGATTTTTTGTATTTTGGTAGAGACGAGGTTTCACTATGTTGGCCAGGATAGTCTCCATCTCCTGACCTTGTGATCTGCCCGTCTTGGCCTCCCAAAGTGCTGGGATTACAGGTGTGAGCCACCGCGCCCGGCCCATTGTCGTACTTTTTAACCTTCTTTCAAGGATCCCAGCCTTTGCTGTCTGTTGTTCAGTGTCTCAATTTCATATATTTCATACAGTTTTATAGTTATTTTTGGTAGGAAGGGAAGTTCAATATATTTAATTCTGTCAAGGGCAGAATTGATAGTCCCAATTGGTGTCTTTTTTTTTTTTTCTGAGACAAGGCCTCGCTCTGTTGCCCAGGTTGGAGTGCAGTGGTGCGATCATGGTTCACTGCAGCCTCAAACTTCTGGACTCAGGTGATCCTTCACCTCTGCCCCTCGAGTAGCTGGGACTACAGTCACCTGTCACCATGCCTAGCTAAATTTTTTTTTTTTTTAATATTTGTAGAGACGGTGTTGCCATGTTGCCCAGGGTTGTCTCAAACTCCTCGGGTCAAGCCATCCTCCTGCCTCTGCCTCCCAAAGTGCTGGGATTATGGACATGAACCACTGTGCCCAGCCTCCAATTGATGTCTTTTTTTGTTGTTTGTTTGACATGGAGTCTTACTGTCATCCGGGCTGGAGTGCAGTTTTGTAGTCTTAGCTCACTGCAACCTCCGCCTCGTAGGTTCAAGTGATCCTCCAGCCTCAGCCTCCCAAGTAGCTGGGACTACAGGCATTCTCCACCACGCCTGGCTAATTTTTGTGTTTTTTGGTAGTGACAGGATTTTGCCATGTTGGCCAGGCTGGTCCTGAACTCTTGACCTCAGGTGATCCACCCGCCTTGGCCTCCCAAAGTGCTGGGATTATAGGTGTGAGCCACCCCTCTCAGCAATTGATATCTTTCAATCCATTTCAATTGTTATCCTTTTTGGTGCTCAAAATGTTCCATTTTTGCCAATGGGCCAAACTGTGTGTGTGTATGTGTGTGTGTGTGTGTGTGTGTGTGTGTGTGTGTGTGAACATCCATTCATTTACACATTGGGTACAACTGGTTTTCAGTTTAACTGTAGAGTTAAATAGTTACTAGACTGGCCAGAAAGCCTAAAGTATTTACCAACTGGTCCTTTACAGAAAAAGTTTGCTAATCGCAGCTATATGAGATCCAGCTTACTCAAATTTTTTCCTGACAACCAGCTCTCCGTTTCTGCCCAATGTTTTCTTCCTGTGTGTGACTCTATTAAAGATACAGACGTTTCCTCATGATTACACTCTTATAAACCCTAAAGGTGAATGTACCTCCTGATAAAATTAGTTCTGCTCAAAAGTAAGAGTATACCCATCAGAGTCAGTTAACTCAAGCTTTTAATTCTGGCTCCACCTCTCTGCAAAGGGAGTTATGAAGCCTACCTCACTGAATCATTGTAAGAAGAAAGTGAAATTACAGTATGCCCCTCAAAGGAAATGGTAGCTATTATCGTTCTTACATTGAAAAGGTTTGCTTCTATTTATACTTTGTTTAGGTGAGTTCAGACAATGCCTGGCACAGACACTGTATTCGCAGTGCCTTTTGTAGTGATGCTTCGTACTTCTGCTCTGGTTTTTGGTGATGTCTTTAGAGGCCCTGGGGAGAGAGAAAGAGCAAATTGACTAGAGGTTTTGTATTGTGAGGTATAGGAGATAACATTGAAATAGTAATGTTAACCTCTGGCAGGATTTGAATGCAGGATGAAAAGTTTCTCCTGAAGGTTTTCAAACTTTTGTGGAACCACAGGATTCGGTGTAGGGGGTCACGGAGGAATGAGGTGCTCCCACTTCATCCAGAGCATGTCTTTTGATCTGTGTCGTGATTTGGAGTTCTATAGGAGATTTAGGTTGAACACATACCCCCAAAGCTATTCTCTGCCATCATCACAAGTTTGCGGGATGTTGGTTAGGGCTGAAGATGTAGATTGAGAGGCATCCGGCCAGCTGCCATGCAGTGTGACTTGGGATAATTACATGATTGGGCTGGCTGTGGCTTTATGTTTACAATACAGACGCTGAAGTCAGAGTGGTTGCCTTCAAGGTGTTAACTTCAAAACTTCACACCTGAGTCACCTGTGCAGCTTATTTAACCTTTCAAAATTGTTGTTCTGTCATCGGTAAGATGGAGATAATAATACTCAGCTCACAGATAATGTGTGCAGGGTAGTTAGCACGTTGATGGCATGTGGTAATACGTAGTATTACCCTTATGAGTAGTATGACTATATATAAATAGTAGTAGCAGTTGGTACACATTGATTGACATTTTTTTTTCAGACTGTCATCCTCACTGCTTAGCATACATCTGACACACGGGTGTCTAACAAATATTTGAACTGTAGACTTTAGCTCAATCAAAATGGGAGCTCTCTAAATGTGCCTGCTAATCAGAAAATAAATAGGTTAATCACATACTCCATTCTAATTGCTTATGAAATGTGCTGTGTTGATTAGGTGGTGTGTGCATTATAAGTAATGGAAGAAAGGGAGTTGTATGCATGTTTCAGAGCTGTTGAATTTCCTCATTAGATGTGCAAACTACATAAATCCATTGAGAGATTTATGTCATTACTGTCACTTCCGTGTAGCGGTGCATGTCCTGCTCAGCTGTTGCTGCCTTCAGCTCAGTAGAGAGAACTCCCTGGGCTCCCCTAGATACACTGTTGCCTATTCTCACAGATCGATATATTTGGAGAGATTTTGGTTATTATCTCGTAAGAGGTTTTAGCAGCAAAACTGGGAGAAATGGGGTTTAATGAGAATAGAAACTATGGAGACAGCAGTGTGGAATGAGAGTTGATTTTAGGTGTTATAAAGTGTGAGCATCGGCTGGGTGCGGTGTCTCAGGCCTGTAATCTCAGCACTTTGGGAGGCTGAGGTTGGTGGATCCCTTGAGGTCAGGAGTTCGAGACCAGCCTGGCCAACACGGCAAAACCCTGTCTTTACTAAAAATACAGAAGTTAGCTGGGCGTGGTGGGCATGCCTGTAATCCCAGCTACTCGGGAGGCCGAGGCAGGAGAATTGCTTGAACCCAGAGGCAGAGGTTTTGCAGTGAGCTGAGACTGTGCTGCTACACTCTAGCCTGGGTGACAGAGCGAGACCCTGTCTCAAAAAAAAGGCCAGGCGCGGTGGCTCACACGTGTAATCCCAGTACTTTGGGGATGCCGAGGCAGGCGGATCACGAGGTCAGGCAATCAAGACCATCCTGGCTAATACAGTGAAACCCCGTCTCTACTAAAAATACAAAAAAATTAGCTGGGCGTGGTGGCGGGTGCCTGTAGTCCCAGCTACTTTTTTTTTTTTTGAGACTCTGTCTCAAAAGAAAGAAAGAGTGAGCATTTTTCATTTGAGTTATATTTATATAAAACATAAGCATGTCAGAAAGGTGATTTTACAGATATCATTATTTAGCTTTTTACAAGATTAAGAACATGCTGGGCACAGTGGCTTATGCCTGTAATTCCAGCACTTTGGGAGGCTGGGGTGGGAGGATCACTTGAGGTCAGGAGTTGGAGACTAGCCTGGGCAACATAGTGAGACACCCGCCCCCCACCCCCGATTTCTGCAAAAAGTAAAATTAGATGGGCATGGTGGCATGCACCTCTAGTCCTAGCTATTTAGGTGGCTGAGGCAGAAAGGCAGGGATATTGCTTGAGCCCAGGAGTTTAAGGCTGCAGTTAGCTGTGATGGCACCACTGCAGTCCAGCCTGGGCAACAAAGCAAGACCCTGTCTCAAAGAAACCAAATTACTTTAAAAAAATGCCTCCCTTATAAAGCGTTGTGAGCATTAAATGAGATAATAAGTGTAAAGTGCTTAGTGTAGTGCCTGGCACATGATGAGTGCATATAGTAGTAAGTATATTTGTTTGTGGGTCAGGCACTAGTTCATTCCTGGGGATAGCAGAGAATGAGGCAATCCTTCACGCAGTAATCATTTATGGAGCATCTGCTGTGTGCCAGACATTGTGCTAAGTGCAGAGAAGACAAGAGAGCTCATTATCCATTGAGAGTACCATAATACAGTGCTAAGTGCCAAGAGGCAGACAGGCTGTTTGTGGAAAGTACCATGGGAGTCCAGCAGAGGGAGCCGGCACTCACCCTGTCTGCCAAGAAAGCCACAATCTTGCACTGGAGTGCTGCCATCTGTGCTGGCTGCTGCAGGCTTCATTTGGTCACTCAGCAAATATATAGTGAGTTTCTGCTGTGCACTAGGTATAGTGCTAGGCACTGGGGATTTACTCTTGAGCCATAAAGAGGGAGAGGGCCCCTGCACTCTTAAGAATATGTTGTCTAATAGCTGAGACAGGCATTAATCATGTAATCAAATACATGCACGAATATTTGCAACAATGGTAAGTTTTATGAAGGGGAGATATGTGCTGTTATAAATAGGGGATTTTATAGGGGTAGAATAGGGGACTTTGATTTGCCAGGAAAGGCTTTCCTGAGGAAATCTCCGAATTTAAATCTCATTGTGGGCTGAGTGTGTTGGCTCACACCTATAATCCTAGCACTTTGGAAGGCTGAGGCAGGAGGATTGCCTGAAGCCAGGAGTCTGAAACCAGCCTGGGCAACAAAATGAGACCCTGTCTCTACAAAAAGTAAAAAAAAATTATCTGGTGTAGTGGTGTGTGCCTGTAGTCCCAACTACTCAGGAGGCTGAGGATGGAGGATCGCTGGAGCCCAGGAGTTGGAGGCTGCAGTGAGCTACGATCATGCCACTGCACTCCAGCCTGTGTGAGAGGGCAAGACCCTGTCTCAAAACAAAAACAAAACAAACCCCAAACCCAAAACTCAAACCTCTCTGCATCACCCTAATCTCACTCTACTCCTTAAGGGCAGGGACTTTGTCTATTTTATTTGTTGTGTATCCCCAGTTCCTAGAACAGCACCTGGCATGTGGTAGGCACTGAAGTGAAGGAAGATGTGATTGATCTGAATTCTAAAGGGAGAGGAGGAGTTAACTGTGAGACGAAGGAGAGAAGGGACTTCAGGCAGAGGAAACAGCCTGTGCGGAGGATAGAGAGCAGGTTACATTTGAGATTGAAAGGAGGAGGTGTGTGGAACAGAGTGGGAGGGAGGGAGAGGAGTGAGGCAGGCTGGGGCCAAGCCATAGTGCCTTGGCCCACATAGGAAGAGTTCTGATCTGTTTCCAATGAGCAATATATTTTAAATAGCTAGTATCGTGATTCACCTTGCATTTTGGAAAGACTTCTCTCTTGCTTTTTGGAAGACAGACTATAGCAGGGGGCTACAGGGCAAGATTGAATGCAGGAGGGGTACAAAAGATAATGCCTGGACTTTCTGCTTCTGCTGCATGGATGGGTAGTTGGGCCATTCCATGAGATAGCAACACAGGAAGACAATGAGGTTTGTCTGGGAAAGATCACGAATTTGGTCTTTACCATGGTGAGCTTGAAATACCTTTGAGTCATGTAAGTGGCTGTTGAGAGAAGTCTGGGCTGGAGGTACGGGTCTGAGAATTATCTGCATAGAATTTTGGGATGAAGCCATGGGCATGGATGGGATGGCCTAGGGAGGCAGGGGGTGGTGGGATGAGAGCCAGGCCTAGGAGCTGAGAAACAGCAGGAGAGCTCAAAACTGAGGGAGGAGCTGCCAGAGAAGTAGGAGACCCAGCAGGGTGCGGTGGCATCCCAGAAGGCTACGGGCGCGCATGTTTCCCAGTGAGGACGTGATCGGTCTGTCCATTGTTGAGGAGTGAGCACTGGAAAATGTCCTCTGCTTCGACAATTTGGAGGTTGCCACTGGCCTGCTGGGGGCAGAAGCCAAATTGGAATGAGTGGAGGTGAGGACATGAAGACTGGAGCAGTGTGGCTGTGTGGGAAGAGAGAAGGTGGCACTGGAGGGGAGAGAAGGGTTGAGGGAAATTGTTGTTGTTGTTGTTGTTGTTGTTTGAAAGTTTCGCTCTTGTCACCCAGGCTGGAGTGCTGTGGCTCGATCTCGGCTCACTGCAACCTCCGCCTCCCAGGTTCAAGCGATTCTTCTACCTCAGCCTCCCAAGTAGCTGGGACTACAGGTGCACACCCCCACGCCTGGCTAATTTTTGTATTTTTAGTAGAGATGGAGTTTCACCATGTTGGTCAGGCTGGTCTCGAACTCCTGACCTCAGGTGATCCACCCGCCTCAGCCTCCCAAAGTGCTGGGATCACAGGCGTGAGCCATCACGCCCAGCCAGGAAGTTGTATTTTAAAATAAGTCTTGAGTTTTGTTAATACATTATAGGAGAAGTTGAATTGACGAGGTAATGGGCTTCCAGATGGAGAGACAGGGTGTACAAAGCCTGGAGGCTTCCAAGTGCTTGTTGTGCTTTGGGGCAGTGAGGTGCTTGTGCAACTGGAGCAGAGATGGGTGGGGAAGTGCAGTAGGAAGCACCTGGGGAAAAGCGGGCCTGGTTAGAAAGGGTCTGGCGTGGGGCCCCAGCCAGTGTGTGCCTGGGCAGCACATCACAGTAACAAAGTCTGAAGAGATGACAAAGCACAGTCTGAGAGGCAGCCAGAGTAGCGGGGAGCTGTTTATGGAGGAAATAGGGGAGGGGAGGGCAGATGAGAGAGATTTGCGGTCTTTTCTATAGGCCTCCGTATTTGATTAGGTTCAGGGAGTTGTAGGGGAAAACCTATGATGGAAGAAAGCACTGGTGTTCTTTGCTCAAGAGGGTGTTTGATTAATTGGGGTATTAGCACAGAAAGTTGGAAGCAAGCAGATCGGGGGTGGACATTTAGGGGGCAGTTTTCAGCCTTCAGTCGGGAAGATGAGTCTAGAACGTTGGAGGGCAGCTGGAGTCAGAGTTTCCAGTCCCCCGACAGTAGCTGGCTGAAGCCTCAGCACTGGGTGGGCTCACTGAGCAGGCTGAGCATGTTCTGGGAGGTGTCCCTGCTTCTGCTGCTGTGTAAACTCCGCCGTCAACATCTTGGGCTTTGAAGCCACTGAACGCCGGACTGGTTTACCTTGATTTGTCTTTGCAAAGTGTAGGAATGATGCTTGTCTTACTCCAGAATAGATTGTTTTTAGTGGGCTCTTGAGAAGTGGAGGTTTTATAGCTCAGACACCAGAGCCAGGCTCTTCTGGAGCCAGGGAATTCTAGTTCCCCTAGTTAAAAGCTGAGTGACTTTGGACAAGTTACTTTGCCTTTATAATGCCTCAGTTTTCTTACCTGTAAACTTAAGGTGATAAGAGTGCCTGATCCATGAGATAGATTGGGGATTAAATGAGAAATGCACATAAAGCACTTAGAACAGCGTTTGACACATTTTAAGTGCTCAGAAAGAGGTAATGATAGAGGTAGAAGTAGAGGTAGTCATTGTTTTGGGGTCTCCAGTGTTGTCGTTCCATTGTTAAAGCACCAGATGGCGACAAAGCACACATTTTCAGCTGCCTTGCATTCCCCTGCTTGGACTCCTTGAGTAGCTTTACTTATTCTCTTCAGATCCCTAATTGATGCAAAGTGAAGTATTTTGTTTGTTTCCTTTCTCTCTCTGGCTTCTTTAAAACTTCTGGTTGAAACTCATTTGTTTTGAGACTCTTATTTAAATTTCATTCATAAAATTAAAAAAATGCTTTGGTTGGAGTAGCATGTACACACAGTAAAACATTGGACAATACAAAATAGCTGTTAGTGAAAGGCAGCGTGCTGCCCTTGCCCTCCACCCTGTCCTACTCTCCAGGAGCACCCCGCGCTTTTTTTTTTTGGTGGGAGAGGAGTCTCACTCTGTCGTCCAGGCTGGAGTGCAGTGGCACGATCTCGGCTCACTGCAACCTCTGCCTCCCGGGTTCAAGGGATTCTCCTGCTTCAGCCTCCTGAGTAGCTGGAACTACAGGTGAGCGCCACCGTGCCTAGTCTCCCCCCCACCTTTTTTTTTTTGAGACGGAGTCTCGCTCTGTCGCCCAGGCTGGAGTGCAGTGGCACGATCTTGGCTCACTGCAAGCTCTGCCTCCCGGGTTCACATCAGTCTCCCGCCTCAAGCCTCCCGAGTAGCTGGGACTACAGGTGCCCACCACCACGCCCAGCTAATTTTGTTTTTGTGTTTTTAGTAGAGATGGGGTTTCACCGTGTTAGCCAGGATGGTCTCGATCTCCTGACCTTGTGATCTGCTCGCCTTGACCTCCCAAAGTGCTGGTATTACAGGTGTGAGCCACCGCGCCCAGCCTTTTTCTTTTTTTTGAGACAGGATGTTGCCCTGCCACCCATGCCAGACTGCAGTGGTGTAATCACAGCTCACTGCAGCCTCAAACGATTCTCCAACCTCACCTTCATAAAGTGTTAGGATTACAGGCGTGAGCCACTGTGCCCAGCCAGCACCCACTTTTAACTGTTATTATTACCACATCTTTTTGAATAGCTGAATTTTATATTACTTCAGCCAAAATATTGGCAGTCTATTGATTTGATACTGTTTCTTGGAGTCGAGGAGAGTCGTAGTAGCGGGGGCTTGGCGATTTTGTGATGTGTTTCCTTTGTGCCAGTCACTGTGATGGGCATTTGGCAAAGTCCCTGATCTTGGGCCACTAGTCACTGGGGGAACTAGTAAGTGCAGTGTGGTACGTGCTTTGGGGGAGCACTTGAGAGGGTGGATACCTGGCCTCTCCTGGGAGGACTGTCAGGAAGAGGTGAACATCTGAGCAGAGTTGAAGATAGGACCTGGTTTGGCAGGCAGGAAGGACAAGGAAAAGGTGCTCCCGGCAGGGTGGGTAGCAGGGTCAAACACGTCAAATGGCGAGAGCGTGGTATAGCTGCAGGAGGCTAGAGGGTAAGATTTTGGAGTTGGAGTTAGGGCTATGGTGATGCAGGCAGCATGGAGAGGGAGGGTCAGTCTTGAGGGCATTTCATGCTGTGTCAGAAGTTGGATCTTGTCTGAGAAAAACAGGGAACCACTGAAGGGTTTTAAAGGTAAAGCAACACGGTTACACTTGTATTTTGTGAAGATCAGTCTTGAAGCAGTGTGCAGAATGGATTGCATGGCTTTAGACCGCTTAGGAGATGACTGACTGGGACAATGTAGGTGAGAAATGGCAAGGGCCTGCTGTAAGGCAGTGACAGAAACCAGAGGCGGGACTGGGCCTGAGAAATGAAAAAGAGGTAGACTTGATAGGCTTGGAGGGTGGGGAAAAGTCAAGGATGGTTCCCATGTTTCTGGTTTGGGTTGCTGGATGCATGGTATTACCTGTGCATGAGCTGGGAAGTCCTGGTGAAGAAATAGAAGGTTTTAAGCTCATTTTCTTTTTTATTTTTATTTTTTTGGGGGACTGGGTCTCGCTCTGTCTCCCAGACTGGAGTGTAGTGGCATGAACATGGCTCACTGCAGCCTCAACTTCAAGCAGTCCTCCTACCTCAGCCTCCCAGGTAGCTGGGACCACAGGCATGCGCCACCTGCTCTGCTACTTTTTGAATTTTTTGTGGAGATGGGGTCTTACCATGTTACCCAGGCTGGTCTCAACTCCTGAGCTCAAGCAGTCCTGCCTCAGCCTCCCAAAGGCCTGGGATTACAGATGTGAGCCACTGCACCCAGCGTTAAGCTCATTTTAGATTTGTTGAGCCTGACTTGGCCTTGGTGACATCTAAGTGGAGATGCCAGTAAAGTTGGAATCAGAAGAGACTGCCACTTGGTAGCTTTGTCACCTTCATCAGGTTACTTGCCAATTTGGAGCCCCAGTTTCTTTTTCAGGTAAATGGGGATAGTGATAATCTCTACCAAAGGATCATGTTGTTAAAAGGAAGAGCTTCCTAAATACCCAGCACAGTCCATGGCCAGACAGGTGATCCGGGAAGTGGTTTCCTTCTTTCCTTTCTAAGGTTCGGAAGGACTCAAGCGCCTTCAGGCTTATTGCTCTTTGTACGAAGTGAGCAATTTTGGGTAATACCGTGTCCTATGGAAAGTAACTACTTAACTAAATTCATGTAGCTCATTCCTTAAGCCATCTATAATGGCTGAGAATGTTATCTAAAAACGCCTTTGCTTTTCCTGGTTCACTACATGTGTCACCACTTAACATTGACTTTTCCCCACTGTGTAGAAAGCATGTACCTACATCAGATCTAACCTTGATCCCAGCAATGTGGATTCCCTCTTCTACGCTGCCCAGGCCAGCCAGGCCCTCTCAGGATGTGAGGTGAGTCCGGGTTCCTACGCTGACAATGACTTTAACTATTTAAAGTACATTTTTAAAGGGGAGGAGTCATGTCAAACATCCTTTTTTTAATTATGAGAGTCCATTATTGTGAGTGGGAATTCCATTCCTGTGATTTTTTTTTTCCTTAAGAAAGTATAGTTTATGTTTCTCCTAAGTTTTTACTTTTCAAGGGTTTTAAATAACCTTTTTGTACAGTTTTTGCTTTTCTTCTGGTAGGTCTTGATTTTTTCCTTTCCATCTGCCTTTAACACGTAAAAATGTTCAAAGTGTACCCCCACACGAGGTTTCTGGAAGTCATTTTGTTGAACATAGGAGAACCATATAAGTAGAAAGGTAACTTGTCAGCATCTTTTCACATGGGAGTGTTGTACCGAAGTTTTGCAAACATTTCATCCTGGTGTCTGGGGATTAGAGGGGGATGAGCATGTGCGAGGCGGAGGTGACTTTGGCAGCTGCTCCGCATTCTGTCTTTGCCATGCCTGCCACAAATTGCCAAGACCTGTTCTAAAACTCTGTGTCTGCCAATTCTTTCTTAGATCTCTATTTCAAATGAGACCAAAGATCTGCTTCTGGCAGCTGTCAGTGAGGACTCATCTGTTACCCAGATCTACCATGCAGTTGCAGCTCTAAGTGGCTTTGGCCTTCCCTTGGCATCCCAAGAAGCACTCAGTGCCCTTACTGCTCGTCTCAGCAAGGAGGAGACTGTGCTGGCGTGAGTTGTCATCTCGAGCATTTCTCAGGCTTCATTTGTCTCGGGTCCTATCCGAAGAGGGCTCATTCATTGGTTCAGCAAATACTTTCTGGGCAAGTACTTGCAGTAAATACTTCCGTGTGCCAGGTGCTCTGCAAGGCACCGCAGACATGATTGCATGAAGGCAAGTAAGGTCCGTGTCCTCGTGGAGCTCACATGGACACAGTCTTCTGCAAGCCTCGCAGACAGAAGGCAAGCGCTGAGCCAGAGCATGAGCACACCACCACCTAGAGATCCAGTTGCCTTGTGCGGTTGGAGGGCTAGAGCAAGGGCAGATAACTGAGAAGGAGCCACGTGCATGTCTTGTTGAGGCTTGGCTAGGGCAGGATGACATGTTGGCAGTGGAGGCTCTGCAAAGTGGGGGCTCTCAGGATCCCTGGAAGTTGTGAAAGACAGCATCTGGTGGGTGAGGTGGTTGCTCAGAGGGTGGAGTATTCTAGGAATCAGACTCTACTACTCTGCAAAAGGCTTAGGTGAAGGAGAAGCACCTTTCCTATTTGTTATAAATGGAAATATTGTAACTTCAGGGTGTTTTTTGCTAAGCTCTTAAGTGATAATATATGTAGTTTTAAATTTTTATTTATTTAGAGACAGGATCTCACTCTGTCACCCAGGCTGAAGTGCAATGGTATGATCAAACTCACTGCAGCCTTGAACTCTGGGCTCAAGTGATTTTCCTACCTCAGCCTCCCGAGTAGCTGGACTACAGGTGCAAACTACCACGCCTAGCTAATTTTTTTTTTTTTTTGAGACGTGGTCTTACTCTGTTACCCAGGCTAGAGTGCAGTGACGCGATCTCAGTTCACTGCAACCTCCGCCTCCCGGGTTCAAGCAGTTCTCCTGCCTCAGCGTCTTCAGTGGCTGGGATTACAGGCGCGCCACCACGCCTGGCCAATTTTTGTATTTTTAGTAGAGACAGGGTTTCACCATGTTGGCCAGGTCTTGAACTCCTGACCTCAAGCAATCTACCTGCCTTGGCCTCCCAAAGTGCTGGGATTACAGGCGTGAGCCACAGCGCCCGGCTGCCCAGCTAATTTTTTTAGTTTTTAGTGGAGATGGGGCCTGTCTGTGTTGTCCAGGCCGGTTGTAATTTTTTTTTTTTTAACACTTAAACTGCTCCTTTAAAACAATATTTTTTTTGTCATTTTATTTGTGTTCACCGTTTCACTGCAAACCCTGAAGGAGGGTGTGGAGCACCGTTCTGGAATCCCGTTCGTTGTTTAGCAAGAGGTTGGTGATACCAAATCCCCCTTTCAAAACAGTGAGATTGTTTCCCAGGTTTTTTTGTTTGTTTTTTGTTTTTTTGCTGACAACCAGATTTTCTGTAAACTTAAAGCTTTGTTAAGGACAGGGTTCACAGGCAATTGACATTCCCTCTCTGTCCCTCCTCACACCCTCCCTATATTCACATGGTCAATCATCAGTGACTCTAGGGCTGACATTTTGTACACACTTTGTCCAGTGCTTGGCCCTTTTGGGCCTTTGATTTCAGGTGACATATTTTGATATCTGCTTTTAATCCCTCATGGGGAATGCTTCTCCAGTCACCATCATCTCATGCCATGATGCCACTGTTAGTGCCTGTGCCTTACTTTGATGCTACCTTCTACAAAAAAAATTCCCATTTCCTTCCAAGCAGAAGGGAAAATCCCCTTCCTCAAAACCCCAGAACCCCAGGAAGAAGTACAAGGGAAGTACGTCCACTTTGGAGTCAGACAGACTTAGGTTTGAACACCAGCTATTTCATTCCTTGTGTCTGACTTTGGCCAAATTTCTAACTTCTCTGAGCCTTGCCTTTAAAATGAAACCCATAATTCTTACATCAAAGCAACTGACAGGATTAAATGAGATAATAGGTGTGAAGACCCTAGCGCAGTGCCTGGTTCTTGGTGGGCGTGTAGGAAACGGAGTTCCTTTTCTGGACCATTTGTTTGTTAGGTCCCTAACAAACAGGTCCCCCTTCTTAGAGAGTTTGTTACTTCCTTCGTTGTTGTTATTTGTATGTTAGGTCATAAGCTTTTTTTTTTTTTTTTTTGAGACAGGGTCTCACTGTGTCATCTAGGCTGCAGTGCAATGCGATCATATTTAAAGCTCACTACAACCTCAAACTCTTGGGCGTGAGCGATTCTCCCACCTTAGCCTTCTGAGTAGCTGGGACTATAATCACATGCCACCACACCCAGCCATAAGCTTTACTTGCAGTGCTTAGAGAGCCTGGCACATGGTCTGTACCCAACGGAGTTAATAAAGGATGAAACTATACTTTTGTGTTTCTGTTGTCTTGTAGAAAGCTCATAGGTAGGAAGAACATACGCTTTGGAGCAGAAAGAACTGTGTTCAAATCCATTCTTCTACTCAACCTCTGTGACCATGAGTGGGTTGTTTAGCCCGCCTAAACCTCAGTGTTCTCATATGCAAACCTGGAGAATGTCTCGTAGGGTCATTGTGAAATCCAACTGGTAGGTTGCCTTATATTACTACTAATTTGCGCTATTAAAGGCAAGCTGATATAAATTAGAACTCTTCTGAATGGGCCTTCTATATTTAAATGGGCTTTTTCTAGGAAGTGTATATTTGTAAACTTGTCTTGAATGGAAAAAAAGAAAATACTTGTAGATTTGAATGAACCACCTGAGAAGATCTCATTGTAGTCTGTCATAAATCAATTTCTCTGAATCATCTGCTATATATTAGCAAGATAAGATCTGCTTTCTTAGTGTTCGAATACAGTACTATGCTCCAGAGAAAAAGAAATTGCTGGCTGGGGAATAAGTAATTAAAGCCAGTGACAAAACTTTCTAAAACTCAGTGGATTAATTTCATTCTAAAACTTCTGAGGTTGTTACCAGCACGGCACTCTCTCATTCCAAAGAGAAAAAAATGATATCTTAATTGAGAAGTTCTTTCTAGGCTATCTTAACTGCCTTTTCTGAGCACAGCGTTTATCACGGGCAGATGTGTGATTTTTGTCTTGTTTGGAAATTCAGGTTTCATTTTCTCAAGTGTATGATAACAGCAAGCATCCCATAGGTGTCGTTGAATACTCTGGGGCTTGTCTCTCTGTAAATTGCGACTCTGCTGTTTTCCAACTTGTCATCTTAATGGAATGAGTTTCCCATGGAGAGAATCTAAATTGTTATGTTCTTGACATAAGCAGACAGATTCTTGCTCTACATTCCCTGACATATTGACTTGATAAGTGGTGGTTTTACACAAGGGCCCAGTCATCTCTTAGGAATTAGGAAACCATTCGGGGTGGAAGCAGCAATCTGTTTAACCACCAGGGGGCCTCTCCTCTCCCAGTTTCACCCAGAAAAGCACCATTTATATTTTCCAAATTATCTGTATTAAGATAATAGAATCTAATAAGTCTTACATGTATACATCTATCATGTTCCATCTTAAAAAGCTTATCTTCCAGAATTATAGATAAAAATATATGAATAAGCCATAAAAAAGAATGAAGTGCAGATACGTGCTACAACATGGATGAGCCTTGAAAACATTCTGTTGAGTGAAAGAAGCCAGACATAAAAGGACACAGATTGTATGATTCCATTTCTATGAAATAGCAGAATAGGCAAATCCGTAGAGATAGAACATAGATTGCTGGTTGCTGAGGGCTAAGGGGAGACACAATGGGGAGAAACTGCTCGGTGGGTTTTATCTATTTTTTTTGGAGACAGGGTCTCACTCTGTCACTTAGGCTGAGTGCGGTGGTGCAATCACAGCTCACTGAAGCCTCAACCTCCCTAGCTCAAGTGATCCTCCTACCTCAGCCTCCTGAGTACCTGGGACTATAGGCATGTGCCACCATGCCCAGCTAATATTTAAATTTTTTGTAAAGATGAGGTCTCACTGTATTGCCCAGGCTGGTTTCGAACCCCCAGGCTTAAGTGATCCTCCTGCCTCGGCCTCCCAAAGTATTGGGATTACAGGTGTGAGCCACCGTGCTCAACCAATGGGTTTTATTTTAGACTGATGGAAATATTTGGGAACTAGACAGGTGGTAGTTGCACAACATTGTGAATGTAGTAAGCACCCCTGAATTGTTTGCTTTTTAAAATGGTTAATTTTATGTGAATTTTGCTTCAATCTTTTTTTTTTTTTTTTTTTTTTTCTGAGACAGGGTCTCACTCTATTGCTCAGGCTGGAGTGCAGTGGCTCACTGCAACCTCTGCCTCCTGGGCCTCAGCCTCCCAAGTAGTTGGGACTACAAGCACACGCTACCATACCTGGCTCATTTTTAGTATTTTTAGTAGAGGTGGGGTTTCACCATCTTACCCAGGCTGGTCTTGAACTCCTGGGCTCAAGGAATTTGCCTGCTTCAGACTCCCAAAATGCTGGGATTACGGGCGTGAGCCACTGCGCCCAGCCCAATGCCCACGGTTCTTCTTGCCAGTTCTGTTGCCTGGGTTGCCTTCTCAGCTGTGATGATCTTTTCCAGGTTTTGTCACATCTGTCCTAACTGGATTATAAGTAAACTCCTTAAAGGCTGAGACCAACTTGTACTTCTAAAGAACAAGAGTAGGATATTTGTGAAAGTGTCCAAGTACGGGAAGGGGTGAGTGGATGAAACAAGACTTGCCATTCATTGGGGTTCTACTCTTTACCTTCCAGAACAGTCCAGGCTCTGCAGACAGCATCCCACCTGTCCCAGCAGGCTGACCTGAGGAGCATCGTGGAGGAGATTGAGGTGTGAATCTTTTGCCAAATGCATCTCCCAGCTCCTGTCTTTGACACTCTGCAGAAGAATCTTGCAGATAGCCATGCATGATCTGTTACTACAGGTTACATTGCTTCTTATATCCATGGCACACTTGTGTTCTTTGTATTAAGGTATTGTGTCCTGAGGAATATTTGTGCCTATTACATAATAGGTCCTCAGGACGTGGTGACTGTGGTTTTTATTATTGCTCTATCCTTGCCTTTGCCCAGAATATCATGCTCCTCTGGGACCTCTGTCATGGACTGCCTGGCAGGAGTGACAAGCAGTCCTGATGGTGTTCTCACTGGATGCTTCACAGGCACGTTGGTTGCCTAGTCATGTTGCCTAGGAGAGCAGTATGTCTCTCTTTGTCTTTTGGAGCATTAAGAAATTCTGGGAAACGCTGTGCTTTGTAGGTTGTATTCAAATGGATGGCCATGGACTCCATCTGTGTCATGATGCTTCCTGGGTGCACAGCAGCCTGGCCCACTGGCTTTCCACCCAAAGCAGCTGGCGTGTTCTGTGCCATGACTCCTGGGCTTGGGCCTGCATACAAGGGGCCAAGGAAGGAGCCCTCCCAAAACTGCAGAAGATAGTGCTCTCCTCAAATGTCTGTTTGATATACTTTACTCTGCCTAAGCACCATTTTTGAGAAAGTATGAAGTGACTGAGATGGTCTTCAGATTTAGAGTGAGAGATGTCACGAAGCTGTCTGCAGTGGGGTTGACAGTGGTTCGTGCATCTCATTTCTGCTGTTACTTGACATCCAGCATATTTCTGTTTTGTTATGGCAGGACCTTGTTGCTCGCCTGGATGAACTCGGGGGCGTGTATCTCCAGTTTGAAGAAGGACTGGAAACAACAGCGTTATTTGTGGCTGCCACCTACAAGCTCATGGATCATGTGGGGACTGAGCCATCCATTAAGGAGGTACCTATCTAACAATTTTCAGGCATGAAACCCAAAGGGGTCATCAGCTGTATCTGCTAAGGATGGCTTTTATCAGAGAGGAATGTTCAGACAGTACCTTGGGATGCTGTCACTCAGTGTCCTGGGTTAGGGATTAAGAATGAGAAATAGAAAGATGTAATGCCTGTCTTCAGGAAATGGGTTGCTAGTGAGGTAGACGTGTAAACAAACCATGCTTGCTTTAAATGGGGTATGTACATGTCACGAGGTAGTATCAAGGAAGCCACGTGTATTACTCCTGTTTCATCTCCCTTTCTTCCCAGTACCCTTTTCTGCTTGTCGCCTGAATGCTTTCCACTCTGGTGGCTCATTCAGATCCTTCTCTGGGCTCACAATTGCTTCTCCTCCCTTCCCCCTTATGCTCAGCAACGGCTAAATCTTAGCTAATCTTTGCTGATGGACATAGTTCACTGAGAGGCATGTGTGTCTATCACACATCCGCCAAGAGTTCATTCTTTTTCTCAAGAGGAGGTTGTTAACCTGAAAGAATCTTTAGTTGGAATGCATGTGGGAAGCCTTTTTGAGTAGGACCGTCTTTGTACCCCTTGTTTGTGAGAAGTTACCAGCCCTTAATCTAAAGTACTTAAAATACAAGCTGCTTTTATTTAAATTTTAGGAGGAGAGATTTGGGTTTTAAGTGAGAATTTTCATTTCTTTATGCATTATGAGTTTTGTGCCAAGTTTCTTTAAGTAAATAGTTATCTGTCTTGGATAATTGGAATTAATTTCATATTTTCTCCATGTGGTCAAATAAGTTATTCATGTGTTTGCATTCTTTTTGTGTCTCTTCCTTTGTCCTAAGTGTAGGAGGTCTAGAAATATACTCCCTTTTAATTTCTGTTATGGGTGAAATTGCAAGAGTGTGGGGTCTTAGGGTACAGATTGTTTGCTGATTGTCCTATACACAGTAAAGTAGATGAATTAATGATATTGTACTTATACAACTTAAACATTTTCTTCCTTTATTTCCAAGCTGCTGCTAACCAGGTACTTGGCTGGAGTAATTTCGCTGTCACTGCTTTTGACAAAACAATTCTGGTGAACAGTCACCCATTTTAACGTGTCAACAGAGTAGTGATGGAAAATTGTAATTGGTCCAATTAAAGAAAATTCTTTCATGTTGACTGTGAATAACACTGTCAGGAACAAGAGAGCCCTTTTGTTGGATGGTAGATTTTAAAAAACAAAACTGATTGAAGGGGAAAATGTTTCCTCCTAAGCAAATAACCTCCAGAATTTTAATAATGCCTTTTAGGTTCCACTTTTTTAAAAAATTGCTTTTAGTTTTCTCCTCTAAGCAGCCCATTAGTTCTTAATGGAGAGTTATTTTAGTTTCTTTTTAATGTACATTTTAGCTATAAAGTTTGGTCTTATAAATAAAAACTTTGCCTCAATGTACTACTTACAAGTAGGTTGGGAGGAAAGGTAGCTTAGCTGGGAGGATAATGAGAATCAGGAAAGAACAGATTTTCTTGTAGAAGGACTTTGGAGACAAACAGTCCTACATTTGAATGTTGGTCTTGCTAATGTTGTGGTAACTTGCAGAAGTTATTTAGCCTCCTTTAGCCTCAGTTTCATTTTTTGGGAAACATTGATAATAGCAATCTTTTATAGTTTTTGTCAAAATTTGAGTTAATGCATGTAAAGCACCTATCATGATGCCTGGCATATATAGACATTAACAAATAATTACTATTATATATATTTCATAATATAGTTTCATATCTCAGTAGTTATCTGGAAGTACCCTGCATTTGTGTAGTAAGCATTATTATGATTTTTTTTTCAGACAGAGTCTTTCTCTGTCGCCCAGGTTGGAGTGCAGTGGCGCGATCTTGGCTCACTGCAACCTCCACCTCCTGGGTTCAAGCAATTCTCGTGCCTCAGCCTCTTGAGTAGATGGGATTACAGGCGCATGCCACCATGCCTGACTAATTTTTGTATTTTTAGTAGAGTTGGGGTTTTTCTCTATGTTAGTCAGGCTGGTCTCGAACTCCTGACCTCAAGGGATCTACCTGCCTTGGTCTCCAAAAGTGCTGGGATTACAGGCGTGAGCCACTGCACCTGGCCTGTATAATAAGCACTTATTAAATAACTGACAAATCATGAATTTCAGTTTATAAAGGAAGATGGAAAAAAAAACAACCACATCCAAGTTCTAAGTTTAAATGCAGAATATTTGCGTTTTCTCCATCTACGAATTTGGATCATTGACCAAAAGACCTCCCATGTGAACACCCGAAACAGATAAGGGTGACTTTCCTCTACAGCAGTGGCCCTCCCACCTTCCCAGCAGAGGAAGAGAAACAGCTGCATTTCGCATTTCTTTCAGGATCAGGTCATCCAGCTGATGAACGCGATCTTCAGCAAGAAGAACTTTGAGTCCCTCTCCGAAGCCTTCAGCGTGGCCTCTGCAGCTGCTGTGCTCTCGCATAATCGCTACCACGTGCCAGTTGTGGTTGTGCCTGAGGGCTCTGCTTCCGACACTCATGAACAGGCTATCTTGCGGGTAAGACATCCATGCCCAAAGTGTGCCCCTCTGATTATCATTCCTAGTGGAAGGCTTTCAGAAATCTGGACTATGGTCACAGCCAATTACAGCCCCTACAAGGACATACCCATTAAATGGAGGGCAAGGCTCATTTCCCTGAGCCTTGAAATGGAGACATGACCACTCGGTGAACTAGCCACAGAACCCTTCAAATCTATTAAAAAAATTTTTTTCCCCTCGTGGATTTTTAATTTTTGTTTCTTTTTTTGAGACAGAGTCTTGCTCTGTCACCCAGGCTGGAAAGCAGTGGCATGATTTTGGTTCACTGCTGCATCCACCTCCTGGGTTCAAGTGATTCTTGTGCCTCAGTCTCCCAAGTAGCTGGGATCACAGGCGCACACCACCATGCCTAGCTAATTTTTGCATTTTTAGTAGAGATGGGGTTTTGCCATGTTGGCCAGGCTGGTGTTGAACTCCTAGCCTCCCAAAGTGCTGAGATTACAGGTATGAGCCACTGTGCCTGGCCTCTCCCTAGAGGATTTTAAATAGTACAGGCTTGGCTGGGTACTGTGGCTCACGCCTGTAATCCCAGCACTTTGGGAGACTGAAGCAGGCGGATCATGAGGTGAAGAGATTGAGACCATCCTGGCCAACATGGTGAAACCCCATCTCTACTAAGAATACAAAAATTAGCAGGGCCTGGTGGTGCGCACCTGTAGTCCCAGCTACTCAGGAGGCTGAGGCAGGAGAATCGCTTGAACCTGGGAGGCAGAGGTTGCAGTGAGCCGAGACTGCACCACTGCACTCCAACCTGGTGACAGAGTGAGACCCTGTCTAAAAAAAAAAAAAAAAAAATACAGGCTTTCAGTAAGTGCAGGAATATTGCATTTCTAGGTCTATAACTCCAGATGTATAGAGAAGTCTTGCATCTAAAATGCACTTCCCAATACCAAACTTTCTTTTTCATATTTTTTTGGTTTTGTTTTGGTTTTTTTTGAGACGCGGTCTCGCTATGTCGCGCAGGCTGGAGTGCCGTGGTGCGATCATGGCCCACTGCAGCGTAGGCTTCCTCCAGTACCCAAATTTTCTAAATATGTTATTTTACGACAGCTGTTTTAATTCTCAATTAATTCTGGTGTTTATGGTTGATCAGTTCTCTTTTTCCCTGGTCCTTGATGGGATATCTTTTTGCCTCTTTATAGCACAGTCCTCCCTTTCACTCAGCAGTAAGCATAGACTTCTCCTTTGTGTTAACTCGTTGAACAGAGCACATGCACAGATCTTGAATATGCTTAGAACTTTTATCTCAAATGAGGCGTTTTGTTGCTGTTGTTTGGAACCAGTGATAAGCTAAGATCTTCATGAGAAATTAGCATTTTATTAATGTCTAAGTGTTGGGTTTCCACTTAGGACAGTTCTGTCTGTCCCATTAGTTCTACTTTGGTGGCCCCTGCAGATATCCTCCTGAGCGAGTACCCTGTTCTTCAAAATTGCCCATTTTCTCCCTACATACAACTCATATACCCTCAACAAAGACTTGGGTAGAAAGTAACCTGAGTAACATGGTTTCCTGTGAGTCAAGAGGGGCTAAGAGAACAAAGTGGAAAAAGAATTGACTCTGAAGTTAAATAGATGGTTTGAGTCCTGGCTCAACTGCTTAACTGGCCATGTGACCTTTAGCAGTCCCTTAACCTCTTGTGGCTTGTTTCTTCACCTGTGCAATAAGGATTATTCTATCTGTGTCGTACAATTGATAGGAGAATGTATGTAAAGGGCCTAGCCTGGTATATGCATATAGTTGACTTTCAACAAATGATAGTTATTAATATTATCCATATTTCTTTAATTTTCCCATTGCTGATACCATTCTAAAGTATTTTTCTGGCTGATTTATTTATTAATTTTTTAGTAGAGACGGGGTCTCACTGTATTGCCCAGGCTGGTCCCAAACTCCTGGCCTTAAGTGATCCTCCCATCTCGGCCTCCCAAAGTACTGCAATTACAGGCATGAGCCACTGCACCCAGTCTAGCTGAGACATTTTTTTTTTTCTTTTTCAGAGACAGGGTTTCCCTCTGTTTTCCAGGCTGGAGTATAGTGGCGCAATCATAGCTCATGCTAACTCTTGGGCTCAAGCAGTCCTCCTGCCTCAACTTCCTGAGTATCTGGGACTACAAGCACATGCCACCATGCCCAGCTAATTTTTTAATTTAAAAAACTTTTTTTTTTTTTGGTAGAAACGAGGTCTTGCCATGTTGCCCACGCTGTTCTTGAACTCTTTGGCATCAAGTGATCCTCCTGACTCAGCCTCCCAAAGCACTGCAATTATAGGCATGAGCCATCATGCCCAGTCTGATAAATTCTTTTAAAGATTCTGTAGTAGAGTGGATAGAATAGGGAATCAGAAAGAAGGCAATATATTGGCCAGGTGTGGTGACTCATGCCTGTAATAATTCACTTTAGGATTAGGCAGCAGGCCCAAGGTCAGCCAAGATTTCCCGAAGCAGGGGATTTGCTCTCCTGCAGAGCTTGCAACCTATAGATAAAGCACCCCAGAAACAAAATTCTCTGCTCCTGTAGCCTTTGTTGTAACAAATAATTTTTTATTTATTTCCAGTTGCAAGTCACCAATGTTCTGTCTCAGCCTCTGACTCAGGCCACTGTTAAACTAGAACATGCTAAATCTGTTGCTTCCAGAGCCACTGTCCTCCAGAAGACATCCTTCACCCCTGTAGGGTAAGTCCTGATCATATTTTGGTGGGGCGCTGACCTCTTTGTTTTGGAAAGTTAGCCTGCAGCCAGTGTAACAGATTAATACATTCCAGTTAGGTAAATTTGATCTACTGGTATCGAAAGCCTACAGTCGAATGTAAGAAAATGATTTTTAAAATGAAGATTATTTGGTTTTACTGTTTCATTCTCTGTTTCTAGTTGGCTCTGTCTTGTCATTGTGACATAAGTAGCTATTTTGAAATTTAATATTTATTGATTTTTTTCTGATAAATAATAATGTTTATTATAGGAAAAATACAGCAAAGCACAAAAAAAGAAAATATAACTTACCCATAATGCTACCATTCAGAGATAACTTTTGCTAACTTTTTTTTTTTTTTTTTTTGAGGCGGAGTTTTGCTCTTGTTGCCCAGGCTGGAGTGCAATGGTGCAATCTCAGCTCACCGCAACGTCTGCCTCCTGGATTCTAGCGATTCTCCTGCCTCAATCTCCCAAGTAGCTGGGATTACAGGTGCCCGCCACCACGTCCGGCTAATTTTTTGTATTTTTAGTAGAGACAGGGTTTCCCCATGTTGGCCAGGCTGGTTTCGAACTCCTGACCTCAGGTGGTCCACCTGCCTCGGCCTCCCTAAGTGCTGAGGTTACAGGCATGAGCCACTGTGCCTGGCCTTGCTAACATTTTATAATTTTTTTTTGACAGTCTTTTTTCTATGTATGTAAATAAATTTTAAAAATTCAGTTAAGGGCCAGGCATGGGGCTCATACCTGTAACCCCAGCACTTTAGGAGACTGAGGCAGATGGATTGCTTGAGCCTAGGAGTTTGAGACCAGCCTGGGCAACATAGCAGGACCCCATCTGTAATTTTTATTTATTTATCTATTTATTTTTTGAGATGGAGTCTTCCTCTGTCACCCAGGCTGGAGTGCAGTGGTGTGATCTCGGCTCACTGCAACCTCCACCTCCCGGCTTCAAGCAATTCTCCTGCCTTAGCTTCCCGAGTAGCTGGGATTACAGGTGTGTGACACTACGCCTGGCTAATTTTTGTATTTTTGGTAGAGGCAGGGTTTCACCATGTTGACCAGGCTGGTCTTGAACTCCTGACCTCAAGTGATCCACCCACCTCGGCCTCCCAAAGTGCTGGGATTACAGGCGTGAGCCATTGTGCCCGGCCTTTTTTTAAATTAGAGATGGGGGCCAGGTGTGGCAGCTCACGCCTGTAATCCCAGCACTTTGGGGGGGCCAAGGTGGGCGGATCACTTGAGGTCAGGAGCTCGAGAACAGCCTGGCCAACATGGCGAAACCCCATCTCTACTAAAAATACAAAAAAATTAGCCAGACGTGGTGGTGCACGCCTGTATTCCCAGCTACTCCGGAGGCTGAGGCAAGAGAATCACTTGAACCCAGGCAGCGGAGGTTGGCAGTGAGCTGAGAACGCGCCATTGCACTCCAGCCTGGGCGACAGAGCGAGGCTCCATCTCTATTAAAAAAAAAAAAAAAAATCAGGGTATGCTTTATATGTAACAATGTGCCACAAACTTTTTTTTATAGGATTAAATATTCTTTTACAATTTTTTTTTTTCTTTTTTGAGATGGAGTTTTACTCTTGTTGCCCAGGCTGGAGTGCAGTGTAGTGGCGTGATGTCTGCTCATTGCAATCTCCACCTCCCAGCTTCAAATGATTCTTCTGCCCCAGCCTCCTAAGTAGCTGGGATTACAGGCACCTGCCACCATGCCCGGCTAATTTTCGTATTTTCGGTAGAGATGGGGTTTTACCATGTTGGCCAGGCTGGTCTTGAACTGCCTCAGCCTCCGAGTGGCTGGGATTATAGGCGTGTGACCTCAGGTGATCCTCCCACCTCAGCCTCCAAAGTGCTGGGATTACAGTTGTAAGTCACCATGCCTGGCCTTTACAATGATTTTTAATGGCTGCATATTATTGCTATGTAATTTTTTAAAAACTAAGGCCCAGTTTACTGGGTGTGTGGCTTGCCTATAGTTCCAGCTACTTGGGAGGCTGAGGTGGGAGGATCGCTTGAGGCTGGGAGGTCTAGGCTGTAGTGAGCCATGATCATACCATATCACTCCAGCCTGGGTGACAGAGGGAGACTCTGTCTCAAAAACAAAAACAAAAAACTAAGGGTCAAGCTGGGCACAGTAGCAGGTACCTGTAGTCCAGCTACTTGGAGGTTGAGGCAGGAAGATCATTTGAACCGAGGAGCTTAAGACCAGTCTGGGCAACATAGTAAGACCTGTTTCTAAAAGAAAAAAATTAAGGGTCAATTTTTATATGAATTAGTGTTTTTCCCAGCTAATTGTATAGAATTTTTTTTTTTTTTTGAGACAGTTTCGCTCTGTTGCCTGGGCTGGAATGCAGTGGCGTGATCTTGGTTCACTGCAACTTCTGCTTCCCAGGTACAAGGAATTCTGCCTCAGCTTCCTAAGTAGCTGGGATTACAGGCACCCGCCACCATGCCCAGCTAATTTTTTTTGTATTTTTAGTAGGAATGGGGTTTCACCATGTTGGCCAGGCTGGTTTCGAACTCCTGACCTAAAGTGACCCGCCTGCCTTGGCCTCCGAAAGGGCCAGGATTACAGGTGTGAGCCACTGGCCTTATATGGAACTTTTTGAAGTGTTAAATTAGGTAATAAGTTATTGAGATCAGGAGTTTTCAATTTTAGAGAGAAAATGCGTTTCTTAATCATAAGGATACATAGGCAATATGTGAAATTAAAAAGCAAAATCATTTTTAGGCGTGTCAATGGAGTGGTAAAAGACATTGAGATTTTACTATATAGTTAGAGTAAGGAATTCTCTACCTTTTTTTCCCTTTAAAATAAAAATAAATATTTTTAATAAAAGTAAGATATGTCCTTTTTGAGAAATTCACAAAACACGGAAAGGTAGAAATCATACCAAAAAATTAGCCACAATTATACTATCGTACACCAACCTCTTTGTACATTTTGGAGTATTTTCCTCTACATTTTTGTTGTCATTGTGAAACATATGTGGGATCACATTGTAAACTTCTCAATTTTACATTACACTGTGGAAAGCTACCAGGAGTTTGAATTTTAGGAGTGGTGGGAGTAACAAAGGAAAAGAAAACGTTGGAAACCTAGGGGTGTTCATCTTAGATACTTTTCTCCACATGCCAATCTGTGATTAAGCACGAGGGTCAGGCATGGTGACTCATGCCCCAGCCTGCACTTTGGGAGGCTGAGGCAGGTGGATCACTTGATCTCAGGACCCTGTCTCTACAAAAAACTGCAAAATTATCTGGACGTGATGGTGCATGCCTGCTGTCCCAACTACCAGGGAGGCTGAGGTGGGAGGATCAGTTGAGCCTACGAGTTTTGAGACTGTGGTGAGCTGTGATCGTGCCACTATACTCCAGCCTGGGTGACAGTGAGAACCTGTCTCAAAATAAAAAAAAAATAAGAAGCACGAGATTGCCCAAGTGGGGTGGGAAGTCAAAAAGGTAAGGAGTTGGCTAGCCTTGGACAGTCTCCAGGAGACATTTTGTAGCTCCTGTTTGTTATATCCATGACTTTCCTACCTGAGTTCTTGCTAAGCCCATTGTCATTCTTAACAGGGATGTTTTTGAACTAAATTTCATGAACGTCAAATTTTCCAGTGGTTATTATGACTTCCTTGTCGAAGTTGAAGGTGACAACCGGTATATTGCAAATACCGTAGAGGTAGGTGTTTTTCTTTCCTTCCCATTGCCATGTTAGTATATCCAAGGATATGGCCAAATTGACACAGTATTAATTGTCTGGTGCATTGACTTTTCTCTACAACCAAGCTAATGTGTTTATGTGGAGGGAGGGCTGCATTCAGTCTTTGCTGTTTGACAGACTTAGTAGCTAAGGCAGTAAATCAAGAACTTGGTCATAGTGAATTTTCTTTTATTTGTAAGTTTTTCATTTTCCATTATAATTTAGCATTACTGTCTTACATGAAATTTAGTTAGTAGAAAAAATAAAAATCACCCATAATTCCACTGAGCCTTAAACTCTTAAAGTGTTTTGTGTGATAGGCTTTGGTGGGTTTAGAAAAGTGCTTGATGCCAAATAGGTGACAAAAAGCACCAAGTGACACATACGTAACACTATAATGAAGCTATTTGGGTAAAGGATAAAAGAAAATCAGTAATCTTTCATAATGAACTTTGTTGATGTTTAGCTAACTCTAGCTGGGTTGAAGATCGAAGTAGCTTTAAGGATAGAAAGCCTTATTTACCTGATGCTTTGTGGGAAAGAGGTAGTTCACCTTAGTATTTTTCCCAGCTAATTGAAATTTACCCCATCTGGCATGGTGGCTTTCATTGTAATCTTTTTAGATAGAAGTTTATTTAAGATGAGTGACACATTTTCCTACTTTCTTACTTCCAATTTAAGATGGTTTCTTTGTCTTTCATGACCTTGACACTTGAAGAGGATGGGCTCTCAATCTGTAGAATGTCTCTCCGTTTGTGTTTGTCTGATGTTTCTTCATGATCAGGTTCAGGTCATGCATTTTCCGCAGTTCTATCCCAAAAGTAATGCTCTGCCCTACTCAGAACAAGAAGTATATGATGTCGATATGTCTTATTACAGGTCATGTTAACCTTGATCACTTGAGTAAGGTGATTGTGTGCTAGGTTTCTCTGCTGTAAAGTTGCTGTTTTTCTGCTTGTATTTAAGTGTCTTGTGGGGTGGTACTTTGAGACTCTGTAAGTATCCTAATGATGTTGTCTGTAATAGTTATTACTGTGGTGTTTGCCAAAGGGTGATTTTCTCTTTCATTCCTTCTACATTTTAAAAATTGGAATTCTGCTGTAAGAAAATAACTGTGTTTTATACCATTTTATTTATAACTATCATAATTCTTTATCATAACATGTTTATAATGTAATATATTTTCTATAATTCATATGTTTACAATAATTGCATCATGGACATTTATTTTACTATATACATTGTGGTCCATGACTCATTTATCTTGTTGCTCATTTTATCCTAGGTTTGGCCTTTGGAGAGCTCCTCAAATTGGCTCCTGTGACACTTGCTTTCTTTTAATGACAGAATTAATAGCTAGAAAGTTTGACCTTTTCAAAAATGCGGCATTACTTCCCATAGGTAGATTCAACACTTGCATTTAAAGTTTGGCAGAAAGGAAGATGTTTTCTGGAACTCGAATCTCTTCACCTCATGTGTTGACCTTTTTAGCATGAGACATCTGATCTTAGTTCGTTCACTATGGATAGAAGCTATTGTAGCGTATGCCTTGATCCTTTCAAATCCACATTCTTATAATGTTAGTTTCCTATGTTAAGAGGACTTATTTGCAACTGAACATATTAAAAGGAAAGTTCTTTTTTTCTTTTCTTTTTTTTTCTTGAAACCTCTTCTTCCCTGTACTTCGAGTCCATCTTAAATGCCAGGCTTATACCTCACAGTTCTTAACCCCTTCCTTTCTTTTCACTTCTACCTTCTAGTCAGTTACCAAGTCCTATTGATTCCACCTCTGATTGTCTTTTCCATGAGTCTTTTGCTGTTACAGTCACCAAATTGCTCTATTCTCCATATTCGTACCAATATTTGGTATTTTTAGGTTTTAGTAATCTGATGCATATGAAAAGGTATCTTGTTTTAATGTCTTTCCTTGGTTACTGGTAAAGTTAAACATCTTTTTATATATTTATTAGCCAATTACATTTCCTTTCCAGTGAATTGTTTTATATCTTTGCCTGGTTTTCTTTTGGTTTGTTAGTCTTATTACTGATTTTTAGGAGTGATATATGTTTAGTTGTGAGCATCAGATATCTTCCCCTAGAATTGCTTTATGGCATCTCTTGAAGCACAAAATTTAATTTTAATGAAGCCTAATTTAAATGTCTTTTCCTAGGGCCAGGTGAGGTGGCTCACACCTGTAATCCCAGCACTTTGGGAGGCCAAGGCAGGCGGATCACCTGAGGTCAGGAGTTCAATACTAGCCTGGCCAACATGATGAAACCCCATCTCTACTAAAAACACAAAAAGTAGCCAGGCGTGGTGGCACGTGCCTGTAATCCCAGCTACTCGGGAGGCTGAAGCAGGAGAATCGCTTGAACCTGGGAGGTGGAGGTTGCAGTGAGCTGAGATCGTGCCACCGCACTCCAGCCTGGGCAATGGAGCCAGACTCTGTCTCAAAAAAATAAATAAATAAATAAAATACAAGTTTTTTTGCTAGACTGTGTTTTTTATATCTTCTTTAAAACAATCCTGTGCTACCCCAAAGTCAAAAAGATATTCTCCAATGTTTTCTTTTTTTATTTTTATTTTTGTTTTTGAGACAGAGTCTCGCTCTGTCACTCAGGCTGGAGTATAGTGGTGCCATCTTGGCTCACTGCAGCCTCTGCCTCCGGGGTTCAAGCGATTCTCCTGCCTCAGCCTCCCGAGTAGCTGGGACTACAGGTGCATGCCACCACACCTGGCTAATTTTTGCATTTTTAGTAGATACAGGGTTTTGCTATATTAGCCAGGCTGGTCTCCAACTTTTGGCCTCAAATGATCCGCCTGCTTTGGCCCACCGACGTGTTGGGATTACAGTCGTGAGCCACTGCACCTGGCCCTCCAGTGTCTTTTGAACATTTTTAAAGTTGTTTTCCCCCTTATATTTAAGGCTTCGGTCTATCTGAAGTTCATTTTTGTTGCTGTAGTATTTTACACCCTTTTCTATAATTGTACTTATTGCATTATATTACCATTGTTTGTTTATATGCATTGCTTTTTCTTTTTCTTTTTCTTTCTTTTTTTTTGAGACAAGGTCTCATTCTACCACCCAGGCTGGAGTGCAGTGGCGTGATCATGGCTCACTACAGCCTTGACCTTCTGGGCTCAGGTGATCCTCCCACCTCAACCTCTCAGGTAGCTGGGACTACAGGCATGCACCACCATGCCCAGCTAATTTTTGTATTTTTTTCTAGAGACTGGGTTTTGCCATGTTGCCCAGGCTGCTCTCGAACTCCTGGGCTCAAGCGATCTGCCCACCTTTGCCTCCCAAAGTAGTGGGATTATAGGCGTGAACCACCACCTGCATTGCTTTTTCACTGGGCTGAGAACTCCTATGGGTGAAAACTAAATATTATTATTATTATTATTATTATTATTCTTTTTTTTTTGAAACAGAGTCTCGCTCTGTCACCAGGCTGGAATGCAGTGGCGCAATCCCGGCTCACTGGAACCTCCGCCTCCTGGGTTCAAGTGATTTTCCTGCCTCAGCCTCCCGAGTAGCTGGGGCTACAGGCACGCGCCACCATGCCCAGCTAATTTTTGTATATTTAGTAGAGACGGGGTTTCACTATGTTGGCCAGGATGGTCTTGATCTCTTGACCTTGTGATCCGCCTGCCTCGGCCTCCCAAAATGCTGGGATTACAGGCGTGAGCCACCATGCCCGGCCTAAATCTTATTTTTTCAGTGCTTGGTTTCCATTTAACATTACTTAGAGGAAGAAAAGGATAGAGTGGTCTAAAGATGTTTTTCCACATTGCAGGCCCTTCAGAACTCTGGCAATTCATCTTCCAGACTTAGCTTTTTTTTTTCTTTTTTCTTTTTTTGAGATGGAATCTTGCTGTCACCCAGGCTGGAGTGCAGTGGCACGATCTTGGCTTACTGCAACCTCCGCCTCCACCTCCCGGGTTCAAGTGATTCTCCTGCCTCAGCCTTCTGAGTAGCTGAGATTACAGGTACACGCCACCATGCCTGGCTAATTTTTTTGTATTTTTAGTAGAGACGGGGTTTTGCCTTGTTGGCCAGGCTGGTCTCAAACTCCTGACCCTCAGGTGATCTGCCTCGCCTCGGCCTCCCAAAGTGCTGGGATTACAGATGTGAACCACTAGGCCCGGCCAAGAGTTAGCTTTTATTTATTGATTTAATAACAGCTTTATTGAGGTATAATTCTCATACCATAAAGTTTACCAATTAAAAGTATGTAATTCAGGCTGGGCATGAGCCACCACGCTTGTAATCCCAGAACTTTGGGAGGCTGAGGTGGGAGGATCGCTTGAGCCCAGGAGTTAGAGACAAGCTTGGGCAACACAGGGAGATCCCATCTCTACCAAAAATTTAAAAATAAATTAGCCATGTATGGTGGCATGTACCTGTCCCAGCTACTTAAGAGGCTGAGGCAAGCGGATCCCTTGAGCCCAGGAGTTTGAGGCTGCAGTGAACTATGATCACACTACTGCACTCTAGCCTGGGCAACAGAGTGAGACCTTGTCTCAAAAAAACAAAAAGCCTGGGCGCAGTGGCTCACACCTATAATCCCAGCACTTTGGGAGGCCGAGGTAGGTGGATCGCCTGAGATCAGGAGTTCGAGACCAGCCTGGTCAGCATGGGGAAACCCCGTCTCTGCTAAAAAAAAAAACAAAAAAAACAAAACTATGCAATCCAGTGTTTTTAGTATTTTCACAGACTTGTGCAACCCTTGCCACAATGCCATTCCAGAATATATTTATCACCCTGGAGAGCAATGCTATATCTTTTAGTGGGCACTCCTCATTCTCTCTTCCTACTTTCTGCTTTCTGTCTCTGTGGTTGCCTATTTGGGACATTTTGTGTAAATGAAATCATACAATAGGTTACCTTTTGTGTCTGGCTTTTTTGTTTTTTCACTTAACATAATACTTCTAAGGTTCATCCATGTTGTAGCATGTATTAGTACTTTATTTCTTTTTATGGCAAAATAATATTCCATTGTATGGATATATCACATTTTGTTTACCGACTTATCAGTTAATGACATTTGAGGTATTTCTCTTTTTTGGCTCTTATGAGTAATGCTGCTGTGAACATTTGTATATAACTTTTTGTTTGAACACTTGTTTTTGGTTCTTTCAGGTATATGCTTAGGAATAGAATTCCTGCGTCATATGGTAACTCGGTGTTTCACTTTTCAAGAAACTAACAAGTTTTCAAAGCAGCTGCACCATTTTACATTTCTACCAGCAATGTGTGAGGGTTCCAATTTTACTACATCCTCACCAACACTTGTTATTATCTGACTTTTTGATTTTCGCCATCGTAGTGGGTATAAAGTGGTGTCTCATTATGGTTTTGATTTCCATTTCTCTGATAGGTAATAATGTTGAGTATCTCTTTATGTGCTTATTGGTCTCTTGCATATCTTCTTTAGAAGAATGTCTATTCAAATCCATTGTCCATTGAAAAAAATGTTTTTGGTCTTTTTTTCTTCCTTCTACAATCTATACACCTCTTATTTCCTTTTATTTATCTTTTTATATTATTGAGTTGTAAGGGTTTCTCTGGTTAGAGGTTCCTTATTAAATACATGATTTGCAAATATTTTCTCACAGTCTGAAGGTTGTATTTTCACTTTCATGATGTTGTCTTTTGAGGCACAAAAAATCTTAATTTTGATGAAGTCCAGTTTTAAAATGTTTTGTTGTTGTTGTTTGTGCTTTAGGTGTCATGTCTAAGATGCCATTATGTAATCCAAGGTTAAGAAGATTTACTACTATGTTTTCTTAAAAGAATTTTATACTTTTGGCTCCTACCCTTAGGTTTCTGATTCATTGTGAGTTAATTTTTGTGTATGGTGTGATGTAGGGGGTCCAGTCTTCTTTTGCAGTTGTCCTAGACCCATTTGTTGAAAAGGCTGTTCTTTCCCTAACGAATTGCCTTGGCACATACATCCTTGTAGGAATCACTTGACAATAAATGTAAGGGTTGATTTCTGGACTCATAATTCTATTTCATTAATCTGTATTGTCCTTATGCCAGTGCCACGCTGTCTTGATTACTGTAACAGCTTGGCATTTTGTAACATCAAATCTGGTGTTTGTCCAAGTGTTTCTGTGATTGTTGGAAAAATTATCTAAGTACAAAATAGCAGAAATGGCTAATAGCTCTTGTTCATGCAATGATAATAAGCCCCCATTGAGGCCATTTACTCTCCTTTTCCTCCCTAGTGATGGAGTAAGCATTACAAAATCTTCTCTCTTCCTCCTTATTACATTAGAGGTGTGTGTGTTTGTGTGTGTGTGTGTGTGTGTGAGTGTGAGAGAGAGAGAGAGTCGGCTTTGACCTTTGCCGTATATGCAACTTTTCTTTGTAATTTCAGTAATAATCACACTTAGAGCCTCAGAGCAGGTCATTGGGTCCTGTTTGTCCTCCCAAGAAATGCTCGACATTGGTCAGAGTGCATTAACGGTGGTTTGGTGTGGAAGTCCTGTAATAGCCCTCATTGACATTGGACTGGCTGTCAGGGGAAGCATCGGTTTTGGACGCTCTCATTAGCATTAATTGCCCCTAATGCACCATCATTTTTGACAGTAATAAGCTAAACAGGGGTGTTATTACTCCCAGCAGAAAGACTGCATTTCCTGGCGTTAAAACATTTTTTGAGATGTATATGGCATGTGGTGCAGGCAAAGAAAGGAATAGCATGATCCAGTGTAAAGCAGGCTTAGCTGCATTTAAAGTGGAGAAATAAGTCCCTTTCCTATTATAAAAACGAATCCTGCATTGTTAGTTGGAAGGAAGAAGCAGCTAATCAACAGGGATCCTACACTGAACTCTTTAAAAGAGGGCTTTGGAAAAAGTTACGATTTTTATTTCTAAATTTGCTTTAAAAGAGTAGCATAAAAATGCTTTGCTTTTGAGTGTTTCCAGAGACCCATTTATAGTGAGATTTTAGGAGCAGAAGGATTTGTTTTAAACTGTTCCCTATTTAGGAACAGCCCTACGGGTGTTTATGTGCAACAATGAAAGCTGTAACTTAGGAAACCTTTTAAAATTGGGGCTGAGAGCAAACCAAGAATGATGCAAGTTCACTGCAGTTTGCCCTTTGCTCACTCCATGTATCTGCATTGTCTGGGGATGCTCAGGATGTCTTTAGAACACACACGAAGCTGGATCCTGATTAGCTGGCCTTGGTGGCCAGTTAGTGCTGAGAGTTTACAGCCAGGATTCTAAGTGAAAACCTAAAAGCTGATAGCTTCCTTATCACTATCATTAGGAGACACTGAAGACTTTACACAATTCTTTTTTTTTTTTTTTTTTGAGGCGGAGCCTTGCCCTATTGCCCAGGCTGGAGTGCAGTGGCATGATCTTGGCTCACTGCAACCTCTGCCTCCTGGGTTCAAGCCATTTTCCTGTCTCAGCCTCCTGAGTAGCTGGGACTACAGGCGTGCATCACCATGTCTGGCTAATTTTTTTGTATTTTTAGTAGAGACAGGGTTTTGCCATGTTGGTCATGCTGGTCTCAAACTCCTGACCTCAAATGGTCCTCCTGCCTCGGCCTCCCAAAGTGTTGGGATTACAGGCGTGAGCCACCACGCCCGGCCTAGTCTGTTCTTTTTAATTGCTCCATAGTAATTAATAATATGCATGTATCTTTCTTTATTTAGCTAGTCTTCTGTTTATGGACATTTCAGTAGGATGATGATTTCAAGATCACATTTACAGATTAAATGAATGAGTTCTTAAGAGAATGAGTTAGAGAAATAGGGAATTACCTAGTTAATCTTGATGAAGATTGCAGAGTAGTTAACTCTGAAGACAGATTATTTTTATAGCATGGAGTATTATTGCTAATCCTCCTACCTCTCCCAAAATTGGAGGGCTGCTAAGCCCATCAAGCCTCCTCCTCAGTCTTCTTGCTATGGAATGTTTCCTACTCCCCATTTGGGGCCACCCATGGGCAGACTTGGGTCACAGTTCCTTCTGTGCTTTCATAACACTTTGTACATCCATTAAAGCAGCAACCTGGTTTATTATAATTATGGTTTGTGTACGGGACAGGAAGGATTTCTTGCCATCTCTGTATATTCCCTGAATGGGGAAAGTGCTCTCAGCAGGTGTCAAATCAAAGCTCTGTGGCTACTTCTTTGCCTGAGCCTTCCATTCCAGTTTGTTTTCCAGTGGAAATGATGTCAGTACTTGTCGGGTTGTGTTTTTTGCAAGAAAGCTTGCTCTGGTTCTGAGCCTTGCGTGAGTTGTAACGCTGTTAACTCAGCAGAGAGCCCAAAGAGCCAAAGTGAGGCTCCTAGCTCCCTTCTTGGGGGTGTCTATTCAACCTGATGGGCCATCGTCCCTCCTCCTCCACTGCCATAATTTCACCCAGTTGCCTAGACTCAATGACAGGCAATGATCCTAAATATAGTTCTGCTATGAATTCATAGGTGGCTGTGAATTCAAAAGTAGATGGTAATATCCTTACAGCTTCTGGTAATAAACCTTTACAGTTTTTTTTTTTAAAGCAAAACAACACCCCTATTCAACATGATAATTGAGGCTGTTGTCATAAAATAGTTATTACAGAGGCAGGAAAGAAGGCCGTTAGAAGGAATTACTTGATAGGTATCTTTATTTTTAATTTTTCTTCTTTGCCCTTGATTTGAGGTTGTCACACCTCGATATGGTATTTCAGAAAACTGCCAGAGCTATCCTTCAATTATTTGCCCAGCCCGTTATCTCTATTCCTTGATCCTGACTTAGACTATAAACCAGTGGATTTGGCAAGGATTTCCTTAAGTGTTACATTCAAACCTATCAAATATTTGGAAGGCTTACAGATCTGTTTGCACATAAAAGCGCCTTGGGTTTGCATAATTTGCACATTCAAACTTGGGTTTTAATTCAGAAATTTAACATGTTTTCTGTCTCTTTTGGATATTTACATTGATTTTAATCTAATTTTAAAATTTCTCATTTATTGGCATTAGCCCCTCTTTGTGAAGATGTTTAAGGGACATACAGAATTCAAACACTTTAAGAGTCAACATGGATTGGTTTGTGCTTATAACAAACTCCCAATCTCAGTGGCTTAAAACAATGAGGGTTTATTTTTTCCCCACGCTAGATTCTTTAGGTGGTCAACTGGAGGCTCTGCTTCATGATATCTTTGCTCCAGGACCCTGGCTGAAGGAGCAAGCATCTGGACATTGTGTCCATGTCAGAGGAAAAGAGAGAATCACACATTGATTCTTAAAGCTTTCACTTCTGCCCACATTTCATTGGCCAGAGCAAATCATGTGGCCACACTTGACTCCATGGGGGCAGGGAAGTAGAATTCTACCACATGCTCAGAAGGAGAATGAGAAGTACTTGGGCAACAGTACAGATAACTACCATGACTGTCTAACAAGGAGCTGAAGTGCATGGATTCTGAGTCAGAGTGCCTGAGCTTGACACTGGCCTGATCACTTCCTCACAGTCTGATTTTGAGCAAAGCAGCTTCATCTCTCTCATCTTTTATTTCCTTATCTGAAAAGCAGTACCTTACAGAATTGTGAGGATTAAATGAGATAGTCTTTACAAAGCCAGTGCCTTTCACATGGTAAGCACTCAATAAATCCTAGCTATCATTAGAACCCAATTCTTGCTGATTTGAATGAAAGGTACTGCTTAAGGATTTTTCCCCTTATTTATTTTAAAGGACACATGAAAAGATTTACTTTTTTTCTTTTCCTTTTTCTTCTTCTTTTTTTTTTTTTGATGTTTACCATCCATCCAAAGCCAGAAAAAGACATTTTAGGCCTCGGAATGGGAGAGGTTGGAAATATTACTGGGCTGGGTCAGTGTTATTATCATCCTTGAAGACTCTTGTTCTAGGATTTTTTCATGCCTTTACTCACCTTAAAGAATAGAAAACTTT